>NC_000001.11:115008380-115311410 GCF_000001405.40 Homo sapiens
CTCTCAAAAGGAGAGTAGTTATCTACAGAAGATAGCAGGGCCTTGCTCCAAAATCCTAGAGGGCTCTGCAGTGATTCACCTGTGGGAGCCTGCCAAAGGCTCCAAACAGCATCCCTATCTGCTGCCACTGACACCTCAAGCACCATTGGATCTGCTGGGTCATATGGCCCAAGTGGCAGAGCAGCTTGCACAGCAGACTGAATCTGTTGCAGACCCTTCTCCTGTTCTAGACCCCACTCAAAACTGGCAGCCTTTGAAGTCCCTTGATAAATGGGCCAGAGTAACACACCCAGATGAGGAATGTGTTGCCTCTAAAATCCTAATAGGCCCACTTGGCATTGTGCCTCATTCTTGGTTGTAGGAGGGGCCAAATGCAGCAACTTATCCTTCACCTTAGAAGAAATATCTCCACAGGCTCCATACCACTGGACCCCTAGGAATTTTACTGAGGTAGAAGGTCCCTGAATTTTAGTCAGTTTTATTTCTCATCCTCTGGCATGCAAATGTCTCACCAATAAGTCCAGGGTGTTTGCTACTTCTTGCTCACTGGATCCAATCAGCGCAATGTCATCAATGTAATGGACCAGTGTGATATCTTGTGGAGTGGAAAAGTGATCAAGATCTCTCTGAACAAGATTGTGACACAAAGCTGAAGAGTTGATATACCCTGAGGTAGGACAGTAAAGGTACATTGCTGGCCTTGCTAGCTGAAGGCAAATTGCTTCTGGTGGGCCTTATGGGCAGGAATGCAGAAAAAGGTATTTGCCAATCAATGGCTGCATATCAGGTACCAGGAGATGTGTTAATTTGCTCAAGCAATGGAACCACATCTGGTACAGCAGCTGCATTTGGAGTCAACACTTGGTTAAGCTTACAATAATCCACTGTCATTCTCCAAGATTTATCTGTCTTCTGCACAGGCCAACTAGGAGAGTTGAACAGGGGTGTGGTGGGAATCACCACCCCTGCATCTTTCAAGTCCTTGATGGTGGCAATAATCTCCACAATCCCTCCAGGGATGTGATATTGTTTTTGATTTACTATCTTCCTAGGTAGAAGCAGCTCTAATGGCTTCCATTTGGCCCTTACCACCATAATAGCTTTCACCCTACCAGTCAGGGAGCCAATGTGGAGGTTCTGCCAGGTGCTAAGTATATCTATGCCAATTATGCATACTGACACTGAGAAAATGACCACAGGATGAGCCCAGGGATGCACTGCACCCACTGTAAGTCAGACCTGAGCTAAAACTCCATTAACTGCTTCAAGTTTTAAATTTATATAAGCAGAAATCTGGAGAACAGACAAAGGAATGGATATTAAGGGTTTGGGATAATGATAAAAGGAACATAGGATTGAATCAGGCTGAATTTATTGATTTGGGCCCACTAAGTAGGGACTCTGCATTTAATGTTGCAGCTTGGGGAGCTGAAAAAGGTTCTAATAGTTTATTTGCTTGGTTAGCTAAAATACGGATTAAAAGAAAGCCCACTGTGTGCAAGCTGGAAAAGCCTGATCTCTTTTGGTTGAATGTAGAGGATCCAAACGCTTAGGGAGATTGGGATGCTGGAGTAGATTAGTCACTTTAGACCCCCTCATCCCA
This sequence comes from Homo sapiens, assembly GCF_000001405.40. NCBI lineage: Eukaryota > Metazoa > Chordata > Mammalia > Primates > Hominidae > Homo > Homo sapiens. The sequence continues at coordinate 115,009,984 of NC_000001.11, forward strand.
CCTGGGAGGGTCTAGAAGATATACCCTTGACCAATACTTTGTAAAACAGATTTGTGAGGGGAGCACTTGCATCCTTGAAGGGCTCTGTAATTGCTCTTCTCTGTGTGCCAGATGTTACAGTAGGAACTGCAGTCATTCAACTACAAAATTTAAATGAGAACACTTGGATTCCAAGGTGGCAGGGGCTAAGTGGCAGCAGTCAACTGTCAAAGGTAAGGTGAGTGTAGCTACCACAATGGACAGCAGAGGCAAAGTAGCAATCAGAATAGTCTGATGCATGTAGAGTTCTGGCATTGGCTAACTAATCATGATGTAGCTAGAAGTGAAGTTTATAGGAAGCCTACTGCATCCTTACTTAATTTATATAAGCAGAAAATTTCCAGGTCAAATGGACAAAAGACCAATTTGAATTATAAAAACAGAATCACAGCCCCTCAATCAATTTTCAGACTTGAACCAGTTTACAGACCCAGAACCCCTTGAGGAAGGACCCCACTACACTACAAACAATTTATGCTGTTAATCTTTCTCCCATCCTTCCCCAAGGAGACCTTCAACCTTTTTTTTTGTTTTTTGTTTTTGTTTTTTTTTTTTGAGACAGAGTCTCACTCTGTAGCCCAGGCTGGAGTGCAGTGGCACAATCTCGGCTCACTGCAACCTCTGCCTCCTGGGTCCTGGTTCAAGCAATTCTCCTGCCTTAGCCTCCCCAGTAGCTAGGATTACAGACACATGCCACCATGCCCAGCTAATTTCTGTATTTTTAGTAGAGACAGGGTTTCACCTTGTTGGCCTGGCTGGTCTTGAACTCCTGACCTTATGATCTGCCTGCCTCAGCCTCCCAAAGTGCTGGGATTACAGGCATGAGCCACTGTGCCCGGCCTGACCTTCAACCTTTTACCAGAGTAATTGTGCATTAAGGAAAGGGAAATGATCAGATCTTTCAGGGAATACTGGACACTGGCTCTGAGCTGACATTGATTCCAAGGGACCCAAAACATCACTGTGGTCCTCCAGTTAAAGTAGTGGCTTATGGAGGTCAGGTAATTAATGGAGTAAATTAAACCTCTTTTCTTCATAAATTACTCACTCTCAGGTAGTTCTTTCTAGCAATGTGAGAATGGACTAATACAGAAAATTGGTACTAGAAGAGTGGGACACTGCTATAAAGATATTTGAAAATGTGGAAGTGACTTTGGAACTGGTAATGAGCAGAGGTTGGAACAGTTTGGAGGACTCAGAAGAAGACAGGAAGATATGTGAAAGCTTGGAACTTCCTAGAGATTTGGTGAATGCTTTTGACCAAAATGCTGATAGTGATATGGAAAATGAAGTCCAGGCTGAGGGTGACATGCTTGGCCATGTGAAGAGACCACCAAACAGGCTTTATGTGAGCAACAAAGCTTTTTAATCACCTGGGTGCAGGTGGACTGAGTCCAAAAAAGGAGTCAGCAAAGGGAGATGGGGTGGGGCAGTTTTATAGGATTTGGGTAGATAGTGGAAAATTACAGTCAAACAGGGGTTTTCTCTTGTGGACAGGGGTGGGGGTTATAGGGTGCTCAGTGGGGAGCTTCTGAGACTCATTGTCCAGGAGAAGGAATGTCACAAGGTCAATTGATCAGTTAGGGTGGGGCAGGAACAAATCACAATGGTGGAATGTCATCAGTTAAGGCCGGAACTGGCTATTTTCACTTCTTTGGTGTTCTTCAGTTGCTTTGGGCCATCTGGATGTATACATGCAGGTCATAGGGGATATGATGCCTTAGCTTGGACTCAGAGGCTTGACAGAGGGTGTCTCAAATGGAGATGAGGAACTTATTAGAAACTGGAGTAAAGGTTACTCTTGCTATGCTTTAGCAGAGACTGGCAGCATTTTGCCCCAGCCCTAGAGATCTGTGTAAGTTTGAACCTGAGAGAGATGATTTAGGGTATCTGATAGAAGAAATTTCTAAGCAGCAAAGCCTTGAAAATGTGACCTGGAGGCTCCTAAAAGCCTATGCTCATTTGCATAAAGAAAGAGATGGTCTGAAATTGGAACTTATATTTAAAAGGGAAGCAGAGCGTAAAAGTTTGGAAAATTTGCAGCCTGACCATTTGATGGAATAGAAAAATCCATTTTCTGGAGAGGAATTCAAGCTCAAGCTGGCTGTAGAAATTTGAATAAGTAAAGAGGAACTGAATGTTAATAGTCAAGACAATGGGGAAATGTCTCTGGGGCATTTCAGAGACCTTTGAGGTAGCACCTCCCATCACTCAGGAGGCCTAGGAGGGAAAAATGGTTTCCTGGGCCAGGCACAAGGCCCTGCTGCTCTCTGCAGCCTCAGGATATGGTGACTTGCATCACAGCCATTCCAGCTCCAGCCATGGCTAAAAGGGGCCAAGGTACAGTTCAGGCCATTGCTTCAGAGAGTGCAAGCCCCAAGCCTTGGTGACTTCCATGTGGTGTTGCAGGGGTGGAGCCCTCATGAAGAACCTCTACTAGGGCAATGTGGAAAGGAAATGTAGGATTGGAGCCCCCACACAGAGTCTTCACTGGGGCACTGCATAGCAGAGCTGTGAGAAGAGGGCCACCATCCTCCAGACCCCAGAATGGTAGATCCACTGACAGCTTGCACTTTGTGCCTGGAAAAGCTACAGGTACTCAGTGCCATCCTGTGCAGAGCCATGGGGTGGAGCTGCCCAAGGCCATGGGCGCCCACCCCCTGCTTGCTTCAGTGTGTCCTGGATGTAAGACATGGAGTCAAATGAAATTATTTCAAAGCTTTAAGATTTGATGGCTGCCCTGCTGAGTTTCAGACTTGCATGGAGCATGTAGCCCATTTGTTTGGCCAATTTCTCCTTTTTGGAATGGGAATATTTACCCAATGCCTGCACCCCCAATGTATCTTGAAGTAACTAACTTGTTTTTTATTTTACAGGCTCATAGATGGAAGAGACTTGCCTTGTCTCAGATGAAACTTTGGACTTGGACTTTCAAGTTAATGCTGGCATGACTTAAGACTTTGGGGGACTGTTGGGAAGGCATAATTGGTTTTGAAATGTGAGAAGGACATGAGATTTGGGAGGGGCCAGGGGTGGAATGATATGGTTTGGATTTGTGTTCTCACCCAAATCACACATTGAAGCAAAGGAGGAACCTAGTGGGAAGTAATTGGATCTTGGGGGCAGAATTCCCCCTTGCAATCATAAGTTCTCACAAGACCTGATGGTTTAATAGTGTGTGGCACTTACCTCTTCTCTTTCTCACTCTCTCTGCTGCCACCATGTGAAGAAGGTGCTTGCTTCCCCTTCACCTTCTGCCATGATTGTAGGTTTCATGAGGGCTCCCAGTCATGCTTTCTGGTATAGTCTGTGGAACTGTGAGTCAATTAAACCTCTTTTCTTCACAAATTACCAAGTCTCAGGTAGTTCTTTCTAGCAGTGTGAGAACAGACTAATATATAGTGTAAGAAACTTACTTACAGAAATATATTTCTATTTCTTATTCCTATTCTCTCTTTTATTCTTGACATACTATTTACTTCTACAAACACCACAATAATTACTAATTTTGCTTTAAGCTGTCAATTTTCTTTTTAAGAAAATTGAGGTAAACTTTACACAAGGAAAGTAACCATTTTAAAGTGAAGAGCTCAGTGGCATTTAATACATTCACAATGTTATGCAACCACAACATCTCTCTAGTTCCAAAACATTTTTATCACCCCAAAAGAAAACTCTGTACTCATTAAGCTGTTATTTTCCATTCCCTACTCTCTCCAGCCTCTGGTAACCACCAGTCAGCTTTTTGTCTCCATGCATTAACCTATTATACATATGTCATATAAATGCACTCATACAATATGTGACATTTTGTATCTGGCTTCTTTCACTTCAGTCATCTTTTGCCAATATTAGAAATGATAACAATTTTATTTGCTCACATATTTACTCATCTCTTCATTGAGTAGTATCACATTTTCTCCTGTTTATTTTTTTCTCAAAGAACCTCCTTTAACATTTCTTGTAATACAGATCTGCTGATGATGCAATCTGTCACCTTTGTTTTATTTATTTTATTATTTTTTAAAATTTTATTATTATTATACTTTAAGTTTTAGGGTACATGTGCACAACGTGCAGGTTTTTTACATATGTATACATGTGCCACGTTGGTGTGCTGCACCCATTAACTCATCATTTTGCATTAGGTATATCTCCTAATGCTATCTCTCCCCCCTCCCCCCACCCCACAACAGTCCCCGGTGTGTGAGGTTCTCCTTCCTGTGTCCATGTGTTCTCATTGTTCAATTCCCACCTATGAGTGAGAACATGCAGTGTTTGGTTTTTTGTCCTTGCAATAGTTTGCTGAGAATGATGGCTGCCAATTTCATCCATGTCCCTACAAAGGACATGAACTCATCATTTTTTACGGCTGCATAGTATTCCATGGTATATATGTGCCACATTTTCTTAATCCAGTCTATCGTTGTTGGACATTTAGGTTGGTTCCAAGTCTTTGCTATTGTGAATAGTGCCTCAATAAACATACGTGTGCATGTGTCTTTATAGCAGCATGATTTGTAATCTTTTGGGTATATACCTAGTGATGGGATGGCTGGGTCAAATGGTATTTCTAGTTTTAGATCCCTGAGGAATTGCCACACTGACTTCCACAATGGTTGAACTAGTTTACAGTCCCACCAACAGTGTAAAAGGGTTCCTATTTCTCTACATCCTCTACAGCACCTGTTGTTTCCTGACTTTTTAATGATGGCCATTCTAACTGGTGTGAGATGGTATCTCATTGTGGTTTTGATTTGCATTTCTCTGATGGCCAGTGAGGATGAGCATTTTTTCATGTGTTTTTTGGCTGCATAAATGTCTTCTTTTGAGAAGTGTCTGTTCATATCCTTCGCCCACTTGTTGATGGGGTTGTTTGTTTTTTTCTTGTAAATTTGTTTGAGTTCCTTGTAGATTCTGGATATTAGCCCTTTGTCAGATGAGTAGGTTGCAAAAATGTTCTCCCATTCTGTAGGTTGCCTGTTCACTCTGATGGTAGTTTCTTTTGCTGTGCAGAAGCTCTTTAGTTTAATTAGATCCCATTTGTCAATTTTGGCTTTTGTTGCCATTGCTTTTGGTGTTTAAGACATGAAGTCGTTGCCCATGCCTATGTCCTGAATGGTATTGCCTAGGTTTTCTTCTAGGGTTTTTATGGTTTTAGGTCTAACATTTAAGTCTTTAATCCATCTTGAATTAATTTTTGTATAAGGTATAAGGAAGGGATCCAGTTTCAGCTTTCTACATATGGCTAGCCAGTTTTCCCAGCACCATTTATTAAATAGGGAATCCTTTCCCCATTTCTTGTTTTTGTCAGGTTTGTCAAAGATCAGATAGTTGTAGATATGCAGTATTATTTCTGAGGGCTCTGTTCTGTTCCATTGGTCTATATCTCTGTTTTGGTACCAGTACCATGCTGTTTTGGTTATTGTAGCCTTGTAGTATAGTTTGAAGTCAGGTAGTGTGATGCCTCTGGCTTTGTTCTTTTGGCTTAGGATTGACTTGGCGATGCGGGCTCTTTTTTGGTTCCATATGAACTTTAAAGTAGTTTTTTCCAATTCTGTGAAGAAAGTCATTGGTAGCTTGATGGGGATGGCATTGAATCTATAATTTACCTTGGGCAGTCTGGCCATTTTCACGATATTGATTCTTCCTACCCATGAGCATGGAATGTTCTTCCATTTGTTTGTATCCTCTTTTATTTCATTGAGCAGTGGTTTGTAGTTCTCCTTGAAGAGGTCCTTCACATCCCTTGTAAGTTAGATTCCTAGGTATTTTATTCTCTTTGAAGCAATTGTGAATGGGAATTCACTCATGATTTGGCTCTCTGTTTGTCTGTTATTGGTGTATAAGAATGCTTGTGATTTTTGTACTTTGATTTTGTATCCTGAGACTATGCTGAAGTTGCTTATCAGCTTGAGGAGATTTTGGGCTGCGACAATGGGGTTCTCTAGATATACAATCATGTCATCTGCAGACAGGGACAATTTGACTTCCTCTTTTCCTAATTGAATACCCTTTATTTCCTTCTCCTGCCTAATTGCCCTGGCCAGAACTTCCAACACTATGTTGAATAGGAGTGGTGAGAGAGGTCATCCCTGTCTTGTGCCAGTTTTCAAAGGGAATGCTTCCAGTTTTTGCCCATTCAGTATGATATTGGCTGTGGGTTTGTCATAGATAGCTCTTATTATTTTGAGATACGTCCCATCAATATCTAATTTATTGAGAGTTTTTAGCATGAAGGGCTGTTGAATGTTGTCAAAGGCCTTTTCTGCATCTATTGAGATAATCATGTGGTTTTTCTCTTTGGTTCTGTTTATATGCTGGATTACATTTATTGATTCACATATATTGAACCAGCCTTGCATCCCAGGGATGAAGCCCACCTGATCATGGTGGATAAGCTTTTTGATGTGCTGCTGGATTCGGTTTGCCAGTATTTTATTGAGGATTTTTGCATCCATGTTCATCAAGGATATTAGTCTAAAACTCTCTTTTTTGGTTGTGTCTCTGCCCGGCTTTGGTATCAGGATGATGCTGGCCTCATAAAATGAGTTAGGGAGGATTCCCTCTTTTTCTATTGATTGGAATAGTTTCAGAAGGAATGGTACCAGTTCCTCCTTGTACCTCTGGTAGAATTCGGCTGTGAATCCATCTGGTCCTGGACTCTTTTTTGTTGGTAAGCTATTGATTATTGCCACAATTTCAGATCCTGTTATTGGTCTATTCAGAGATTCAACTTCTTCCTGGTTTAGTCTTGGGAGAGTGTATGTGTCGAGGAATTTATCCATTTCTTCTAGATTTTCTAGTTTATTTGCGTAGAGGTGTTTGTAGTATTCTCTGATGGTAGTTTGTATTTCTGTGGGATCGGTGGTGATATCCCCTTTATCATTTTTTGTTGTGTCTATTTGATTCTTCTCTCTTTTTTTCTTTATTAGTCTTGCTAGTGGTCTATCAATTTTGTTGATCCTTTCAAAAAACCAACTCCAGGATTCATTAATTTTTTGAAGGGTTTTTTGTGTCTCTATTTCCTTCAGTTCTGCTCTGATTTTAGTTATTTCTTGCCTTCTGCTAGCTTTTGAATGTGTTTGCTCTTGCTTTTCTAGTTCTTTTAATTGTGATGTTAGGGTGTCAATTTTGGATCTTTCCTGCTTTCTCTTGTGGGCGTTTAGTGGTATAACTTTCCCTCTACACACTGCTTTGAATGTGTCCCAGAGATTCTGGTATGTTGTGTCTTTGTTCTCACTGGTTTCAAAGAACATCTTTACTCCTGCCTTCATTTTGTTATGTACCCAGTAGTCATTCAGGAGCAGGCTGTTCAGTTTCCATGTAGTTGAGTGGTTTTGAGTGAGTTTCTTAATCCTGAGTTCTAGTTTGATTGCACTGTGGTCTGAGAGACAGTTTGTTATAATTTCTCTTCTTTTACATTTGCTGAGGAGAGCTTTACTTCCAACTATGTGGTCAATTTTGGAATAGGTGTGGTGTGGTGCTGAAAAGAATGTATATTCTGTTGATTTGGGGTGGAGAGTTCTGTAGATGTCTATTAGGTCTGCTTGGTGCAGAGCTGAGTTCAATTCCTGGGTATCCTTGTTAACTTTCTGTCTCATTGATCTGTGTAATGTTGACAGTGGGGTGTTAAAGTCTCCCATTATTAATGTGTGGGAGTCTAAGTCTCTTTGTAGGTCACTCAGGACTTGCTTTATGAATCTTGGTGCTCCTGTATTGGGTGCATATATATTTAGGATAGTTAGCTCTCCTTGTTGAATTGATACCTTTACCATTATGTAATGGCCTTCTTTGTCTCTTTTGATCTTTGTTGTTTTAAAGTCTGTTTTATCAGAGACTAGGATTGCAACCCCTGCCTTTTTTTGTTTTCCATTTGCTTGGTAGATCTTCTTCCATCCTTTTATTTTGAGCCTATGTGTGTCTCTGCATGTGAGATGGGTTTCCTGAATACAGCACACTGATGGGTCTTGACTCTTTATCCAATTTGCCAGTCTGTATCTTTTAATTGGAGCATTTAGTCCATTTACATTTAAAGTTAATATTGTTATGTGTGAATTTGATCCTGTCATTATGATGTTAGTTGGTTATTTTGCTCGTTAGTTGATGCAGTTTCTTCCTAGTCTCGATGGTCTTTACATTTTGGCATGATTTTGCAGTGGCTGGTACCGGTTGTGCCTTTCCATGTTTAGTGCTTCCTTCAGGAGCTCTTTTAGGGCAGGTCTGGTGGTGACAAAATCTCTCAGCATTTGCTTGTCTGTAAAGTATTTTATTTCTCCTTCACTTATGCAGCTTAATTTGGCTGGATATGAAATTCTGGGTTGAAAATTCTTTTCTTTAAGAATGTTGAATATTGGCCCCCACTCTCTTCTGGCTAGTAGAGTTTCTGCTGACACATCAGCTGTTAGTCTGATGGGCTTCCCTTTGTGGGTAACCCGACCTTTCTTTCTGGCTGCCCTTAACATTTTTTCCTTCATTTCAACTTTGGTGAATCTGACAATTATGTGTCTTGGAGTTGCTCTTCTCAAAGAGTATCTTTGTGGCGTTCTCTGTATTTCCTGAATCTGAATGTTGGCCTGCCTTGCAAGATTGGAGAAGTTCTCCCAGATAATATCCTGCAGAGTGTTTTCCAACTTGGTTCCATTCTCCCCGTCACTTTCAGGTATCCCAATCAGACATAGATTTGGTCTTTTCACATAATCCCATATTTCTTGGAGGCTCCATTCATTTGTTTTTATTCTTTTTTCTCTAAACTTCCCTTCTCGCTTCATTTCATTCATTTCATCTTCCATCACTGATACCCTTTCTTCCCGTGGATCGCATCAGCTCCTGAGGCTTCTGCATTCTTCACATAGTTCTCGAGCCTTGGCTTTCAGCTCCATCAGCTCCATCAGTTATACATTCGTCCAAATTTTTTTTCAAAGTTTTCAACTTCTTTGCCTTTGGTTTGAATTTCCTCCTGTAGCTCAGAGTAGTTTGATCGTCTGAAGCCTTCTTCTCTCAACTCATCAAAGTCACTCTCCATCCAGCTTTGTTCCATTGCTGGTGATGAGCTGTGTTCCTTTGGAGGAGGAGAGGCGCTCTGCTTTTTAGAGTTTCCAGTTTTTCTGCTCTGTTTTTTCCCCATCTTTGTGGTTTTATCTACTTTTGGTCTTTGATGATGGTGATGTACAGATGGGTTTTTGGTGTGGATGTCCTTTCTGTTTGTTAGTTTTCCTTCTAACAGACAGGACCCTCAGCTGCAGGTCTGTTAGAGTCTGCTAGAGGTCCACTCCAGACACTGTTTGCCTGGGTATCAGCAGTGGTGTCTGCAGAACCGCAGATTTTCGTGATCCGTGAATGCTGCAGTCTGATCATTCCTCTGGAAGTTTTGTCTCAGAGGAGTACCCAGCCATGTGAGTTGTCAGTCTGCCCCTACTGGGGGGTCCCTCCCAGTTAGGCTGCTCTGGGGTCAGGGGTCAGGGGTCAGGGACCCACTTGAGGAGGCAGTCTGCCTGTTCTCAGATCTCCAGCTGCGTGCTGGGAGAACCACTGCTCTCCTCAAAGCTGTCAGACAGGGACATTTAAGTCTGCAGAAGTTACTGCTGTCTTTTTGTTTGTCTGTGCCCTGCCTCCAGAGGTGGAGCCTACAGAGGCAGGCAGGCCTCCTTGAGCTGTGGTGGGCTCCACCCAGTTCGAGGTCCCCAGCTGCTTTGTTTACCTAAGCGAGCCTGGGCAATGGTGTGCGCCCCTCCCCCAGCCTTGCTGCCACCTTGCAGTTTGATCTCAGACTGCTGTTCTAGCAATCAGCGAGACTCCGTGGGCGTAGGACCCTCCGAGCCATGTGTGGGATATAATCTCCTGGTGTGCTGTTTCCTAAGCTGGTTGGAAAAGCACAGTATTTGGGTGGGAGTGGCCCGATTTTCCAGGTGCCGTCTGTCACCCCTTTCCTTGACTAGGAAAGGGAACTCCCTGATCCCTTGCACTTTCTGAGTGAGGCAATGCCTTGCCCTGCTTCAGCTGGCACATGGTGCACTGCACCCACTGTCCTGCGCCCACTGTCTGCCACTCCCTAGTGAGATGAACAGGGTACCTCAGATGGAAATGCAGAAATCACCCATCTTCTGCGTTGCTCACGCTGGGAGCTGTAGACTGGAGCTGTTCCTATTCAGCCATCTTGGCTCCTCCTGCCACATTTTCTTAATCCCATTTATCACTGTTGAACATTTAGGTTGGTTCCAAGTCTTTGTTATTGTGAATAGTGCTGCTATAAACATATGTGTTCATGTGTCTTTATAGCAGCATGATTTATAGGCATGGGCAAGGACTTCATGTCTAAAACACCAAAAGCAATGGCAACAAAAGCCAAAATTGACAATGGGATCTAATTAAACTCAAGAGCCTCTGCACAGCAAAAGAAACTACCATCAGAGTGAACAGGCAACCTACAGAATGGGAGAAAATTTTTGCAACCTACTCATCTGACAAAAGGCTAATGTCCTTTGCTTTTCTGTTGAATTCTTGTGTTCCTTTTTGAGTGTGAATCTCTAAACACTGTTTTGCTTCTTCCAAGTAGGTGAAGGATGCTAGAAAAGCATCTAATCTTCCATCATGGGGGAGAAAAGCCTAATTGTTTTTTAAATGTTTATTTCACTTGGGTTTTATTGAACTTCTAGGATTTGCGGTTTTATAGTCATCAAATTTGGAAATATTTTAGCCACATATTTTCAATTTTTTTTGGTCCCCACTTTAATTCTCACCTTTTATTCTGGACTCCAATTACATGTATTTTATTCTGCTTGATATTATTCTGCTAAGGCTTTTTAAAAAACTTTTTTTCCATGTGCTATTCATTTTAAGTAGTCTCTGAATTAGGTATTTGTTGCTGCTCAACAAATTATTCTAAAAATTAATAGGTTAAACCAACGATAAACATATATCAAATGATTTCTGTGGATCATGAATTTGGGTGTGACTTAGCTAATGGTTCTGGCTTGGAGTGTCTCTCATCAAGTTGCAGTCAAGATACTGTCTTAGGATTGCAGTCATTTGAAGACTTAATAAGGGCTGAAGATCTACTTCCAAGATGGCTCAGTTACATTGTTGATAAGTTGGTTCTGACTGTTGGCAGGAGGTCTCTGTCCTTTGCCATTTGGACTGCTCCACAGTTGCTGTCATTTGAGTGTTTTTGTGACTTGATGGCTGACTTCCCTCATAGCAAGTGATTCAACTGAGCAAGATGAGAGTGGAATGTCTTTTATGACAGCTTTAGGAATCACATAACTTCAATTCTGCTCCAATCTGAAGATCACACAGACATATCAAATCCTGGTATTACACAATGGGTGGGTATTACACAATGACACAAGTACGAGGAATTGAGGATCATTGGTACCATCTTGGAGGTTGGCTACCATTGTTACCATCTTGGAGGTTGGCTACCATGGTTTCTATTGCTGTGTCTTTAAGTGTACTGATATTTTCTTCTGAACAATCCACTCTGTTTTTCAGTTCATTCAGTGACTTTTCTTTTTTCATTTTGGATACTGTATTTTTAATCTCTAGAAGTTCCATTTGGGTCTTTTATTATACCTTTTATTTCTCTTTTCCTCATATTCATGTTTTCATTTAGATTCTTAAACGTATTAAAAATGTTTGTAAAAGCTCTATTAAGGTTCTTGTCTGTGAATTTCATTATTTCTGCCATTTTGAGCCTGTTTCTATTTATTGATTTTCCTTCTGGTAGGGGTCATATTTTTCATTTCTTTGCATGCCTAGTAATTTCTTATTGGATGCTCAACATTGTTAATTTTACATTTTAATAAGTGAGTTATATTTTGTTGTATTTTTTTAAAGGAATACTGAACTTTGTTCTGGCAGACATTCATGTTACTTGGTTCACTCAATCCTTTTGAAAGTTCCTTTTTATCTTTGTTCAGGAAGGTTCAGAGCAGCCTTAACTCTAGAGTTAATTTATCCTCACTTTTAAAGCATGACTTCTCTGAGGACTCTACCTAATTATGTATTATAATACTTCTCCACTTTGGCTTATGGAAGCACAAACTATTTTTAGACGTAAGTAAGCTCGAGGAATTGTTCAGCCTCCTGATTTTCAGTGATCTTTCCTTGGCTTCCTAGTTTCAACCCCATCATATACAAATTGGTCATCAGTTGAAGACTCAATGAAAACCCCTTTCAGATCTCCAGATTTTCTTTCTAGGCAGCTCCCTCCTCTTCATTTCTCTGTCCTAAAAATTCTAGGCATTTCAGACTCCCTGAACTTCTATACGTTTCTTCACAATTCCTTAAGAGTATAGTCTCTTTTTGGCTCCCCCTCTCTGTGCTGTAGCCTAGAAACTGCCTTCAGGTTTCTAGGACAATCGTAGGGCTTAATTTATTTGTTTCTTTTCTTTCAGTATCAGCCTTGTGGTGCCTATTATCCAAAGTTTATGAATAATTGGTTCATATATTTTGCCCTGTTTTCTAACTGTTTTTAGTAGAAGAGAAATTCTTATACCAGTGAATCCTTGATGGGTGAAAGCAGAAATATGTGGGGCTTTTGGGAGAAGCTGAATAGTCTGGGCACTGACCAATGAAAACAATGGTTAGTAGTGCTGGAGTAGAGACTGGGAGGCCTCCTCTTGTGCCAGGCAGGGAAGAGCTTTTCCCTACTCTTGACTTCCTTGAAATCAAAATGTGTTTACCTAAACACATTTTGGTCCTCTCCCTATTCCTTTACTGACTTTACCTATGGGGAGGTTCACCAAACCTGGTTCATATTTTGGGCTAGAATAGCTGGCTTAGTGCCTTTCTCCTGCCTTCTTTTGGGAGTAAGCTCAGAGGGCGATATGCTGGTATAAGAAGGAGAACGTAACTCAGTCCCTGGGATTCAGGGTTCTCACTGAGTTTGAAGTTCCTGTGGAACGTGTAATTGGAGATGTCTTGTAGGGGTTGGATACATGGGTCTGGGGCTCAAGGAGAGGTCTGGACTGTTATTTTATAGCTGTGTGAAGAAGATGACTGGTAAGAAGGAGTTTCTTGAGGGCAGTGTCTGGAATGAGGTGGAAATCCCATAGATTTGTTGAACAAATGAATTAATGAGTTCATGAATAGCCATTGTTCCCAATAGAAGATAATTCTAAACACTAGGAAAACTCATACATATGTAGTGAGACAAGTTAACTACATTATGGATTTGTTATTCTGTGACTACCACTGATTAATTTGCTAACTAAATTTTTGATTAATTTTTGCATATAATCATACTGCAAACTTCTTTAGAAATAAAAGGTGTGCTAAAAAAAGATAAGAAAAGTTTAAAATTTTTGGATGAGATTAATAGCATATTGTTCATTAGTTGCTGAGAAGTGGTTATACCTGTTATTGTGAATACAATTAATACTGCTCACATTATTCAGCCAGATAAATAATATCTAATTACCAAGAGGTTATATAAAGTAACATAAGTAGAAAGAAAGATATTATACTAAGGGATAGAGAAACTAGTTTTGACAGACAGGTAAGGAAAATTGGATACCAAGCTGACTTTATAACACTACAAATTTTATGACAGAAGATGTTAGCAATTTCTATTAACATTTATAGATGACCTTAATTTCAAAAAATGTTTTGAAATAGAAAAGAACTTGCATACATTCATGTAAATCTGGTATACAAGGGGCTTTAATCTGTTACCAAAAGAGAAAAGCAAATTGACATAATTTTTATACATATTAAATCAATTTTGTCTTCTCACTTGAGAGCTTTAAAATAATAAAATGCTCAATATGCAGATAGGGTGAACTCTGTTTGCTACCAATTATCTGTATTAAGAAAAAAAGCATGGAAAGGAATTAAGTAAACAAACAGGTTTTGTTTCATGTTGCAGGCCATTTTAATATGACTGTTACTGATAACTCAGGCTTAAGATGGCTAAACTGATTATTTTAAAAGTGTCTATATTGCCCAGGATTTTAGAATTTTATGGATATAGAGAATAGTAGGAGCTAGAAAAGTACCCAATCTTTGGGGTAAAGGATAATGTCAGTAAATCTGATTCATATTTTAATGCCACTTCTCTGTTTAGCTAAGTAAAGAGTACGAGTGTTTGTTTTTCTTTGAAAATGAGTTAAAATTTTAATGCAACAAAAACGATGTCAAGAAACTTGGATTTTAGCCTGACTTTGCCTATAACTATCTATAGAACATCAGAGCATTAAATAACCTCTCCATGGATGCAAAATGTCAGAATAGGATCTATGTTTCCATTTATTTATGTAATCAATATTTACTGAGTACCTAATATATAGCAGAGGCTGGTTTGGATTCTGAAGATATGGTGATGAGCAAGACAAACAAAGCTTCCATTTAAATTGCTTACAGTCTGGTTGGAAAGGGGGAGACAGAGAATAAGTATATAAACAAATAATATAGTATCAGAAAATGCTAAGTGCAATGAAGAATATATGAGATAACAGGATAAAAAGTGACAGTGGCAGTAGGCTGCATTAGACTGGGTGGTCAAGGAAGGGTTTTCTAAAGAAGTAATTTTTAAGCTGAGATGATAAGGAGAAAGCCATTCAAAGACTTGTTGAAAGGTTGCTCCATAATGAACAAATAGCAAATGTAAAAGCACTGTTCCAAGAACAAGTTTGGAATGTTCTAAGGGACATAATAAATAAAAGGTGGAGAGAGGTGGGTATGACATGAAGTTAGACAAGTAGGCACAGATGATTTCCACCTACCATATTTTTTATCAGTTTTATTGAGGTATAATTGACATACAATAAATTGCATATATTAGTTTCCTGGGACTGCCATAACAAAGTACCATAAACTGAGTGGTTTAAAACAACAGAGATTTATTTTCTTACAGTTTTAGAGGCCAGAAGTCCAAGATCAAAGTGTCTGCAGGACCATGTTCCCTCTGAAGCTGCTGAGCTAGGATGTATTCCAGGCCTCTATTGCAGCTTCTGGTAGTCCTTGGTTTGAAGCAACATAATTTCATTCTTCACATGGCATTCTCCTTGTTCATGTGTCTGTGTCCAAGTGTCCTCTTTTTGGAAGGGGATATATCCAATCATATTGGCTAGTGGCCTACTTTACTCCAGTATTATTTCATATTAATTAATTTCATTTGTAATGAACTTATTTCCAAATAAGTTCACATTCTGATATACTACAGGTTAGAACTTCAACATTTGAATTTTGGGGGTACATAATTCAACCCCTAACCCTGCATATATTTTGGTAGGTTTTAACATATGTATATCCTGTAAAACCATCATCACAATCAAGATAATGAACACATTTTTCACCTCCTAAATATTTCCTCTGCCCCTTGGAAATCCCTCTTTCTTCCCCTTCCTTGCCTTTCCTCATCCCCAGGCAATCATTAGTCTGCTGTCTTACACTAATTTGTATTTTCTGGTATTTTATATAAACTGAATTATATGGCATGTACTCTGTTTTGGTCTGTCTTAATAACATTAAGATTATAACATAATTATTGATGTTCATGTCACTGCTGTGTCAGTAGTTTATTCCTATTTACTGCTGACACATATTCTACTGCATATATATGACATATTTGTTTATCACCTGTGGATGGACATTCAGGTTGTTTCCAGTTTGGGGCTATTAAAAATAAAGATGCTATAAATGTTTATGTACAAGTTCATGTATGGATATATCTTATTATTTCTCTTAGATAAATACTGAGGAGTGGAATGATTGGGTCATATTGTAGGTGTATGTTTAACTTTTTGAGAGACTTATGGACTGACGAACTTGTACCATTTTATGTTTCCATCAAACATTGTATACAAATTTCGATTGCTCCACATCCTTGCTAACCCTTGGTATTTCCAATTTTTAAATTTTAGGCAGCCCAAGACGTGTGTAGTGCTGTCATTGAGGTCTTAATTTCTTATCTCTGAGACTAATGATGAAAATTTTTCATCTGTTTACTTCCCATCTACATAATTTTGTGAAATGTCTATTCAAACATTTGCTTATTTAAAAAATTGGATAATTTTTTTCTTATAATTGAGTATAGCAGGTTCTTCATATATTCTGTATACAAGTTCTTTATCTTATATATAATTTGCAAGTTTCTTTTCTTTCAGTTTGTGGTATGTCGTTCTTTTAACAATGCCTTTCGAAGAGAGAAGTTCTTAATTCTGATGGAGTCCAATTTATCATTTTTTGAAAATGGATCATGCTGTTGGTGTTATATCTAAGAAAGTTTTGCCTAATTCAAGTTTTGCCTAACAAAAGTTTTTTTTTTTTTTTTTGGGACGGAGTCTCGCTCTGTCGCCCAGGCTGGAGTGCAGTGGCGGGATCTCAGCTCACTGCAAGCTCCGCCTCCCGGGTTCACGCCATTCTCCTGCCTCAGCCTCCCAAGTAGCTGAGACTACAGGCGCCCGCCACTACGCCCAGCTAATTTTTTGTATTTTTAGTAGAGACGGGGTTTCACCGTTTTAGCCGGGATGGTCTCGATCTCCTGACCTCGTGATCCGCCCGCCTCGGCCTCCCAAAGTGCTGGGATTACAGGCGTGAGCCACCTCGCCCGGCCCTAACAAAAGTTTTATTCCATGCTTTCTTCTAGAAATGTTAGAATTTTAGTTTTTATATTTCATGTTAATATTTGTATATAATGCAAGATATGTATTGAAGTTATTTATTTATTTTTAAAAAGTATTTATTTTTATATATGGATAACGAATTGTTCCAGCACCATTTGTTGAAAATACTATTTATTTTCTACTCAATTTTGTTTTCACCTTTCTTGAAAATAATTTGACCACATGTGTACAGGTTTATTACTGGACCATATTTTGTTCCAATGATCTGTCTTAACACCACTTTCTTAATTACCATAGGTTTACCATCTTGAAATCAGCGATTCAGTAAGATTTTCAACATAGATGGTCATGTCGTATGTGAATAAAATTTTACTCCTTCCTTTCCCATCTGAATGTCTTTTTTCCTTTGGCTTATTGCGTTAACATTGCACTTACAGCACAGTGTTTAATAGAAGATGCAAAAGCAGACGTTTTTGCCTTTTTCCTGATCTTAGAGTAAACGTACTCTGTCTTTCAATATTAAGCATGATATTAATCATAAATTTTCCATGATGCCTTTTATTAAGTTAGGAGGTTTTCTTCTATTCCAAGTTTGCCGAAAATTTTTTCAGGAATCTATGTTGGATTTTGTAAAATGCTTTTTGTGTATGTGGTTGTGTGTGTGTGTGTGTTTCCATTGGGATCATCATAAGGCTTTTAGTTTTTAGCCCGTTAGTAGGGTGAATTTTCTTAATTGAATGCAAACTAAACTCGCATTCCTGAAATAAATTCCACTTCGACCATGATGTATTATTCTTTTTACATATTGTTTATTTTGTTTTGTTAAATTTTGTGAAGAATTTTTGCATCTATGTTCATTTCATGAGGGTTATTAGTTTGTGGTTTTCTTTTTTGATAATGTCTTTCTTGTGAACTCTAGCTGCCTTGGGGATCCATGGACTCCCAGGTCTATCTCTTCAATTTGGTGATGCTTCTGGCCTCTGCCTTGGTAACTTTTCATGCACTATGGCACAGAAACTTTCTCCAGGCAGTCTCTCCCTGTTTGTTTCCCATCTCTCTCGGATCATGTACTTTTGTTACCTGATGTCCAATATGTATAAAGACATTATTTTATATATTTTGTACTGTTTTATAATTATTTTAGGTGAGAAAGTAAACCTGGATCAGAAGCACAAATTCAACATGCCTGGATTCTTTTAACAGTATGAGATCATATACACTAAGGCCTCTTTAGCAAGAAAATCACTACCCAAATGCATGGTATTTATTATAGTTCTTTTAGTAACAGGCCAAGTGTCTATCAGTTGTCCATTACATATGTACACACACACATACATACATATATCTCCCAGGGATAGGTATATAAATCCGCTAGAAAATGAGTTCCTGAATCAATGCTTTATACAAAGGAGGCACTAATTCCATTAGAAACACACATCCAACATTCTTCCATTTATCATATTCCTGTGTTAGCATCTTGTCTGAAATTAGGTTGGCACACTCATTTCCAGTTTCCCTGTTTTCAAAATTATCTTACTACATAGTAGCTCACATTCCCAAGACCTTGGACCCTGGCATGGCCATTTCTAGGTATATATCTGTTAAACTAAATGTGGCCTGAGGATACCTCTGTTTTGTGAGTTCCTACATAATGAACTGCAACCTAACTTAGTATGTACACTACCTGAAAGCCTAACTTAGGAGTATACTTTTGTAACAGACAGCTGAATTTCAGCTCATCACAGCAGCTGAGCTTCAGTCAATTACAGGCAGCCAGCTGATCAGACTTTGTCCAAGTAAGGCAAGTGCTGATGTATAATGAAATCAAGCTGTTTCGATATCTCATTTCTACTTTCTGTCCATAAATGCTGTCTGCCCACATTGAGGAGCAGAGCTCTGTGAATCTCTTCTGATTCTGAGGGCTGCCTGATTTGACAATCATTCTTTTTTCAATTAAACTGACAAAAACAAGCAATGGGGAAAAGATTCCCTGTACAATAAATGGTGCTGAGATAACTGGCTAGCCATATGCAGAAGACTGAAACTGGATCCCTTCCCTACACCATATAGAAAAATCAACTCAACGTGGATTAAAGACTTACATGTAAAACCTAAAACTGTAAAAACCCTCGAGGATAACCTAGGAAATATCATTCCAGATGTAGGACCGGGCAGAGATTTCATGACGAAGACGACAAATGGAGTTTCAACAAGAACAAAAGTTGACAAATGGGACCTTTAACTAAAGGGCTTCTGCATTATGGCCCAGAAACTTTCTCCAGGCAGTTTCTCCCTGTTTGTTTCCCATCTCTCTAGGATCGTGTACTTTTGTTACCTGATGTAACAGGAAAAGAAACTATCAACATAATAAACACACAACCTACAGAATGGGAGAAAATATTTGCAAACTATGCATCTGACAAAGGTCTAATATCCAGAATCTATAAGGAGCTTAAACAATTTATAAGCAAAAACTGAAGAACCCCGTTAAAAAGTGGGCAAAAGACATAAACAGACACTTTTCAAAAGAAGATATATACATGGCCAATAAGCATATGAAAAAATGCTCACACCACAAATCATTAGAGAAGTGATATTACCTTTTAATAGAAACTGAAGAGGTCAAGCATGCCAATGTCATATGGCAAGTAAATGGCAGGGCCAAAATTTTATCTCAGGTCAGCTTGACATCCTGTCAGATGTGGCCATGTTCCTCAGAGTCATTCTTTCACATGTGTAAATTTTACTTAATATCTTAAAATCCCCCAAAAATATTTTGAACTACACATTTTGTTCTAAACAAAATTTTTAGATGAGGAATAATTTTATATATCTTTACATGAACATTTAGGTAAAACTTGAAGCCCTCAAGCCCCAAATAAATTTTTATTCCCAAGACTTATTTAGATGATGTTAGAGTGTTTTTTGAATTTGGTTTTTCCCATTCTGTATCTATCTTTTATTAATATTAATAAATAAATATTAATAAAGAATATATTTAAAAGGTAATTTTATTTTGAAACAGAAGAGAGGAAAATGCATGCTTTAATAATGTCAGTTTCCAGGTAAAGATATTGTGAGCTTGTTTGTCTAAATACATTTTATTTGGAATTCAGTATGAATTTTCAATAGATGCTTTTCAGATAAGAAAGCAGTAAATCAAATGCAATTGTATAAACAAGAAGATCAGAGGGATTATCCTGAAGGGTATAAAATGAACCAAGAGCTTTTAGTTTGGGTCACCACAGCATCTGCTCACCAATGCAAAGTAAGGTAGGTGTCTATAGTGAGAAGGCTCTGTGAAATGATATGTTCTTAAGCTATTTTTTTTCACTTTCACCATTTTATCATTTTTTAGAAAGTGGCAAATGCTGAAAGATAATTTGCTTCAACAGGCTGTAATATCTTAAATTACTGCTCCAAATTGTTTAGTAGTAGATGGAGGTGAGAGAACTACCTACATAAGGATAAGGAAAAAATTCATTGACTTAAAGAAAGAGAAACAACTGATTAGTTCCCTAATGAAGGATATTTGATATTCATGGCTTTCTTCTGTTTTCATTTTGATTTAAATATTGTTGTCCATTTAATGATGTGTGTATTAAATCCTCTCAATTACTGTACTAATGGCCATCTTTTATGAAAATGTACTTCCGGGAATGTTAGAGCAAATTCATTTTTGAGTACCTGCTGGGGTAATGTACTCTGTATTATAAGTTCTTTTTAGTTATTTAATAGCTAAACCTCCTTTGATAGTGTTCAACACACACACAGCTGCTGTATAGTACATTTTGCTTTCTAGAAAAATATACTGCTTTAGTGAAGTTCCAGGATTATTCATAGGATGGGCAATTAGTTCTTTTCATAGTAAGGGATTTGGAGAGTAAAAATTAATGAAGGAAATTAGCAGAGCAGAGAGGAAAGTGTTTATTAAGAATGAAGCATTGGGAGCAAAAATAAGAGAAAAAAAGAGAGGAAAGAGGCAAAGGAAAGAACATATCTTGGAATAAGAAAATACGTTCAAAGTAGGGACATATATGTCCATGCATCTGAAGAAGGCATCTCATTATTTAGGCCCTGCCTGAAACCATGCCTTCTATGTTTAGGTACCCAACAAATTATTCATGGTGATTTCAGAATAAGCAATTAAGTGGCAAAGATGAGAACCCAGATGACAATGAGGAAGAAATTGTGGCATATCACAGAGGAAGGGATTAACTAACGCGGATTTGTACAGTGTTATACAGCTATGTGATCTTTCTTATATAGAGAGCCAAGTGTTTCACATGTATTGTTTTATTCTTTTTATGATTTTAGGAAGGGACATATGGAAAAATGAAGGCACAAAGATATTAAATTGCTCAGTTGCACACAATTACAATTAAATCCTTAAGTAGAATTTAGATCACTAACTCTTAATCAATCAATCAGATCTGACACTAATTTATCATATAGAATTACAGACTATTTGTGCTGCGAAGATTTTCATGATCATCTTCTGGCTCTAAGCCCTGCTTTTATAGGTGAGAAAGTTGAGGCCCAGAAAGATTCTGTGGGTGAAGTTTTACTATTCGCAATAAAGAAGTAAAGGAAAAGAAAAGTTCTTGCTTTCTTTATGCCCACAAAGTTGTACAGATACTGTGGCTGGTAATTCAGCACTTCCATTTTCTACTTTTGTTAGTTTAGAGTTCTACATTTATAGGAGAAACTTCAAAAAAATATAGAGTATCCATAGTTAGTATGACAATAGGAAAACCAAAACAAATTTTCATCCTACATTTTAAAAAGGGTCAGGTGTACTTGTCACTTTCTATTTTGCAGATGGGGAAATAACACTCAAACAGATTATATATTTTAGTCAAGTTCTCATAGATTTATGGAAGAATTCTGTTTCTTAATTTTTAGACCAATATTTTCATCACCAGGTCACCACATTGATTTTATACAGAATTATAGAGCTAAAAGTTAAAATATGTGAAGTTAGTTGTTTCCTATAGAAAAAACTCAGTAGCTGGCTGTCTAAACAAGCAAGAACTATAATGGCCATGATGGGTAAGCATTTTACATAATTTACCAGTTAGTAATTTTAAGATCCTACAGAGGATCATCAAGTTCTGTATCTCTAAAATACTGGAAGCAACTCTGTACCATAGAGGGAGCTCACATTTGAGAAGCGCTTGAGAAAGCCAGATTCCATGAGTAAGGAATTTGTATGTTTTTGCTCCTTAACTCAAATACCAAACAAACCTTCCGTGGAATGTTTGAATATGCAACATTTCATTTAAAAGAATTTGTGAGAAAAACCCCTGTTATTTTAACCTTTAAAAGTTAAGTCTTCCTAAAATGGGTTAGTTTACTTTCTTGTGTAATAAGAAGTATAGTAAACATAAATCTTTGATAATTGTAGGTCTTAAAGTCTTAATTTGGACTCTTTCAGAGCACTAGAACAATCTGCGTTTTTATTATTTGTGTTCATATTAGCTCCTCCACTGGACAGTCAGCCCTTTAGGTAAAGGACCGTAGCTTTTCCGTTTGTGTTTGTCAGTGCCTGGTTCAGATGCTCAATATATGTTTATCTAATTTATCTACAATTCTCATTCTAGGAATAGAAGGTTGATTGAAATGACCACTGATCTCTGGAATTTGACATTTAAAATAAATCCCTGGTAACCTGTGTAATGTGGTTTTCATGGTTTCTTATAAGTTGATTGAAAAAAAAATCCTGGTTAACCAAGGCCGAACCTATGAGGTTTCAGTTTACAGAGGTTTTAGTGTATATAGCTTAAAGATGCTGTTGGGATATAACTGACAGATTTGGGGAAATCTTGGTACTTCTGATTATTGAACAAAATATTTAGTAAATTATATTTTATTTAATAGAACAAGCAAACAAGTTTATGTTCATAGACCACAATACTACTCCATTAAGGTATATATTTTCTTTACTGACAATGATACTTGAGAAGGAAAAAAATCCAAACACATCTAGCTAGCTGTACAATATTTGTAAGATTAAAAAAATTCTTCTTAATCTTCAAGGTGATCAACTTACATTCAAAAGTCTGAAATTTAATTACCCTTCCTCAGTAGTAGACCTAAAATAATTATGTCATAACATTATCCAGAGGGATAATGATATCAATATCAATATCATATCAATATCATATTGATATGATATATCCAATATGATATCATATCCAATATAACTATATCCAATCAATACATATTGATAATGATATCCAATTGATATTGAACAAGTTCTTCATCACGCAGGCTCTATTGAGATGCATGTTCTGTTTCTGCCTGAGGCACTGTGGATCCTCTATTTTCTTCCATGCATCCAAAAATTATTTAATATTCCTGGCTAACCCATAATGGAGCTGTCATCCTTGATTGTATTCTTCTAATTGTGTCAACCTTTTTTTTTTTTTTGCCTGTTAATCTTTTTGAGAACAAATTACATACCTGTTCTGTGTAAAATAATCTTTAATTTGTCCCAGCTGTACATATTTCCACCTTAAAGGGATATCCTAAGGGTTTGGAAGTGGGATCAGGGGGTTCCTAGATTTCTGAGTTAGCCCCTTAACACCAGTTGTAATTTCAGTTGACCTTTTTTGGACTTTATCTTTCTGGTGTCTTCCTTGACCAAATGGTAGAATTATAAGCATGATCATATGCATTGGGATGGTACTGAAGTTTGGTTATACTTTTTCTTGGTTTCTTTGCCCTTTCTGATTTTAACAAATAGGTTCTTTAATTTTATCTTTGATTTAGCATGACTGCTCTCTTTCTGATGTCCATGCTTTTTGGCCTTACATGTGGGCAAGCGATGTCTTTTTGTATTCCAACTGAGTATACAATGCACATCGAAAGGAGAGAGTGTGCTTATTGCCTAACCATCAACACCACCATCTGTGCTGGATATTGTATGACACGGGTATGTAGTTCATGTCACTTCTTTTGGCTGTAAATTATATAAGCCCTGAAGAAGTCCATTCCTATATAGAAAGGAAATGAAATAAATCACAACCTCATTTCCCAAATCTAATGGTTATTGGCTCCTTAGAAGCAGAGTACACAGGTTACAATATTATGTGAATCTACTCAGCACAATGGATACGCATAATTTTATAACAGTTTTGTGTCCCAGCTTTACTTAAACCTTATCTTGTTCCCATGATCAACGATGAAAGAGAGGAGGGTCTCACTTTTGTCTCTGTAGAATTCAACGTGGTTAAGTTGGTATTGGAGAATGGGGCTAAGCAATTCTTTCCCAGTTGTATTTGTGATGAAGGAATATAAGTGAATTTATTTTTATGTTTCTATTATCTATATGTTTCCTAAAGTCCTGTCACATTATGCTCTCTTTTCTGTTCTTTCCCCAGGATATCAATGGCAAACTGTTTCTTCCCAAATATGCTCTGTCCCAGGATGTTTGCACATATAGAGACTTCATCTACAGGACTGTAGAAATACCAGGATGCCCACTCCATGTTGCTCCCTATTTTTCCTATCCTGTTGCTTTAAGCTGTAAGTGTGGCAAGTGCAATACTGACTATAGTGACTGCATACATGAAGCCATCAAGACAAACTACTGTACCAAACCTCAGAAGTCTTATCTGGTAGGATTTTCTGTCTAATAGTGATATAATTTGCAATTTGGTTAAATGTGCTTGCCTGAAATAAAGCTAATAAAAATATTATGTTTCACATTATCTTCTGTTCATTTTGAGTACTATTTAATCCATACCCATACCTACACAGGCGTTAGAGAGCTTAAGTGGTTTTAGAAGAAAAGGTGAATGAATGGACCTTTTGGGCTCAGTTGAAGGTTGGTTTTCACGTGAAAGAGCAGAGTGGTGGTAAAATGGAGAACAGGGATATGAAATGCCAAAAAGCTCACCTTGAACAGTCTCTCCTAACAGAGGGCCAGGAGGTTTCTATGATATAGAAAGTGAATGTGGGATGACTACAGAGTTATGAAGAGAGAGTAATGTGATCAAAAGCTGAAGGAACACATGGTGTCAGGATACTGGAGACATCTACTTCCAAAGGCTAGAAGCAGGGCTGGCATGGAGGTGGGGAGTAAGGAGCATGTGGAATCTACAGTGGAGTGCTTTATTCCTGGTCATTCAAATGCACTGGATAAAACTCCACCCAAACTCAGAAGAGTCTAGGAACTATTTTCTTTAATTAATTACTCTGGTGCACCAAGTGACCTATGAAAGTTATACCCCAAAAAGTCAGTTTACAAAGCCTAGAAAAGAGGCCACGATCATTTTACATGTGGAAGTCTAAATCCTTTGTAGGCCTTCAAGTAATAGGAGATGCTTTTCAGCATTTATACCAAAAGTAACTGGTGCTGTTTTGACTTTTAATGTAATGAAAAACTGGTATGACAATAAAAGGTTTTAGGGATGGGGGAGAGTGCAAAGGGATTTGAGAGAGTGGAATTATTCTAAATTCTAATCTAAACCTTCATCAATATTGAAACACTGTTTTCTGGTAAATGTGCTTGGTAAGCAGCTGTTTATTTTTATTCTCCTTCCTTAGACACTCTTTCATGAGAATTTGGTTTCAACAGATGATTGACGTGAGACAGACCCAGTGCCCTGTAGACTTGATCTCAAAAAGTTGATATATCCTCTCTTTGTCCATTCCTTTTCATTCACACTGCCCCACCAAGGTGAAAAACAGTTGTCAGCAGGGCCAGTTGCCTTTGCTGTATTCTATAGCCACCAGTTAAATTCAGCTAGGCATACTGTAAATGTCTGTATGCTGATTGATAGTGCATGGGGTGGGCTGAGGAGGGTGGTGGTGGTAGTGGTGGGGTCCTGTAGATGGATTAGTACAACAGGGAGGGAATAGATGTGTATTTACATACAAAAGTCAGAACTCACATTATTTTACTTTAATATCTGAAATTGGTATTTGTGTGGTCTCCACATATTAATCTAGGGTTTTGTGTTCTCATATCAGCTGATAACATGGACATTTAAAGCTGCATACCACTTAAACTGTATGTCAAATACAGATCTTTAATAAATAAAAAGTCTAATGTTCAAATCTAACAGGGACTAGTCACAAATGCCTTCATGGATTCTGAAAAAGTTTTCTCAAGGATTTGAACTGTCTGAGTCTAAGTGCAATAAAAATTCTTTTATAAAGTTAACTTCCACTCTACTGTTCACTGTTGGGTTCTTCCCTACTTGCTTATCTCTCCTGGTTAATCCCCACTTATAAGACAACTCTATCTCACTTTCTCTACTTCTGCTACCCTCCTTCTACCTGCCGTTTCTGCCTGCTTAGCATCCATGTCTCTTCTTCTGGTAGCTGCACCTTGATTTCCCTCTGGGGTTCTCTTCACCTACAGTTTGAGTTCAAGTGGTTTCAGTGGGGATGATGAGGGTGGGTATGCTACTAGGCTCAACCAAACCTGGACTATTAGAAAGAGAAGTGGTTGGCCTGTTGGAGTTCCTAAACTGATAAAATGTGAGCCTGGAGTTGCTGCTGGCCATCTTTGGCATCCCTTGGAAACAGCTAGCTGTCCAACCCAGTGGAGAGCAAGAGAGACTGAGGAGAGAGAGGCCTATTGATATCATTTGAGCCTAATCTGAAGCTGGCTTCACCCCTTAAAAGAAACCATAACTTCCCTTTTCTGCCCAGTTAGAGTTAGGTTTCTGACACTTGCAACTGAGAAGTTCTGATAGATTCAGCTCTTTCCCACTAGTTTCAGAAGATGCTCCTAATTCCATTCCTCATCTCCCCTAGGACTTCATTGTTTGCTGTCGTATTTTCTCTTGCTTCCTTTTTCTTGATTCCTTCTTTTCAGTATGAAGCATCCTTAAATCTCTTTCCATCATAAAAAAAGCAAAAGCAAAAAAACAACCCTCTCTTGATCCTCTGCAACCATCTAGTTATTTGCCCCCTCTCTCCTTGAGTTCTTATTTCGAGTTTTGTGTGTGTGTGTGTGTGAAAGAGCCCACTACACTAACCAACTACTTCCTCACTTCTCGTTCTCTTCACAATCATTACAATTTGGCTTCCACTATTGTCCCCTCTTGAAATTGTTTTCAGTAAGGTCAACAATGACTTGCTAATGGGCCAATATACAGGACAACTGTTAGTCCCAATCTGCCCTGACCTCCCTTCTTCCCTAGAGGGCCCAGTGGTCCTCACATATCTGGATTCACAATGCAATACATCTTATTGTAGCAGCCTTGCCAATGCACCACAATGTTTTAGTTTTGTTGTTTTTAAGTAGGACTCAGAGTTCTTTGTCTTACCACCAAGAAAATTAAGGAGCATGAACACTAGGGTGAGGATGAAGCGAAAGTTTAATAAGTGAAAGGAGAAAGCTCTCCTTTCGAGCAGGAAACTGAAAGAGGGTTGCTATTCTACAGTGGAATACAAGGGCTTTTATAAACAGGCTAGTAGGGCAAGATATTTCATTTACATAAGGTGTAAAAAAATGGTTAGGACTAGGTGTTTCATTTGCATAAGACACAAATTCCTGACAGCTCCTCCCTGTCTTTTTAGTGTGCATGTGGACTCTTAGCCTAAGTTACTCTATATTACTTAGTTTCCCTTACTGTGCATGTGTAAGGGGGCGGAATTCTCCATTGTGGATGTGCCGGGTTCTGTGTTACTGCTCTTGGGCATGTTTCAAGCAAGCCCTCTCCTCCCTCCCCTGTGCAAACTCCCTTATCTCAGTATGTTCAAAAAAGGAAAGGAATGTGCTCACTGAAGCCTACTGTGTATAAGTGACCCTTGCTAATTACACAGAAGGTATCTTCATGGTGGACCTTGCCTCCTTATCTATGCTTGCAGTCTGATCTTTCAGGCTGTTCCTTTTTTAGACAAAAGGAATCCTACAGAGGACTTATCCTAGCTATCTGCCTAACTGGTTCCTTTCTTTCTTTTTCCTCATTATGGCATTTATAACCAGTCTTAAACAAGATGAAATCCACATTTTCTCCTTTTTTCATGTTTTCTTTCTACCCTCCTTCTCCAAGATGACTCAAAATCTATGCCATGGTCTTTAGCAGGCAACAGTAATGTAGGTCTGGACTGTATTTTTGCTTGGTGATTTTGCTTGATTCTGTAGCGATGAAGATTCTAAACTTTGTGAAAGGAGGGCCAGTGTGGTGATAACTTTATGTGTCATATTGACACTTTGGACATTGTTAAATGTACAGCATATGAGAAACTTGGGTTTGTATTAATTCAGCCTTGGATATCCTAAGGATTTATACTCATTAAAGACAGTTTTGATGGCAGTTGTTAAAGAAACACAGGCAGCTAAGAAAGACTCTCCAAGTTTAGGATAAGAAATAGGTGGGGAGCAAAGAATTACTGCGGGATTTTAACTTACTAAAGTAAGTTTAAAACTTTCTTGCTGGGGATTTAATCATAAGAGGTGGCTTATCTTGTTCAAATATGGGCATGACCATGCTTATATTGATTCCTACAGTTTTAGTTCAGACTTATTTTCCTGAGCTTCAGGGCCATATATCTAGTGCTTGTTTATATTTCCTCTTGGGTATCCTATAATCATCTCCACCCCATGTCATCATCACAATCTGCTTTTCCTCCTGTGTACCACTATCTTCCACCTGCCAAGTCGGAAACCTGGGAATTACTCCAGATTCCTCTTTTTCTTTCATCTCTCACATCCAATTTCTCTTAAGTCTGTCTACTTCTTAGTAGGCTTTCCAGTACATTAGCTACAAATCTTCCTGACTCTGGTGTTTGCCATCCAGTAATTCTTCATATTAAGACTAAGTGATTTTTAAAAGGTTCAAGTCTAATTTTGTAACTCACCATGTAAAATTTTCCCCATGGCCTCAGGACAAAGATAGCACTCAAGTATACTTTAATAGGGCTATTTATCTCCTTAGCACTTGACTCATTTTCTTTGAATGTTTCCATGCCTTTAATGTTTCAGGCTCTTCTTGCATGCTGTTCCCCAGCAATCCCCTCATCTTCTTCTACTACTTTTGACTTGGCTAATTAGTATGGGTTCTTTAGGACTCAGTTTAGAGACTCCAACATAAACGAAGCCTCTCTCCTGACCACTCTCCCCAAAGGTGAGCGGGCCTATTCTGTGTTAATGAGTATCATAACACTTATCTATAGTAATATGCTTGCTTGTTTTTTTCCATAATAAGCTGCTTGACAGCAGAGACTTGTCTTGCCCATCTTAGCATATCAATATTCTTATAGTTTTTCCAAATGTACAAAATAGTAACCCCCAAAGTAAAAAACCAATCCAATATTAGTGTGGGTTTCATCTTATAAGGTAGAGTAGGCCCAGAGAAAAGCATAAGGACTCTAGCTATGGCTACTGATCTCAAGTCTTTGAATTAAAATAGAATTGGGAAAGATATCAAAAGCTATTCATTAATTCTACAAATAAATGTGTTCAAATGGATAATTGGTATCACAATGAAATATGTTCAGTTATGCATCATTTCTAGAAAGCTGTTTGACTTGTAATTAGCAAAAAGTTCTCCTTGGCTCACACCTGTAATCCCATCACTTTGGGAGTCCAAGGTGTTCAGATCACCTGAGGTCAGGAGTTCGAGGACCAGCATGGCCAACATAGTGAAACCCCATCTCTACTAAAAATACAAAAATTAGCCAGGTGTGGTGGCGCATGCCTGTAATCCCAGCTACTAGGGAGGCTGAGGCAAGAGAATCACTCGAACCCAGGAGGTGGAGGTTGCAGTGAGCCGAGATCATGCCACTACACTCCAGCCTGAGCAACAGAGTGAGACTCCATCATCTAAAAAAAAAAAAAAAAAGCAAAAAACCAAAAAACCAAAACCTCTCCTCATCAGAGTATTAACATAATTACAACAGATAATATTCATTACTTGCCAGGTATGCTAGGCATTTTATATTGGTAATTTCTTTTAATTTTTTTCCATTTAATATAAGAACATCATAAATTATACAGACAACGCTGCCTCCTGCCACAAACAACTACCAAAGCTTTGAAAGGATTTCTGATACATTAGCTAAAAACTTTATGAAATCAGCATAGATTATGCTTTGCAACATTCAGGACATGTTACTCCTGTTCTTCCTGGTTCCCCTATCCCCAGGAGATAAACTATATGAACAGTGGATTTCTGGAATGTATTTAGCCTTTGCTGTTATAATGAGGATATTTTTAAAAATCATTTTGCATTGGTGAAGTCTTTTTACCTTTCAAAAGAAACTTACATATAATACCTTACAGGTACATGTTATAGTAAAAAACGAAGGATCATGCTGAAAAAAAGTAGAAACCTTTTGTCCCTCTTAAAATCTAACTTAACATAAATTTGATTTGGATGAGCCCGAACTAAGATAATGCAGTTAATCTACTAGCTTTGAAGGCCCATGAGTGTTCTCTCCCAGGGGTGGCGAAAATGATGTTGTTGAAATTGAGGAGCTGGTGGTCAAAGAGGATGTCAAAGGGGCCATGAACCAGGAAAGCAGGGGTGTGGTGCACCTACTAAAGTTCCAGTGGCTTTCCCAGTGGCTGTGGAAACTCCATTTTACCCATGACAGAAGGGTACCTCTTCCTTTTCATCTTTGATAAACCTGTTTCAGAAGGGAAAACATGCTATCTCCTTCATTGCCATCTTCCCACCAGCCTCATTCTCACTCAGCCAAATCTATAAACACCGCTCACAGGGTAAGGAGAACAATTATAGTTGCTGACTGCATGGGGAACCACACTGGACCCTGCGTCAGTGTGCAATTTTATAGCTTGAACCATGGATAATAAAGGAGCAATTCTGCGGAAAAGAGGTATAATTTACATAAAAAATATGAATTAAAATACAACTATAGTTGATCCTCAGTATCTGTGGGTTCTGTATCTGTGGATTTAACCGACTACAGATTAAAACAATTTGGACCAAAAAAAAAAAAAATGGTTGCATCTGTACTGAACACGTATAAAATTTTTCTTGCCATTATTCCCTAAGCAATACAGCATAACAAGTATTTATACAGCATGTCCTTTGAATTAAGTAAACAAGTAATCTAGAAATGATTTAAAGTATACAGGAGGAGCTAGGAAGTGGGGCAAGATGCTGGAATAGAACCCTGCAGTGATAGGGCCCCCTACCTGCAGGAACATCAAATTGAACAACTATCTACAAAATAAAGCCCTTTCAAAAGAACTAAGAAATCAGGTGAGAGATCACAGCACTTGGTTTTAATAAAATAACAAGGAAAGATGCATTAAAGAGGGTAGGAAGGACGGTATTGCATTGCCTACACCACCCCATTCCCAACCCCAGGCAGTGCAGCACAGAGAGAGAATCTGCGTGCTTAGTGGAGGGAAAGCAAAATATGAGGGATTTTGCATTGGAACTCAGAGCTGTTCTGACACAGAACACAACACCAGGCAGAATTTCTCTGATGCTCAAGAAGGGAGCACTTCAACCAGTCCCGGGGCAGAGGGGAATCTTTTGCAGCAGGAGGAGGAACACAAGTCACAGCCGGCTTCACTACAGGCTGAGTAAAGTGGTCTGGGGTTCCAAATAAATTCAAGTGGCAGTCAGGCCATAATGACTTCCATCTTTGGGCAAACCCTGGTGTTGCATTGGTCTTGGAGGCAGTGGGATTGGGATGTGACCTGGTGCAACACCAGCTGCAGCAGCCACGAGAGTGCTGGTGTCACCTCATCCCAACTCCAGGCAGTGCAGCAAGAAGGGAGACTCCTTCTGCTTGGGGGAACAAGATGTTACTCTTTGTCTCGCGACTGGGTACCAGCCCAGCCACAGTAAAACAAAGCACCTAGCAGAATCTTGAAGCCCCTATTTCTAGGCCACTGCTCCTGGACCACACTTCTATACCCACTCCAGACCAGGAGGGAATCCACTGCCCTGGCAGGGCAGACCCAATTCTTGGCTGGCTTTACTACCTGCTGACAAAAGTGTCCTTGGGCCTTGAATAAACATCAGTGCAGTCAGACAATAGCAGCCATGGGCCTTGAGTGTCCTAGTCCTATGCTGGTTTGGGAGGTCATGGGTATCAGATGCAACTCAGCGCACTGCCAGCTGCAATGGCCAGAGTGCTTGAGTCACCCCTCCCACAACACCAAGTGGCCAACCCCAGAGAGGGACTCCTGCTTGGGGGAAAGAGAGGGAAGAGAGTGAGGGACTTTTCCTGGGTATCCAGGGACTTCCCTTATTTTTTCCAAGTCCATCAGGGATGGGTATCCAGGAATCTGTAAGGAATCTTAGTGTACCTGGGCTTTGGACACCCTCTAGTGCTGAAATAGCTGTAATGACACAGGCTTACTGAACTCAAGACTCAGCTGCCTTTGAATTCTTAGAAGGCCTTCTGAAAAAGGATGAGGATAAACAAGGCCAGACTATGAAGACTGGAATAAATACCCAACTCTTCAATGCCAAGACATCAATGAGCATCCAAAAGCATCCAGCACAAAACTTCAGGAAAATATGACCTCACCAAACAGACTAAATAAGGGGTCAATGGCCAACATTGGAGTGGTGGAAATATGTGATATCTCAGATAGGAAATTCAAAATAGATGTTTTGAGGAAGCTCAATGAACTTTAAGAAAACAGACAGAAAAAATTCAGAAATTTATTAAAGACATTTAACAAAGACATTGAAATAATAATAATAAAAAAGAAATAGAAATCCTGTAGCTGAAAAGTACAACTGATTAACTGAAAAATGCATAATCACAGTGTCTCAACAGCAGAACTGATCAAGCAGAAGAAAGAATGAGTGATTTCAAAGACAGGCTATTTGAAAACACAAAGTCAGAGGAGAAAAAAGAAAAAAGATTGAAGTACATTACGAGATCTGGAAGATAGCCTCAAAAGGACATATCTAAGAGTTACTGGCCTAAAGAGGAAGTAGAGAAAAAGATGGGGTAGAAAGTTTATTCAAAGAAATAATAGATCACTTTCTAAACCTAAAGAAAGTTATGAATATCCAGGCACAAGAAGGTTAGAGAATACCAAGCACATTCAACCCAAATGAGACTACCCTGAGGTATACAATGATTATGCTCTCAAAGGTAAAGGATAAAGAAAGGATTCTAAAAGCAGCAAGGGCTGCTTTTCTTTTGAAGCAAATAACATATAGAGGAGCCCCAATATGTCTTGCAGCAGACTTCTCAGCAGAAACCTTACAGGCCAAAAGGAAGTGGGAAGACATATTCAAAGTGCTGAAGGAAAAAAACTTTCAACTGAGAATATTGTACCCAAAAAAGCTATCTTTCAAACATGAAGGAGAAATAAAGACTTTGCTAGACAAACAAAAGCTGAAGGAGTTCATGAGCACCAGATCTGACTTACAAAAGATGCTAAAGGCAGTTCTTTAATCTGAAAGAATAGAATGCTAAAGTGTGACAAGAAATCATCTGAAGGTATAAAGCTCATTGGTAAAAGTAAATACACAAATTCAGAATATTCTCATACATTAACTGTGGTGAGTAAACCACTCATATCTTTGGTATGAAGACTAAAAGACAAATCTATCAAAAATAATAACTACAACAATTTGTTAAGACATAAGCAACATAAGGGCGGGTGTGGTAGCTCATGCCTGTGATCCCAGCATTTTGGGAGGCCGAGGCGGGTGGATTACTCGAGGTCAGGAGATTGAGACCAGACTGGCCAACATGGTGAAACCCTGGCTGTACTAAAAATATAAAAAAAATTATCCAGGCATGGCGGCAGGCACCTGTAATCCCAGCAACTAGGGAGGCTGAGGCAGGAGAATAGCTTGAACCTAGGAGGCAGAGGTTGCAGTGAGCTGAGATCACGCCACTGCACTCCAGCTTGTGTGACAAAGTAAGATTACATCTCAAAAAAAAAAAGCGAGAGAGAGATAAACAACATAAAAAGTTAAAAATGGAGACATTAAAAAGTCAAAAAGTGGGGGAAGATGAGTTAAATTGTAGGGTTTTTTAGTTTCTTCTAAAAACAACTAAAAAACTTGGTTGTTTGCTTCTTTTCTTTGTGATGAAAGTTACCAGTTTAAAACAAGTTATTATAACTATAAGATTTTTTGTCTCATAACAATCACAAAGCAAAAACCTATAATAGATACAGTAAAAATAAAAAGCAATGAATTAAAATGTATTACCAGGGAAGATAACCACAGAGAAAGATAGTAAGAATAAAATAAAGGACTTAAGAACCAGAAAACAAACAATAAAATGGCAGTAGTGTTTACCTATCATTAATTACATTGAATGTAAACATGGACCAAATTCTCCAATTTAAAAGACACAAGGTGACTGAATGAATGAAAAAACAAGACCCAACACTTTGTCTCTTTTTAAGTCAGAAACTGCAAAAAGAGACAAAGAAGGTCATTATGTAATGGTAAAGGGATCATTCTGCAAGAGGATATAACAATTGTAAATATAATTGTACCCAACATCAGAGCACAAAAAGAGAGCTAGATTCCAGTACAATAATAGTAGGGAACCTCAAAACCCAACTTTTGCCAATAAATAGATCATACAGAGAGAAAATTAAAAAAAAGAAACATGAAAAGTCAACTACACTCTAGACCAAATGGACATAACTGACATTTTCAGAACACTCATCCTACTGCTGCAGAATACGCATTCTTCTTGCCAGCATATGAAAACATTCTCCAGGAAAGACAACATGCAAGGGCACAAAACAAGTCTTAGCAAACTCAAAAAATTGAAATAATATCAAATATTCAGGCTGCAATGGAATAAAATCTAGAAATCAATAACAAGAAGAACACTGAAAATTGAATAAATACATGAAAATTAAACAACATGCTCCTCAATGACCAATGGGTCAATGAAGAAATTAAAAATATTTTTTAAATTCTTGAAACAAATGAAAATAG
The DNA here is from genome assembly GCF_000001405.40 of Homo sapiens. Taxonomy (NCBI): domain Eukaryota; kingdom Metazoa; phylum Chordata; class Mammalia; order Primates; family Hominidae; genus Homo; species Homo sapiens. The sequence goes on from NC_000001.11 coordinate 115,044,464, forward strand.
AAATACAGCATACCAAACCAATGGAGTACAGGAAAAGTAGCATTAAGAAGGAAGTTTATAGTAATAAATGCCTATATCAAAAAAGTAGAAAGACTTCAAATAGACAAACTGATGATGTACCTTAAAGAACTAGAAAAGCAAGAACAAACCAAATCCCAAATTAGTAGAAGAAAAGAAATAATAAAAACCAGAGTAGAGATAAAATGGACACTAAAAAACAATGCAAAAGAGCAACAAAATGAAAAATGAAATTTTTTAAAAGATAAAAAAATGACAAACTTTTAGCTAGACTAAGGAAAAAAGAAAGACCTAAGTAAATAAGAGACAAAAAAGGAGACATTAAAACTGATACCACAGTAATACAAAAGATCATTAGAGACTTTTGAACTATATGCCAATAAATGGAAAAACCTAGAAAAAATGAATACATTTCTAAATACATACAATTTACCATGATTGAATCATGAAGAAGTAGAAAACCTGAGCAGATTAATAACAAGTAATAAGGTAAAAGCAGTAATAAAAGTCACCCATCAAAGAAAAGCCCAGGACCTGATGGCTTCACTGCCAAATTTTATCAAATATTTAAAGAACACCAATTCTACCAAAACTATTCTCCAAAATTGAAGAGCTAATTCAATGAGTCCAGCATTACCCTGATAGCCATACCAAACAAAAATACAACTACAAAGAAAATGACAGACCAATATTCCCGATGAACATAGATGTAAAAATACTCAACAAAATACTAGCAAACAGAATTCAAAAACGCATTAAGAAGATCATTCACCATGATCAATTAATTGGGATTCATCTCAGGGATACAAGGATGGTTCAACATACACAAATCAATAAACATTAATAGTAACAAGGACAAAAACCATATGAACATTTGAATAGATACTGAAAAGGCGTTTGATAAAATTCAGTATCCTTCATGATAAAAACTCTCAACAAACTGGTGATAGAAGGAACATAACTCAAAACATTAAAAGCCATTTAAGATAAACCCACACCTAACATCACATATTGAACACGGAAAAATAAAAAATTAAAAGCCTTTCTTTTTTTTTTTTCCTTTGAGACAGGGTCTCACTCTGTCGCCTAAGCTGGAGTGCAATGGTGTGATCTCGGCTCACTGCAACCTCTGCCTCCCAGGCTCAAGCAATTCTCGTGCCTCAACCTCCCAAGTAGCTAGGATTACAGGCATGTGCCACCATGTCCAGAGAATTTTTGTATTTTTAGTAGAGACAGGGTTTCACCATGTTGGCCAGGGTGGTCTCAAACTCCTGACCTAGTGGTCCACCTGCCTCGGCCTCCCGAAGTGCTGGGATTACTAGCGTTAGCCACTGCACCTGGCCAAAAATTAAAAGATGTGGAAAAAGACAACAATGCCCACTTTCACCACTTCTATTCAACGTAGAACTGGAAGTTCAATCCAGAGCAATTCAATGAGAGAAAAAAAGGGCATCCAAATTGGAAAGAAAGAAGTCAAATCATCCTTGTTTGCAGAAGACATGTTTTATATTTAGAAAAACCTAAAGATTCCACCAAAAAAATTGTTAGAACTGATAAATGAATTCAGTAAAGTTGCAGAATGTAAAATCAAAATAAAAAAACAGTAGTATTTTTATATGCCAGCAGTGAACAATTTGAAAAAGAAATCAAGAAAGCAATCCCATTTACAATAACTACAAAAAAATTTAGGAATAAATTTAACCAAAGAAGTGAAAGGTCTCTATAATGAAAGCTATGAAATGTTAATGAAATAAATTGAAGAGGACAGAAAAAAATGGAAAAATATTCCATGTTCATGGGTTGGAAGACTTGATATTGTTAAAATGACCATACTACCCAAAGTGTTCCACAGATTCAATGCAATCCTTATCAAAATACCAATGACATTTTTTCACAAAAATAGAAAAAAAATGCTAAAATTCACATGGAACCACACACACACAAAAACTCCTGAATAGTCAAAGCAATCGTTGGCAAAAAGAATAAAAGCTGGAGGCATCACACTACCTTCCTTCAAAGTATACCGCAAAACTATAGTAACCAAAACAGCATGGTATTGGCATAAAAACAAACACATAGACCAATGGAACAGAATAGAGAACCCAGAAATAAATCCATGTATTTACAGCTAACTCACTTTTGACAAAGGCACCAAGAACTTACACTGGGGAAAGAACAGTCTCTTCAACAAATAGTGCTGAGAAAACTGGTTATCTACATGCAGAAGAATGAGACCAGACCCCTATTTCTCACCCTACACAAAATTCAAATGTATTAAAGACTTAAATATAAGACCTGAAACTATGAAACTACTAGAAGAAAACACTGGGAAAATGCTTCAGGAAACTGGTGTGGGCAAATATTTTTGGGGTAAAACCTCAAAAGCACAGACAACCAAAGTAAAAATTGACAAATAGGATTACATCAAGCTAAAAAGTTTCTGCACAACAAAGGAAACAATCAACAGCCACTATGCAAAACAGTTTGGAGGTTCCTCAGAAAACTACCATATGACTCAGCAATCCTACTGCTGGGTATATATCCAAAAGAAAGAAAATCAGTATATCAAAGAGATGTCTGCATGTTCATATTTATTGCAGCACTATTCACAATAGCCAAGATACAGAATTAACCCAAGAGTCCATCAACAGATGGATAAAGAAAATGTGCTATATATACACGATGAAATATTATTCAGCCATGACAATGGCTGAATAATGAATAAAATCCTGTCAATTGCAGCAACATCATAGAATTGGAGGATATTAAGTGATATAAGCCAGGCACAGAAAGACAAATATCATCAAGATGAATCATGTTCTCAGTCATATGTGGGAGCTATAAAAATTGATCTCATGGAGGTAGTAAATACAATGGTGGTTACCAGAGGCTGGAAAGGGTAGCAGGCAGGGAGGGATGAAGAGGGATTGATTACTGGGTACAAAAATACAGTTAGATAAAATGAATAAGTTCTAATATTTGGTAGCACAATAAGGTGACTATAGTTAACAACAATTTATTATATGTTTTAAAAGGCCTAGAAGATCTGGAATGTTCCCAATACAAAGAAATGATAAATGTTTCAGGTAATAGATATCCCAATTACCCTGATGTGGTTATTACACATTGTATGCTAATATCAAAATATCCCATATATCCCAAAAGTATGTACAACTATTATGTAACAATAAAAAAATAAAAATTAAAAAAATAAAGTATATGAGAGGATATGCATAGGCTACATGCAAATACTACACAATTTTATACAAGGGACTTGGACATCTGTGGATTTTGGTATCCACAGGGGGTCCTGGAACCATTCTTCTATGAATACTGACAGATGACTGTATATGCAGTAAGAGTCCTTAGGGTGTTGCTTTTAAGTCAACTACCAATAGCAAATTATAGAAGGGTTACCACTCTGTTTTTTTTTAATCACATTATTTGATTGGTAGTTTGACATTTAGATAAGTTGCGTGAAGGTTTGTAGAAAGATATAATAGGACTTTAAGATAAATCAAACAAGCAATTTCAGTATATAGAAAATTTAATATGAAATCACTTAAAATATTTCAACATTAAGAAGTCTTAATTCAGTGCCTTGGCATGAGACATTTAAAAGCATGTTTGGGTCTAATCTCAAATTAGTTCAGGGGAACAGAAATAGCTGAAAATTTATGTATATGTGTATGTATATATATATATACACACACATCTGTATATACATACATGTATATATTCAAATTATATACATATAAAGATATTTGTAGATTCAAGATATATAGGGATTATATATCTATATATATTATATGTGTGTCTATACAGATATATATATATATATATTCATCTTTCTGTGTGTGTGTGTATATATATCCACACACACATATAAAATCTATTGTTGCTTAGTGGTGGAATTCTCTAATTTTACTCATACGCATATTTTGGAAAGCTTATCTCCAAAAGGGGCACATTAATCGTACATGGAACAGAACCCTTCTCTTCTACTTTAATTAATTTCATTTTAAATTTATTTATTTCTATTCTTCCACTTTTAACTATTATAGTCTCCTTTAAAGTTGTTAATTCAGATAGGAAACTAAACTCACTTTTGTGGAATCAGAGATGATTCTGAGTTGGAAAGAACCCGAGTATGCACTTGGGCCTGTTTCCTGTCTTCAGGCAGAGAGATAAACTAAAGCTAAGAGAGATGGACTGCCTGTTCTTTGCCTAAAAGGTCACATTTCTCAACTACTGGGGTACAAACTATATTTCATGAAGTAATTTTTGTAAAATAATTTTTCTTTAGCTACAGACACAGTAAAGTAGCCATGTATAATTAAGTTTTTAGCTTGCCTCAAATATGACCTTTGTTCTTCTAGAAAAATTTCCTCCAAAATCAGTAGCAGTAGCAAGTATGGCAGAAAGAGAAATGTGGTTCTCCATGGGAGAGAGACTATTTCAAGCAGTCATATCTTTTTAGCAAAATGTTTTGTGAGTTTTTTGGGAGTGTGACACTTTTAGTGCACACTCAAAGACTTGTGTTTTCACATGTATAGAAGTTCATCTGGGGGTTTCCAAAGCCTTCCGTATTTTCACTTATGTGTGGCCTTACAAAATGTAGTTTTTAAAAAATCTATGGTTTACTAAATGTAACACGTTAAAAATCACTGAAAAATTTGCCAATGTAAATCCTAAATTTGGGTTTACTAAGTTAAAATGAAGCGTTAAGACCAAAAAAACATTGAAAATTTTATTTTCACAGGGGATTTGCATAAAAAGAACATTATTTTTGTTCTGTGTATATATAAGTATTTTTGTTTCCTTAACTTGTTTCTGTTGCCCACACACAACTAGGAGAAGATGCTTTTCTTTATTTTGGTTTGGCCAAAGATGCTAATGGTTAAATTATGAAGGACTTTGTTTTACTTATGTTAAGTGGTGAAAACTGTAGTTCTTAATCTATGAAGAATTCTCTAGGTGGCTATACAAGAAAAATACAAAAAGTTAGGAAAACATGTAAACGTAAGTTATGAGGTATTTCATAGATACAGTGCCCATACAAATTCTCTTTCCCACAATTTTCAACTGCCAGATCTCTTGCTTTAGTCTTTTTTCCTTATATTTGGAGAAACAGAAGAGTTTGACATAAAAGTCCCTTTGAGGATGTGAGGGTTGCAGTAGTTTACAGCAGGGTCAGAAAATGAAAGTAATAAAGCAATATTTACATGTTTTTGTATAAGAACAAAAATATTTCCTTAAAAAGTTGTTAAAAGTTTTTTAGTCCTATAAACACTCACTTTTATAGGGCACATGATTGTCTGTGTGACTTCTCTTTCCAGAGGAAGACTTTTTTATTTTTAAATTCTAGGAAAGCATGACTTATTCAAATTGGATTTTCCATGCTATATTTAGTTTTACAGATGTGTTTAGTTCTAAAACTGTGGTTTACTGTATTCTGGGGAGAGCATGTATATAAAAAAACCCAGGAAACCCTTACACCCAACTTAGACACAGTCAGTTTTAACACTCCATTGTGATCTCTCAATTCTTACAGCTTATTACTTCCATTAAGAAGAAATCTCTGAATTCTCTGCATCTAATTTTCAATGGCTACAGTCTGAGAAACTGACCCATTATCACTTTTTCTAAATAGCCAAGTTCTCAAAGTTTCTGAAAGCTCTTTGATCTTTTTTTTCTGGGAGCGAAATAGGTTGTTCTTCTTATATAACAAGAATCAGGAATTCCCAGCAAACAGATTTCATTACGTATAAAGCATATTCCAGAAACACGCAGATCACACATGAATATGCTCTCAGTCATCATAAACAGGCATTCACTCAAGGGGTAAACCAGTAATGAGCCAAACATACGTACTCATGCAAATGTACAATTGACAGCAAATTATTTTAGATCCTAATGTCATTTCAGTGTTAAAAATGAGCTGGGAGACAGCTCCTGTGACATTTGGTATGAAAGCTTTAGATTGCAATTTTCATGTAGAAGTAGCTTCATATCACATCTCGTGAGTTTCGTATCGCACAGCAGAGGACCATGCTGAATATCATGCCAAAGATCTGAAACAGAAGAAACACTCATCAGTGACTTTGAAACGGGTACTGATAGGTAAAAAGTTCAGCAGACTTCCTGGGTGTCTAACTCAAGTTAACAAATAATTATAACCAATAATTACCAGTCACAAATGACATTTTAGTATGTTACTTAAGGTTGGCTATGGGGTAAATAATTCTAGATTAACTGTTTAAATGTGTATTATTATTGTTAACAAGTAACAAGGCTCTGCTTTAAAAGAACCTACCCTGCTTCAGAATTATAGAACCGTTCTGAATACCTGTGAAAGACAGACACAATACTGGCTTTGGAATTTTATATTTCAGGTTAATCCTAGATCTCTTTTATATGTTTATTTTGAAAACTGTGTCCATAACCACTTGTTGTTTAGATATGCTTGTGGTCTAAATAATTTTCTATTGCTGGAAAAGCTCTGATTTTTTACAACAGTGTCCATACATCCAAAAATGGAGTATCAGCTGGGTGCAGTGGCTCATGCCTGCAATCCCAGCACTTTGGGAGGCTGTGGTGGGAGGATCGCTTGAGCTCAGGAGTTCTAGACCAGCCTGGGAAACATGGTGAAACCCTGTCACTACAAAAAATACAAAAATTAGCTGAGCATGGTGGTGTGTCCCTGCAGTCCCAGGTGCTTGGCAAGCTGAGGCGGGAGGATTATTGAGCCCAGGAGGTCGAGGCTGCAGTGAGCTGTGATTGCACCACTTCACTCCCTGGTGACAGAGACCCTGTCTCACAAAAAAAGAAAAAAAAAGTGGAGCATCACTTCATTCTCAGTCCATTTTTAAGGGCAAACGATGCTTCACTGTTTAATTCAATAGTTTTAGCAAAACATAAACTAAAGGGTTTATACTATGGTATTATTGACTTTTACCTTTTGGATAGTTCTCTGAGAAGTTAAATACTTGAGTGAAATCAATATCCACTTCCATGGTTTGAATAGAAGAATGCCAAAGAGTCTTCTTGTCCGCTATTATTTCCCCTACAATTTTGTAGAGCCCATGGAACCCTATCTGTGGGCACCATTCCATAAACTACTGTCAATGCTTATTTTAAAAAATGGGTACTATAACTTTCTGGTTCTCTCCTCAATTCCATCCTAAGTCAGACTAGGATCTGTAAGTGCTAAATTCAATAAGATATGAATGATCAGTTGTTTTGAAAAGGGAGGGGCAGAAGCAGGTAAGGGCATGGCCAGGAACAGGATTTCAAGCTTCTGGATGACAGGACTCAGTACCAGTGTGTAGCACGGGCGACACCCAATGCACTTTTAGTTAGCTGATTACATTGTGCAACTCTCACTTTACAGAGAAAAGAACTAACGAAGAAACCTGGGGGTGCCGACTCAAGATAGGCTCACTATGGGCATTTCCCCTTTATCATTGCCATAAGGTTGGATGTAATCCCTACCCATCCTGGTTTCAGTGAGACTCCTTCAGTCTCAGCCTACTGCCGACACGAGTCAGGGGTGAATGCTTCTAGGCTGCTCATTTGCTGAGATTGTGAAACTCTCCATTATGCAGCACACGCTCAGACCTGCCTCAGGACTGTCCTTTGGGGAGCTGCAGAACTGCAGCCAGGCTATCCCCAGAGCAGGTGGGGAGGACCTGAGAAATGTCCCTTGATTTGGAGGGCCTCAGCAGAGTATTTCCAGCCACTTCTCCACCCCTCTGTGCTCTAAATACAGAAAAGGGGAAGGCGCTTGTGTGTCCCCTGATAACTGCAAATTCACTGATTTCCTCACAATTCCCACAGCCCTTGCCTTAGTTTAGGCCATGAATTAATCTACATAGAGGGCTAGAGACTAAGTGCCATCTTAGCATTAGCTATTATCATCCAACCCCTGGACAATGGAAATCATCCTTTAACCCGCCTTCCAAATCCAATCTTGCCTCCCTCCAACCTTTCCTCTATCCTCTACCACAGGTTCTTCCAACTCTTGGTGACTCCCCTTTCCTTAAGGGTGAAGCCCACCCTTTCAAAGGGGCATACAAAGATCTCAATGATGTAGATCGAATACTCTCTCCATTACCACCTCTCGCAACTCCTGCCATACCTGTCCGCTGCTATCCATTCTTCCCACACACTCTTCTTTTGTACTTTAGAAGTACAGAGCCACCTGGTGGTGGTCTGGATGCACTACGCTTAATACCATCTATGCCATTGCCTTTGCCTGGTAGATTATGCAGAGAGCTGGCATTTGTTGAGTGTTATATGTCCCAGACACTTTATTTATATTAATTTGTAATACTACTGTATATGTAGTATCCCATTTAATTTTCACGGCAATCCTATAAGGTTTATATATTAACAGACGAGGAAATTGAGGTATAGAAAAATTAAGAAATTTTCCTGCGATCTCAGAGCTTGCAAATGGTGGAGCCTAGAGTTAAATCCAAACCATGTGATGCCAGAGCTCGCCCTATTAATCTCTATGCTCTGCTGCCTCTTCAAATCGTAGGTGAGAGAGATTAACCTGATATGTTGCATTGAATTTGTAACAGTAGAAAGAGACCCAGAACTGAAAATCATTTATCTAGGTTATGGATAGTAGCCTTAAAACGGGAAGTTAATAACAATGACACACTCAAGGTCATAATGAGTTAAAGTTGAAATTTCTATTATATTTTAGAGGACAAACTATTAATATATTTATGAGCTTTGTTCTTAGAAGATGTAATACATTGTGAACAAAGGTCTTTTTTCTTTATGAGAATTCTCTCTTAAGATACTATCACACTTGAAAAGAAATAAGATGCAAAGTTTCAAGGCTTTTTAGAGGGCAAAAAGGGTAAGTTCTAGAACTTTCTCACCGTCAGACCTGCAATTCCAATACCGACAATTCCAATGAGCTGGAGCTTAACACTGATTATGGTCTCAATTTCATCGATGCAATTCTGTTTTGAGGAAAAAAAGTCGGGAATAAAAACTGATTGTATGTGTCAGTCATTATCCTGATCCTATCCTTTCCATCTCTACAGTTCATTCTGTGAGAGTTAATCCATGCCAGCTTCTACTCATGTTTCAACAATTCATCTTTGATAACATCATCCTAATAAGCTTAATGCAAAAATGCAGTTTGGGGAAAAAAATAGAAGCCTCTCCTTTGGGTGAGATTTTCATGTTTAGGCCAGTGGCTTCTTCGGAGCCCTGAAATATAACTGGAGGAAGCTATTTGTCTGGTTCCAAGGAATCTAAAAATTTGGAGCCACTTCTTACTTGTAGCAAATAAGTAAAATACCCTTAAAACAATAACTCTTTGTTTTCATATTGTCATTTACAGTTTAAAATACTTTCTATGTCTTTGACCCAATTTACTATGCAAAGTAGGCATGACCTATTAAGAAACTAAAAAGTCTTAACAGGTTCAAGTTAAACAAAGGAAAGCCAAGAATTAGAAAAGCCAAGTCTTGGAGCTAGAGGACCATTCTCTCCTGTGGTGGCTGGGCTGGGCTGTGCTGGGTGAGTTCCTATCCTTTCATCTGTGCCCATAAGACACCTGTGCAGCATAGATTCAAAGGGCCTTCATGGATGTGGGGAAACTTAGACAGAAAGCCAAATAGATCACCTGTAACTATTATTAGTTTCTCCAACTTCAAACACTCCTATTTGGAGTGCTCTTAAGTAGAGGGATGCTCTCAATCCAACTGTACCCTCAGGTTGTTCAGATCTGTTCACTTGTCACTGGTTGGTTCCTTTGATACCATCTGAGCTATATAAAACCCTTACTTCTCTCTTCGTATTTCCTATCACACTTCATTCATTCAACAAACATTTCTTGAGCATCTACCTTGCATTAGTCACTGGAAGAGGGGTGGTAGATGCAGAGACAATAGGATATGGTTTCTCCTGCTTTCTGGGAATTCACAGTTTAGAGGACACAGATCCACAAGAGATACCTATAATGCATTCTGACAAAAGTTTGAAAACTACTCTTCTAAGGAGTGGCTCCCTTACTTAGTGGAAAAAATGAGAGTCAACCTATAGCAATTCTTTCACTCTTCCTCTCCTTCTCCTATACACTTAGATGCTCCCTTCCTTCAGTGCCAGGCATTGCTGTAGGTAGCAAGCACACTCCTGACTCCTTTTTCTCTGATCAGAGCCAAAGAGGTGCCCTTCTCTGTTGAAAGTTAACCTCATGGCTGGGCGCGGTGGCTCAAGCCTGTAATCCCAGCACTTGGGAGGCCGAGATGCGTGGATCACCTAAGGTCAGGAGATCGAGACCAGCCTGGCCAACATGGTGAAACCCCGTCTCTACTGAAAATAAAAAAATTAGCCGGGCATGGTGGCACCTACCTGTAATCCCAGCTACTAGCGGGGCTGAGGCAGGAGGATCACTTGAACCTGGGAGGTGGAGGTTGCAGTGAGCCGAGATCATGCCACTACACTCCAGCCTGGGCAACAGAGTGAGACTCTGTCTCAAAATAAATAAATAAATAAATAATAATAAAAGACAGTTAACTTCATATCCTGCTTTGGGTCTTTCAGCTCCTCAGGAAGCCTGCACTGCCAGTTACTTTTTTTCCTTCCTATACATTCAGCCTCTCCTTATCCATTGACATTTCTACTTATCCTATCACCATGCTCAGTTCTTCAATCAAAACAAACAAAACAACACTCGAGACTGTCCTCCTCTAGTTCTGCCATTAGGCCCTCCTTCCCTTCATTGCCAGCTTCTTTTTGTAAAAAACAAATGTACAAAAGGTATATTGGCTTTAGTCACAAAAGGAATACATGCTTCTTGTAGAAATCTGGAAAAGAGATTTTTTTTTTTTTAAAAAGAAATGTCTGTATTCTCACCATAAAAGGTAATAAATTTGTTGGTGATACTTACACACACAAACACACCTACACCCTTAGGTCATTCTTTATATTCAACAGTGAGCTTTTTAAACTTAATATTACAACTTTAAAAATGCCTTGTTTCACTAAAAATTTCTTTGAAATCATGATTATGATGATTATTTTTTTTTTTGGAGACAGAGTCTCGCTCTCTCACCCAGGCTGTAGTGCAGTGGCGCGATCTCGGCTCACTGCAACCTCTGCCTCCCAGGTTCAAGTGATTCTCCTGCCTCAGCTTTCTGAGTAGCTGGGATCACAGGCACATGCCACCACGCCTGGCTAATTTTTGTATTTTTAGTAGACGGGATTTCACCATGTTGCCCAGGGTGGTCTTAAACTCCTGAGCTCAGGCAATCTGCCTGCCTCTGCCTCCCTAAGTGCTAGGATTACAGGTGAAATCATGATTCTTAATGGTGGTAAAACATTTCATCATATGAATATACTACAATTTATCCAAACAATCCCCTATTGCCACATATTAAGGGTCTGTCCAGTGTTTTGTTCTTATGAATAACATGTAATGAGCATGATTTGCACAAAAACGTCTGTCTGCATTTCTGATTCCTTTTCCTTAGAATAAACTCCGAGAAGTGGAATTTCTGGATAGAAGGGCATAAACATACTTAATCCTCTAGTCTTACATAGTCATACTGACCTTTAAAACTATTTACTAATTTCTCTGAAAATGCTCACGACATCACGTTTACCAAAACTGTGTATTATTGTTAAGGGAAAGGAAAAACACTTGGTCAATTTCATAGATTAAACAACAGCATCTCTTCATTTTAATTTGCTATTGATTTTAAATATTACTTTTAATTTTCTATATTTTCTATATGTTTAATGGTAATTTGGACTTTGACTTTTGTAAACTTTCTTTCTGTGTCCTTGGCTCAAATCGAAACTTCTTGAAAGGATGCTCTCTCTCCTCACATCTCGCTCTCTGAAACCTGGGCTCTGTCCTCAATCCATCCCTCACAGCACGTCACCAGTTGGTTCCTTGCATGCTAAATCCTGCCAGCTTTTCAGCAGTTATTAGTAGACCTTCTTAGGCTTTCAGTTCCCCACACAAACCATGTCATTTCTGCCTCTGTGTTGTTGCTTACGCTGGTCTCTCGGCACGCAGGCCTCCCCCTCCCGCTTTCTGCCCAATGCTTGCATAATTACTTTCCATTCTTGAAGATTTAGCTGAGACATCATTACCTCTGTCAGCCTTCCCCATCCCCCAGCCTCTCGCCTCTCCTAAGTGCGTTTCCCTCTGTGCTTTCCGAGCACGTTGCACATTCCATGCATTCCTAATCACTGGACCGTATGGACTTCATGTTCATCCCTCCTATCAGACTGCAATGCAAGCTCCTTGTGAGTAGGAACTTTTTCTCCTTCTCCTTTGCATCCACAGTGCCGAACATAAGGTAGGCAGCTGATCAATACTGAATTGCCCTCAACAGCAGCACCTGGGCCTGGTGACCATTCCCTCCCCTTCCCGTGCTGTCTCCTCACTTGTGTCTGGCCGCCCCTCCCAGTTTCCTTCTTTGGCATCTCTTCTTTTGCCCACCCTTAAATTGTCCCCCAAGGATCTATCCTCATCCTTCTTTTCTTCCAAGTCTAATGGATCAAATCCGTATTTATAGCTTTAAGTTTCCCATCAAGTGCTGACACTCAGACCTCTCTCCTGAGCCACAAACCAGATTTTCCAACTGCCTACTGGATATTTCCATTTGGAAGTGCCACTGGCTCCTCAAAATCACCATGTTAAACACAAAGCTCATTTTCTTTTCTCCACAATTGGCTCCTTTTCCTCTCTCCCTCAGCTCCATAAATGACACCATCATCTATGTAGGTGGTGAAGCCAAAAACCCAGTAATGGATTCTCCTCTCTTCTCTGGTCACCACTCCTGTAGTTGTCACTTTCTAAAGGGCCCTCTTTAACATCTCTTGCTAACAACAAGGACAGCAGCCTTCCCAATGGGTCTCTCAGCTCAACGCTATTCATTTTCCATCAATCCTCTATGCTGCCACTAGAGCAAATTCAGTAAAATGCAGATCCCATCCGAGATTCTACCTTCAATGGCTTCCTAAGCTAGCAGCATGATACTACAGGTAGAGTAAGAACCTTGGTAGAAGCTTACCTTGTGTCCTAGAAGCTCCTTTGGGCATGTAGGTTGGACCTGTTCGGAGCTTTCTTTTCCACAGCACTGAAACTAGAGAGTCAGAAAAGAGACTTCAGGACCAGGCGGGAGGAGTAGCAGCTACAAGTCTGGGCACCCTGCTAAGGACTGGGGTGCCGAGGCGGCAAAGCAGCTCCGAGGCCCAGTCACTGCAACCCAGACTGCTATTTCTGGAAGGAGAGTGAAGAATCACATAATCATGCTGGCAAAACAAGAAAATGACTTCGCTAAAGCCATCTGAGTTTATGATGGGAAGTGACTCAAGGCAACCCAAACAAGGCAAGAAGCTAATTGACAGTGTCTGTGTAAATTGCTACTTTTTAGAAAGGGGTTGGGGCTTTAGATTCCTTCTTTCAGACTGGGAGTCATTTAACCTGCTGAGGAGCTCAAGTTTTATGAGCTGCAGAAGGACTCATTAGCTGGGAATAGTCTGGGGAAGAGGGGAGAAGTGGCTGCAGGAAATTCCAGGGTCCAAAAGACCAGATTTGAAGATTGGCCAGCAAACAGGTGTCCTGCTTAGGCTAGCTGGCCCTTTAAGACAAAAGAACCTGTGTGCTGCTTCAGGTCCTGGCGGCAGCTGAGGTGAAACCGTATAAATGTATAAATGGTGGCCACTTTCCAAGACATACTTGTCCTAGACAAGAACTAGGTACCTGAAAACACCTGGCCCAGGAATTCACAGCTACTTCTTCATATCACAGTGTCTAAAAAATCAGAATAACTCTGGCCTGGCCCATCTCCTCTGTAAGCCTTCTGTGATTAACTGCATGTAGCTCTGAGCACTCCACGGACAGCACAGTCCCACTGAATGTTCCAGAAGGGAGTGTAGCCATCTCCTGTGACCCTTCATTCTACAAATGAGGGAGCTGCGTGGGTATCAGGGAGGCCAAGTAACTTGCTCAAGGTCACAAGGCTGTTGAATGGTAGAGCTGCAGCTAGAAATTAGCTTTTCTGACTTACAGGTCACACTTGTTTCTGTTACACCACAATGCTACCCTCTGACAAAGCCTGCTATTTATCTGGGCTCCTTTCTCTGTAACCTTGTTTGTGCTCTTTTGTCTCTTTGGGGCATGTGTCTTTTGGGTTCATGCTCTTCTGTCTCTCTTGTGAACTCTGTGTGATAGACATCTTTCCCTTCTAGGGTTCCACACATAATGCAAACTGTGGCCCTCAAAAGGGCTAAAATAGGTGGTGCTACTTGGCTTTACTGAATTTATTTTTATTTTTAATCCTGGTGATTGGTGAGAACCTGGCTCACACATAATCTTTAGAAGCTGTGATTTTAAGGAAGAAGTGAAGTTACTCACTGTTGAGTGGAAGGTGATGAGTGTCCCATTGCCTTTTCCCCTGTCTTTAAGGTAATCATTGTAAGCCTCTTCATACATGGTCTGAACATGTCGGATAGCCTGAAGAAATACAAGGAAAAATGAAGGACTTCTGGGTGGGAAGTTTCAAACATTCTCCTTTCATCAAGGAAAATCTCCTCTTCCACACCTTTGAAAAACACTGCCTTTCTCATAAGAATGATACAATGGACTTTGGGGACTCAGGGGAAAGGGTAGGAGTGAGGTGAGGGATAAAAGACTGCACATTGGGTACAGTGTACACTGCTCGGGTGATGGGTGCACCAAAATCTCAGAAATCCCCACTAGAGAACTTACTCATGTAACCAAACACCACCTGTTCCCCACAAAACCTGTAGAAATAAAAAAAAATACTGCCTTTCCATAGGTATTTTAGGATAATTCAGCAACATATGGAGAAGATTATAGTTTCTGGAGTTTCTAAGATGCTTTTGAGGATGGAAGGACAGACTAACCAGAACAGTTTTCATGGACTAGAAAGATTTCTGACAGTTCCCAAGCCCAACTGGGCTTCAGCATCAACTGGGCCCCAGATTCCTGGGCTCCATCCAGATGATTTGGATGCATAGCTAGGATCCGGACTTATACATTCCTGTTACCCCATTGGTTAAAAGCATTCAAATCTTTTTATGACGTGGTTTAAAAGGTATTCATCACCAAGGAAAACTTTCTACATTCAGATATCATATAAAGCTTAGAGAATGCTTTTTCTAGTATAAAAGCTTGTGATTTCAAATCCACAGATATCTCAACAGGTCCTAAGATTCCATTCTACTTCTGTATGTAGCTGAATTTAAACTAACCTATGAACACAGCCAGTTACTTTAGAAAAATTCAAAAGGAGGTGACATTTACTATTCTACATGTTTACTGTTTTATAGTCTAAAATAAGTTCAGAAACATAATATTAATGACACAAGAGTTAATGTGAAATACACCAAACTTAAGTTTCCATTCTTCCTCCTTTTCCATTCCATTCTCTTCTATCCCACAGTGTGTTTTACAGAGGAAGAAAGGCTACTTCCTCTGTGTGTCCCCCCGATAACCTATTCTGGACACCTAGAGTTGGGCAGCAAATATAAACTGGCTTCACTAGCCCACAGCAGTGTAGGCTCTGCTCTTTGAGAATGAAATGGACCCATCCAGGCCAATCCTTAAGGACAAATGGCAGTCTGACAGGGGATGAGAATCTAGATTCTTTCTCAAGTCTGTACTCTAACTGTTACCCCATTTCACAATGGGGAAGAATCTTAAATTAGAGATCCTTTTTTTTTTGGTTTTATTATAGACCACTTCATAAGTCTAATGGAAGAGATGAACTATCTCCCCAGAAAAATGTGAGCATGTATATATGCCTGCACACTCATATACATATATGCTCAGTTCTGCACACCACTTCTAAGTTAAAAAGTTCTGTTTAAACTATAATAATGGGGATTATTTGGTTTCTTAACACTATTGTGGGTATCAATATTCTAACACTTTTAACCATCATAGAAAAACATTATAAGTAATTTTACTTACTACCCCCTTGCCTATAAAAGCAAATACTCCAGTGGTTACTTCAGCAGCAAATATCACCAGGAGGCAGGTAAAAAACTGTAGAGGAGAGAAAATACTAATTTCATTAATTTAATACCTTTTCAATTTATATATTTTGCACCTTAGTTTCCTTATGTAATGGCTGAATCGCTTTCATGTGGTTCATTCATTCATTCATTCATTCAGCAATTGTTTATTAGGCATTTATTCTGCACCAGGTACTGTCCTTGGTGCTGACTATTCAGTGGTGAACAAGATAATATCCAAATGTCTCTGTTATCACGGACCTTGGATTGGACAGAGGAATATACGATAACTGTGTAAAGAAGTTAAAAAGTGAATAAGATAAGTTCAGGTAGTGATGTAAAAATCCCACCACCTAGAACACCACCTGGCACCTACGTGCTTAGTAAATACTTGACGAACACAAAAGACCTAGAAAGATATAAAATAAGGTCAGGAGAGGGAGCATCACTGATGCGGCCTGGGCATGGGGAAGGGGGTGACTGGAGATTCTGTGGTCTGGAAAGGCTTCTTTGAGGAGATGAGGTGAGGGGTGTCCTTCTGGATGGATTTCTGTTCTGGTCTATGGATTTGCTCTGATCAAACTAAGTTCAGTGATAAACAAGACAGAAATGTGCTCAACAGTAGGAGAAAGAGAAGGAATGAATGGCAAAGAAATAAGTCAGACATTTCACATAGCAAGAGATCAGAGGCTACGGCCAGAGTTAAAAATCCAAATATCACAATAAGTAATGAGAGATGAGAGGCTGCCTATTAAAACTGCTGTTTCTGACTCCCTGTGGAGAAATATCAACACTTTCTCTCCTCCTGCCCCTCTTCTTCCTTTCTGTTTCTCTCAGGCTACACTGACATAGAATGTATAGCAGTTAATTGAAATTATTTGATTTTTGTTTTAAACAGAGGTTGCTTGTTAAAATAAGCCACAAGAGGGATTTTGGTTAAGTTATTGATCTCAAACATAAATGTTTTCCTTGTAGATAACAGCACTTCCCTGGCTATAGAAACCTTTTAGCTGCCTCACCCACTGTGAAATATTTTTTTTTAAAGAACAATCATAGTCACCCCTTACAATTACTAAGTACTTTTACTCCCAAAACATCTTTACACCAATGACGTCATTTCTTTTCACACTTCCCATATAAGGCAGGAACAAAGATAATATTTTTTTTCTTTTTTCTTTTTTCAAGACAAGGTTTTGCTCTGTCGCCCAGGTTGGAGTGCAGTGGTACAGTCATGGCTCACTGCAGCCTCCCAACTCCTGGTCTTAAGTGATCCTCCTGCCTCAGCCTCCTGAGTAGCTGGGACCACAGGTGTGTGCCATCACACCCGGTAGAGACTAGGTCTCCCTGTGTTGCCCAAGCTAGTCTTAAACTCCTGGGCTCCAGAGATCCTCCTGCCTCAGCCTCCCAAAGTGCTGGGATTACAGGCGTGAGTCATGGCACCCGGCCCTAGTTAGTATTATTCATATATAAGAGATGGAGAAACCAAGACTGAGGGAGGAAAAGTGCATGCCAAGGGCTCAGAGAGTCCACGGAGGAGCTGGAGCCAGGGGCCAGAGGCACTGACTCCCTTCAGATGCAGGCCGCTCCCTCACCCCCACCCCACCATTTACCCCCTCGCCCCACTTACTGATCCAAGCACACATTGCGACTCCCGCATGGCTCCGCAGCACCCGAAGAACCCCACGGCCATCATCAGGGCCCCGGCTCCAACCAGAACATACAGCCCTGTGGGGAAGAGGTCAGAGGAGACCACTGAGAGCCAACCGAGTGCCTCCACGACCAACTAGGCTTAAGACTCTGGGCACTGCAGAGCATTCTAATAGTACCAAAAGGAGGTGCTATTCTTACTGCCATGTTTGACACGGAGGAACTGGGCCCCAAAAGGTAAAGCGATTTGCTTAAGGTCATAGAGCTGGTGTTTGGCAGAGCCGGGAGAAAAATAGCCATGAGCCTCAAAAGCCTGCCCAACACTCCGACTCTGTCTTGCATCTCTAGTGATGGAGGCAGCCATCATTCAGGTGGGGATTTCACTTACTGCTTAGGCAAGCCCCACGTACAGTTCTTACAGAGAAAGAAAAGGACAGAAATGCTCTGGTTCTGAGAGAACTAAAGCCAAGCCTTTTTGTATTTCCTTCTCTGATCCTGAGATAAGTTAGAATACAATATGGGACTTGGCACTTGTCTTACTTGGAATCATGTTAATGGTCTCTATTTCATTTTTTGCATTTTACTCATATGAGTCACCTGGAAACCACTCCCATTAATAGGGAGGGTGGGGGCTGGTGCCCCGCCTCTGTGGGGAACCCCTGGGCCTGGCATTCAGGGTGCTTCCTGGGGCGCCTCTGGGTTGCTGATGGTGGTTTGCGGGCAGATCTGGCAGTTTACAGACCTAGTAGGAGCCACAGGCGAGGCTGCTCTGCTTCCTGCCCCACCCGGACCTGGCCTCAGCGTTCTTTTCAGGGCCCTGAGGCCTTGCTGCTCTGCAGTCCTGAGGTGGGTATTTATTTCCTGCTGTTCTAGCTCTACCACCTCCTCCCTTTCCCTTTTCTCTAAAAGAATAATTTCATGAGGGAATGGATGTGGTAATGTGAGAAATGATATCATATTAAAAATAATAGTGTTGTTGGCCCCACTACCTCAACACTTTATTGTTTTAAAAATGTCTTTCACCAAAGGTCTAATATCCAGAATCTGTAAGGAACTTAAACAAATCAACAAGCAAAAGGCAAATAACTCCATTAAAAAGTGGGCAAAAGACATAAACAGACAATTCTCCAAAGAAGACATGCAAGCGAGCAACAAACATGAAATAATGCTCGTCATCTCTAATCATCAGAGAAATGCAAATCAAAACCACAATGAGATACCATCTCATACCAGTCAGAATGGCTTTTGTTAAAAAGTCAAAAATAACAGATGTTGGCAAGGCTGGGAGTAAAGGGGACACTTTATACAATGTTGCGAATGTAAATCAGTACAGCCACTGCAGAAGGCAGTTTGGAGATGACTCAAACAACTGAGTTGAACTACCACTCGACCCGGCAATCCCATTGCTGGGTAAATACCTAAAGGAAAATAAGTCATTCTGTCAAAAGGGTACATGTTCACTGCAGCACTATTCACAACGGCAAAGGTATGGAATCAACCCAGGTGCCCATCAATGGTAGATAGGATAAAGAAAATGTGGTACATATACACCATGGAATACTATGCAGCCATAAAAAAGAACAAAATCATGCCCTTTGCAGCAACATGAATGCAGCTGGAGGCCATTATCCTAAGCAAACTATCACAGGAACAGAACATCAAATACCGCATGTTCTCACTTATAAGTAGGAGCTAAATATTGGGTACACATGGACATAAAGATGGGAATGATAGATACTGGGGACTACTAGAGGGGCACAGGTGTTGAAAAACTAACTATTGGATACTATATTCATTACCTCAGTGACAGGTTCAGTCATACCCCCAATCTCGGCATCACTCAATGTACCTTTGTAACAAACCTGCCCATGTACCCCCTGATTCTAAAATGAAAGTTGAAAAAGAAAAAAAAAAGTCATTCACTGTGTTGCAATGTTTTCAAAGCTCTCACTTCCATCATCTTATTGGCTTCTCAAAACAACGTGGTTAGGTAAGCAAGGACTATTATTTCTGTTTTACAAATGGAGGTCTGAGAGTCAAGATGGCTGTAGGCAGGATGCCCTGGCCTGCAGCCCCAATTCCCATCCCACACTTCTATTTGACCACCCCACAGAAGCGAGCTGAATGCAGGGCGGCAGCAACAACACCATATTCAGTTCCTTCATGGAATGTCTCCTGGTGGACCCCCTTGCTGCAGAACATGCCCATTGCCTCTCATTGCTACTGCCACAATTGCTACATGATGCCGTTTGCAGATCTATCATGAAGTCACAGCCTACAGAACAGTTTCCCCCAAAATCTTTATCCATCCTATGCTCCAGCCACCTGGGAATTCACCATGATCTGGCTGTGTCCTGCTCTTTTCCATTTTGTGCTTTTGCAGGTTCTCATATTAGTCTCTCATTATAGATTTCAAGTTGACAAACCTTATTCATCCTCTCTAGAACATGCCCTGCACAAGGCAGAATTCTTAGTCAGTGTGCATTGGATTAGTAGATAAGACAGAGAAAATCAAATCAGTTCCAGGCTTGCTGGCTGTCATCACCCATCTTTGCTTAGAGATATATGCTGGAAACAGGTCTCAGCAAACATCCACAAAGCAACTACATAGCTGTGCTCTCCAAAGCCAAGCACATGAGGATGGTTGCTTCGCACCCCGAGACACCCTGGAATATGTGAAAGAGGGAGGCTCGTGAGGAGGCAGGAGGCTCACTGGACAGGGGCACAGAGGTTTGAGGAGGCCAGAGTTGTTCCCCACTGTAAATGAAACTGTCTGCTCCCTCAGGCAACAATCCTTATCCTTCTGAAATAATGAGCTTTTCAGGAAAGTGTGCTTTTTTGAACAATATTTCATTCTTAGGCTATCAGAATCCCAGAGCTCACGGCAAAAACAACCTGAAGCTGCCCTAGCAGCTTCAACTTTGAGGCCACTTCTCAGCCAGCCTCTGTTTTGTATGTGTGGGCCCGTGACTCAGCCCAGCTCCAAATGAACATTGCTTGCTGAAGCTGAAGGGAAAAGCAGAAGAAATTCTACAAGAGGAAAGGTTCCCTGGGCGTGCCGGATCCAGTTCCAAATCTGGCTCTAATACTCCGCATGCCATAAGGCCACCTGTGGCTTCCAAGGATACTTTATCCTTCTTATGGTCTGACCCTCAAAAAATAGCTGCTGAATGTAATAATTAATTTACAGCCACATTTTAAATTCCAAGATGGTTACTGTAGAGCCTTCTCCTTCCCACAGGAGCAGGTGTGACAAACATACGACCTACTTCCCAAAGCCCTCATGCTTTCCGAGTCCTATTGCCTTTGATTTGAAAAATAGAAAACATTTTGAAATTACATTTTCATCATGAATAGCTGGCCTTTGGGATGCCAGTGATCTCTGTGACATGCTACCACAAGTACTTTCCCTGGGACACCTTCATTTTTAAAAATTTAAAAAGTATTTAAAATTATTTATTAATATCTTACTGATACATAATAGTTGTACACATTTTGGGGGTACATATGCTATTTCAATGCATGTATACAATGTGTAAGGATCAAATCAGTGTCACTGAGATATCCATCACCTCAAACATTTATCTTTGTGTTGGGAAGTTACAATTCTTCTCACCTAGCTACTTTGAAATATATAAAAATTATTGCTAAATATAATTTTCCTACTGTTCTATAGAATACAAGAATTTCTTCCTTCTATTTAACTGTATTTTTGTACCCATTAAGCAGCTTCTCTTTATCTCCCCAACCCCCTACACTCTGCGGCCTCCAGTAACCATCAGTCTACCCTCGGCCTCCATGAGATCCACTTATTCAGTTCCCACATGAGTGAGATCATGTGATATCTGCTCTTCCTGTGCTTGGCTTGTTTCACTTAACACAATGGCCTCTAGTTCCATCCATGCTGCTACAAATGACAGGATTTCTTTCTTTTTATGGCTGAGTAATATTCCATTGTGTATATGTACCACATTTTCTTCATCCATCCATCTGCTGATGGACACTTAGGTTGACTCCATATGTTGGCTATTATGAAAAGTGCTGCAATAAACATGGGAGTGCAGATGTCTCTTTGATTTACTGATTTCCTTTCTTTTGGATATATACCCAGCAGTGGGAATGCTGGATGATAGCTCTATATTTATTTTTTGAGGAACTGCCATACTGTTCTCCATAGTGGCTGTACTACTTTATATTCCCACCAATAGTGTACGAGGCTTCCCCTTTCTCCAGATCCTTGCCAGCATTTGCTATTCTTTCTCCCTTTGATAATAGTCATTCTAGCTGGGGTAAGATATGGAACATGTTCCCAGGCAATTCCATCACTCTTTTCTTAGGTTTCAGAGTCTTCTTTTAAGCTAGAAACATCATTTTAGTTAACATAAAAATGAGAGAGAACCTCCTAACGGCCTACTGGGATAAACTCACTTAAAAATGTGGTTCCCCCCTTTTAGGGACTGGACGTGGTCATCAATTTTAATGGCTTTCTAGCAGCAGATGGTTTTACATAATCTGCTAATGACCATTTTTTTATTTGAAATTTTTTTATGTCCCTACATTTATGTCCCTTCAGTATCCCCTGAATGCATATAATAATGCAAATATCTAGAATATTGAATGCAACTTAGTTTTTGGGAAGGGCAAGTGTTTCAGATTTAGGATGTTTTCACATTTTGGAATGTTTGCATTACACTGGTTGAGCATTCCTAATCCGAAAATCCCAAATCTGAAATTATCCAATGAGCATTTCCTTTGAGAGTCAGGATAGTGCTCAAAAGGTTTTGGATGTGGGGGAATTTTGGATTTTGGATTTTCAGATTAGGGATGCTCGATCTGTAATAACAATAGCCAATATTTACTGAGGGCTCACCACAGAACAGATACTATGCTTAAATATGTTCATATTTCACAGCTGAAGAATCTGAGACACCAAGAAATTAAATAATTTATGTAAGATTGCATAGCTTGTGAGGGGAAAAATTGGAACTGAACCTAGGGGAGCCTACTCCAAAGTGCAGTCCCTGAACCCCTATGCTTTCGTTTTAGCAGTAACTGTGAAGAACAACAATGCTCTTAGCTAGAAATTGGTTCATTTTGCAATTTATAAATGGCAGTAGAGTTATTTTTCTTCTCCCTTGAGAAAAGTACTTGAGATGTCTAGAATTGATGATTCCTGGTTTTTCCTCTGAAAGTACAGGGCTGGGAGCCAGAAATCCAGGCCTGCCAACTATGGCTTGAGGTAAGTCTTCCTACCCTTCAGTTTCGTTAGCTGCAATATGGAAATGATTGTCTATTCCAACTTCTTATAAAAATGCTCTGGAGAAATTGTCTCAACAATGTAAGCTACAACACCTCTCTGGTATACAGCTACCATGGATGTCAGGTACAAGTGAAAACCAAGTAAAAAAATATGACCAGCGTGAGTCAGAGTTTTTAACAAGCCAAGCCACCCCCTTGGTGTTCGGCACTGGAATGCTTTCCTTATACATAACATCCAGCCACAATCAGAGCCAGGCTTGGAGACTCTGAGTTCCACAGGGAGAGACAGCTGCAGTCAGGCTGCGATCCTGGAGAGCCGAGTGGCTCCTGCGTGTGTGGGCAACCCCTTCTTGGAGAAAACCTGTTAATATCCTCTGCTCACAGACATGACTTCATGCACCAAGCACACAGTCTCTCCAGTTTTCCAAGGGCTGAGGGGCTCGCTCCCTACTCTGTAACTCTAGAAAGAAGACCCCTGGGGTGTCTGCCCACTCCAGAGAGGGACTGTAACAGGAAGTCAGATGGGCAGGTTGCTGGAATTTGGAAGACACGGGGGCTTCTCCCAAGAGTGCCCTGAAAGAGACTAGCGTGGACAAGGTCTAGGCAACACGGAGCAACCCAAGCCCTCCTCTGCCAGCGTCACTCCTGCCAGGTCCTCTCTTCTACCCTTAGCAACCAGTGGACACAGAGACTTTGGAAGGGCCTCCAGGCCTTGGCCTGGATGCAGAGGGCCCTGAGAAGAGACACAGGTGGCAGTCAGTCTGACTATCCTCTCGCCCTGTCCTCATTTCCCACAGCTGGATCCTCCTGCC
The DNA here is from genome assembly GCF_000001405.40 of Homo sapiens. NCBI lineage: Eukaryota > Metazoa > Chordata > Mammalia > Primates > Hominidae > Homo > Homo sapiens. The sequence continues at coordinate 115,068,226 of NC_000001.11, forward strand.
CTGCCCTGGGATTGACCACACCTCTGGCTTGGAGGTTATGTCTGATCTTTATCACAGGAAGGGAAACTCGCTCCATCCCCAAGGAAAGAGAACCAAGGATGCCAGAAAGGAAAGCTTCCCCCAGAAGATGGGACAATTTCCCTTACAAAGTCTGGCAGTCATCTACCCCGAAGCAGGGACCTAGACAAGTGTGTCTTCCTGGGGTTCCTCTCAGAGAGGAGAGTCAAGGCTGGAAGGGCTTATTTCTTTAAGAACCATTTGAATGTGCCATGCCTGTTTAGGACACTCTTTAACAAAGGGGTGATAAGAGTTTAATGGGCTGATTTATCTGGAACCTATTCTGAAAAGGAAATACCCAGATCAGTGAATGGTGCCCTGTGACAGTGGAGTGAGATTTTCCAAACACTGGGCCTGTTTGTTTCCTAAAGTGCTATCACCTCATACTGTATGTTGTGCAAATCCATAAACAGCATCCTAGTGTATTTTTCTTCTTGTTTTGTTGCTGGAGAGCAGGTATCTTATGTGGAAAATTATTTACTGAGGAAAAAATGTCAATTTCTACAAACATGTCTATTGTCTTTCTATTTATATTATAAGACATACTTGAAAGGGAAAAAAGGTACCTGACTTCACAAGGACTTCTTGTTGCCACTATCCAGAGAGGCAGCACCGGGAGACAGGGCAAGCACGGACCTGGCTGTCAGCAAACCTGGGTTCCAGGCCAAGCCCCACCAGGAGGAGCTGGGAAGCCCTGGCTGACTGCCAGCCCCAGGTGTTTATCCACAGCCTGTAGTTTCCTTATTCTGCGTGGTGCTAAGTTTCTATGATGACCCACTTCTCTGAACTTTGAGCATGGATCGTGAGTGCCTTTACCACCAACCACTCTGGGCTGCCTTAGGAAAGGGAGATGGGGTGGACGAGGAACGAAAGGTGGGTAAACCCATATCATGCCCTGTGACACCAAGAGCAAGCAGGAGGATTCAGGCCCTGCTGTGGCCTGCTGTTTTCCCTGCCCAGAATCCACTTCTTTTTCTCTATTAGGTAAAGGGAACTCCTCCATTCTCAGCCCATGTGGTTTGAGAGGGCTGACTCACCTCCAGCTCCACGGTGGGCATGAAGCCCAGGCATATGCCCACAAGCAGCTGTCCACAATGACAAGTTCGAGGATGGGCACGAGGTCCAATACTGCCAACGAGAGTTAGGCCTGGGGCATTACATGCATCTGTTGGAATGAAAAAAGCATGTTCTACTTCTGGAGTCACTCTGGAAGTGGAGCCTAGAGCCACTGACGGCCGTTTTATCACATGGAGAAGAAACCTGCTTAAGAATGGAGCCAAAGGAAAGCAGGGCCAAGAGATGGCTCCAGACTGGACTCTGGTCACATCATCTGAGTCCCTGAGACCAGTATTAACCCTTGACCTTTCAAGTATGTAAGTCAATAAAGGTCTGTGTTGCTTTAGTCAATTTGAGTAGGTGTCTGTGATTTGCAATACGAAGAGTCCTGATAGACATGTCCATAAAGATATGACATAATGAAGAATTCCTCATATCTCAGGCAGTGTGTGTATTGTTTGGTTTAGATTAGAAACAAAATCAGGAATGTGGGTGTAGAGCCAGTTCAGCCTCTGGCTCAACACAGGAATCTCCTGAATGAAACACACAATTCTGATTCTTGCCACGATAGTGGTTAAATATGACATGAAGGAGAGCTCACTTTCATCTATGGAAGTCTATTCAACCTTTTGATGTATCTAATCATAAAGGTTTTTATGTGGAACTGACATCTAGAGCTGTGAAATGGTTATCAGCCCTTTGTTTCTGGAGAAACACAGACTGAGGTTGCTCCCGGGGAGGTCTTCCATCTGTAGCGCCACGCAACGGCCCCTCCCTCTGATGGAGCGGGGGCCCCTTACTTAGACCTGTAACTCAGGTTTCCATCAGAAAGTCATGAATTATTACTGAGAGGCTTGACTCTGCCTCTCACTACCTCTTTTGCCATTTTGATTTCTTCTGTCCCTGAGTTTGATTAGGCAGGCTTAAAAATGTTTAATAATGTTTCTTATCTTTCTGTTTCTTTCTTCTTAATTCCTTCTGCAATCACTGTGGGTTATACCCTAATTTGTCCGGCCTGATTATATCAATAATCTGCTTTTTTTTTTTTTTCTGTCCTGGGATTCCCCTTTCATTCTACTTCTGCCATAATAATCTCTTTAAAGTACAGTGCAGATCATACCCTACCCCCGGCCCCAAATCATTCTTCTACTGTTTACCAACTTAACCCTGACATTCAAAGGCCTCTATACTTGTCCCCTTTCCCTCCCCAACATTCCAAATCCTACTGCCCACCATGCCCTAGTCCTCAGACCCCAACAGAGCCCCCAGCCCCTCCCAGCTTGCTAATCCCTCCCCACAGCCATTCTTTGTGCATGCCTTCCCCTCAGCCTTTCTAGTCCCCATTTTTCCTCTTCTCCATTGATTACAGCCTGGTCTTTAAAACCTAACTTAAATCCTTCTTTCCTTACCAGTTTAGAATGACCTCTAATGCACCCACTGCAAATACCACTTAGCTGGCATTTAGTCACATACTAATTTTTATTGTAATTTAAATTGTGAAGTCTATGAGTCTTTTCATTTATATTACAAGTTACATGGGGGCGGTTACAGAATTCTTATACATTTTTGTGTGACAGCAGAGCCCAGGACTGTGAATGCTGGCCAATGGATTATATTTAGGTTATACTGATAGGTTATATTTTTTTGTCTCAAATGTCCTTGCCCTGTGCATACTTCCTGGAAACCATGTGGGTAGAAAGGAGCATTTCAGTTTTATGTCTACGGCAGATTCCTCTGCTTTTTCCTTGTCACAAAATCCCAATCTTGTCCAAGTGTCACAGGTCCTATGGGGAGCCCAGGCCCCTCCCCAGGCCCAGGGGAGGGTGTGAGGGTGTGAATATCAATTAGTCAGAGATCCAATCATAGTAATTCGCTTCTTGGCCATGATTGGTTTAGGCATGAATACAGAATGCAATTTTGACTAATAAGCTGCAAGGGGAAATGTGTTGGGAGATTCTGAAAAAGGTTTTACTCATTCAAAAAAGGGACCCTATGAAGCGAAATTTGCTTTGTTCTCTTTTGGATGTTGCTGTACGAGAATACGATGCCTGGAGCCACTGCAGCTATCTTTTAAGGGGAGATGTCTAAGGACACTGAAGACAGCAGAGAGGGGGAAAGAACCTGGGCCTTTGATGACTTTGTTCAGCTCTGAACGAATTCTGGAAAGTCCCCATCTCCAGACTTCTTTTACTATATTTCATCACTGTTGAGATGATTTATTTTTTGGTATATTTTAACAATGCTGAAATTAGAATGCATCTTTTATGGTATGTCATAGCTAAGCTAAACTGGTAGCATTTTTTCCTTTCTTAATGGAACCTAAAATAATTGAGTGTTTTACAAAGAGCCACATCTAAGATTTCCTGAAATGTGGAATGTCCTTATTGTTATCCATCTTTAGTAGGTTTTCTGCTACTCTCCTCTAAAAGTATCCTAACTGACACAGCTCTTTTCCTCGCAGGAGGATGCTGTGTGGGAAGAGTGTTTGTAATAAGAGGTAGCACAGCTGCAGGCTGGCCCTTCGGGAGGATGTCCCTGCTCTGAGTGGGGCCTGCGCTCTCTCTCTCATGGAAGAGACTCTACTCTTCTTGTGATTTAGAGCAAATGACCTGTGCAGGATGCTCTTCCTCCCTGCCATAGAGGTCACCACAGCAACTGAAGCTTACTCTATGGCTGGTGCAGATCCTAAAACAGCCAGTATATGGGGGTGCCACCTTTAATGACAATTGTCTTGGGCTTTTTGAAATCTAGAGTCTTAGTCCACTTAGCTGGGGAATGAGGAAAGGTCACAGGAAATGCTAGAATTAGGTCAACTAATCCCAGGGCAACAATGCTCAGCCCCTACTAAGAACACTGCCTTGCGGGTGGAGGCTGCACCCCACCCCACACTCCTCACCCCTTCCTACAGAGGTGGGGTCAGAGCTATTGCCCCTTCCTGCTGGAACCTCTTCCCAGGGGAGTCCCTCTCATCTCCTCTCCCTCCATCCCTCCTCTCCCTCATTCTTCTCTCTCCTCCCCTCCACTCTGCAGTCCCTAGTCATGGAGAGACTGAGATTAGCACCTTCAAACCTGTATTTTGAGTTATGTTTTTTCCTAGACAATTTAAAATATAAGATCACAAAATAAAATCCTACAGGGGTCCCGTGTCACCCCATATAGACTAGTGAATGACACACTTGTGGTGTACCCACTTTACTCCAGGGGCAATAGGGAGTTTTCTCATTCTTTGAAATAAATTTTAGCTGCATTTCCTTGAGACTTCTTTCCTTGAAACAAAGCACAACAGGCTGCTCTTACCAGCCCCAGACTCCCTTGATTTTGGAGAGCGGAGGAACAGACCGTGTGAGGGCAAGGGGAAGGGGTCACCACAGCCTCTCTACCTGTCTCCAGCAGACAACTCGGAGGGCTACACCAGTGCACAGGGGCTCAGAGGTGGCTCCTTTCAGCGTCTTTCCCTGCCTCTCTGCCCTCCCCCTCCCACCAAAGTTCAAGTGCAGCTTCTGCTCTAAGTCTTTGCACAGCCCCATCTACTCTGAGCTGGAGCTTAGGAAGCTGGAGTCACTCACCCACATAGAAATACTCTGGGGACTTGTCCTCTGATGATAACTCCTTTATGGCACCTCCGAACCGAAACCATAGTCCAAAAGCAATGACGGCCGATCCAGCCAGCTGGAAGGCAAACGACACTGTGTTTACAGTGGAAGGGGAAAGAGCATGCACAGATCCGAGAGCAGGCTCTAGGCACAGGATGCTGACAAGGTCACCCCTTTGGAAATCACTTAGACCACCTTCCCATTTTATAGGGGAGAAAATGAAGGCTCAGAGAGGTGAAGTGATGTGCACGAAGCCCCTCAGGCCCCTGATGTGACATTGGACTGGGTTTTTCTGATTCTGAAAGCAGGGTTTTTCCATGATGCCAGGCTGCCCTGTGGTTATGGGGCACACACAGCACAGCCAGGGAGGTGTCTCAAAAGCAATGTTCCAATAACATTCCCTCTGGAAGGCATCTGCCCCTGCCTTTTTGTCCCTTGCTGGGCATGTTGGATCTCTTCACCCACACCACAACGAGAGGTGACTATGTCTCAGCTGCCAGGTCACCAAGAGCACGATGAACTCCAAGACCTGGGGGAAACCCACTTTTCTGAATGGGAAGAAAATACAGCAACCTCAACCTCAGAACCCACCCACACCTCGTGAGTGCACAGTCCCCAAATAGAAAGCGGTTTTAGGGGCATTTGTAACCCTCTCCACCATCCTATATGGTCACTGCCCTGACTGGGGATGGTTTTGCTGGTAGGGAGATAGCCTAGTCTTTTTTTTTTTTGGTTGCTATTTTGAGTTTCCATGGAAAGTGAGAAAGGAAAAAATAATTTTCTGAAAAAGCGTGGTCTGTGTGCTGTGTGGCTCATGGAGAGGCTGAGTGGCTGGCACAGGCAGTGGCTAGGCAGGCTGGCGGCTGGTAGAGTCATCACCCGGCTTCCTTTCCTTCCCTACTCTGAAGGCTTTTGTGAGGCTCAGCTTGGAAGTTGGAAGCCCTTTCTGCCATCTCAGGACTGTCATTGCTGCGTGCCAGCAGGCTCTAGCCACGGTGTTTTCTCTCCACAAACACCACTCTCGAATTTCACTGTATCAATCCATCAACAGATATTTACTGGACACCTTCTGGGCCCAGGGCACCATGGGAAAGTAAGCAGAGATATAAAAATAGCCTCCTAATTCTGCTAGCCCATCCAGTTGCTGTTGGGCTGCCCTAGTCTACCACTAAATGAACAATTTAGAGGCTTCCCCTGCCCAAACAGAGCAGAGCACACACAGACGCTGGGAACAGGAGCATGGAGGATGGAAATCAGAGAAGCAGAGGTCTAAAAGGAAAAATCGCACCAGAGACAGCATAGTCCTTTTTATACAGGGGACTTCTGTCTTGCCAGGCAGCTTATAAAGGACCCGGAACTAGCCTTCTGGACGATCTGGCTGGATTTCTATGAGGACTTTATCCCTCTTCTCCTTCTATCTCCCAAGGCCAATCCCCTTTGTGGCCAGCTTCTTCAGAAAAGAGGTGCGACCTCAGTGAGGAGGAGTCAGAGGGGCAGAATTCTACCAGCTGGACTCTCCCTTGTGGAGTAACTAAAAGTTTCCAGTACTTAGAGGAAAGCACTAATTGGATAATGTGAGGGGCAGCTAAAGGACCCGGGATCAATCAGCTTCTGAAAGACGTCTGCATTTAAAAAAAGGGTGGCATGTCATGGAAACATATTGAAAGGAGTTTTGCTAAAACATTATTTATGAAGGACAGGATTCCAGGTGACTTTTTTCCTTCTCAGTATATTTTCTAAGTTCTCTGCATTAAGCATGTATTTCTCTTGTAACTTTAAAAATACATTTTTAAAGTGTTACACGGTAGTTTCTATGTGCAATCCAGAAAAAGTGGGGAGAGTCTTCTTGGGCCATGCTTTAACTTGGGAGGACACCAGCTTTGAGGTCCTTGCTGTTCCTGTGTAGGAAAGAGAGCAATGCCCTTGGTCAATCACCTAGGTTCCTCCTAGAAGCATCTGGAGGCTGCCTGGGACAAGTCTGCCCAGCAAAGCCTCACAGGCAACCCTGCACGCCCTCATCTCTGTGGCGACTCAATGGAAAGACAGAGTTTCCAAATACAAAGCAAGACCTATTGACAGAGGCATCAGGCCAAAGCCAGCAGCCACCGAGCAGACTGTGGAGGAGGTGACTGGTCCCAGGGACACCCCACCACGAGGCCACATTTTTGGAATCTCTGTACACAAACTCTAATTTATAGCTGTCTGGGATTATCCTCCCAGACAGAATACATTTGTCCAGTTCTGGCACAGATGTGTTTGATGCATAATGGAAAATTAAAAGAGAGGTTGCAATTTAAAGCCATTGGGCAATGGGAAAAAATCTGCGCTTGCTCATCCATGCCCCTAACCCCCAACCACACGGGTTTCCTCCTGGGTCAAGGAAACTGTGGCTTAGCTGAATGTCATCACTGTGTGGAAGGGAATCCTCCCAGCAGGCTGCTGCCGGCTGTGTCAGGGATGCTGTGGGTAAGGACCCGGCCAGGGTTGATGCTGCTTGTGACAAGAGACAGGGCGATCACTGCTCTGGAAAGTGGCATCGGCACAGACCACACAGCACTTTGGTCCTTTTTAACTCGCCATTCCTTTAAGATTCATGGAATGCTCTGTGTTCACTGGGCTTTGATCACAGACTAGAAATTGCTTGAAAAAAATTCACACCAGTTCCAGTCCAGTCAGGAACAAAGTGAGCATGTCAGTGTCACTAAGTTCTCAACATTCCCTGTATTCCATAGAGCTGGAGGAAATGGTCTCCCCAAAGACCTGAAGGAAGTCTTCAAACTCTCTAATCCTAAATTTTAACCCGATGAGGCCAAAACTGCCTCACGCCCACATTCTCTCTTCTCCCTTTAGTCTCAACCCCTCTTGCATTCAGACATAACATTGCACCTCAGCCAATGTTAAAACAAATAAGAAATGGGAGGCTACCATTTTTTTTTTAACCTTTCCTTCTTCTGCCCCCAGCCACATCTCCCTTCCCTGTCTTTCTTCCTTGCATGTTTATTAAGAATAAACTACAGTCCAGGCCAGGTACTGTGCTCAGTGTCAGGGAAACGATGATGAAAAAGACATGGTTCATAGTCTAATGTGGTAGATAGTCACATAAAGTACTAAGTGCACTATAATGCAGGAAGTGTGCTGAAGAGGAACAGCATGCACACTGCCAAGGGATTGGAGCAAACTGTAGCCACTGGCATGCAGGAGGAATCATTAAATTTTAATTTACATCTTGAAGAATGAGTGAGAAGTCACTGGGCAAGGAACGACTGGCAGCAGAGGCGAATTCCAGGCAGAGATGGTAGTACAGAGGTTCATTTCCTTACCTCGATGCTGTGTTTGTTAAGGAGAGTCTGGGGGAGGTCGGAGGTTGGGGCTTGAGAGGGTGTGGGACAGACCATGACTCGGCTTCTACTTTGTTTGCTACCATCTTGGAAAGCCCATAGCAAGGTCTGCCTGAGGGGAGGAGGGACAGAAGCCCACACTTTGATGGAAACCATCAGGAGCATGAATGTTACCTGGAGGTCAGACATAGCAGGGAGCCAAAGGGAAAGGCTTGAATGGCTGAGGACCAGGGACAGGACACCAGGGGAGTGGACGTGGAGAGCTGTGAGAACTACGAACTCACTGTACTCATTGAAGAACTTTGCTGAGGGCTGCCCTGCTTCCAGGACCAGCGCCAATCCCTGTGCCTTTGGAACAATTACAACTAGAAACATTGTTGTTTTTCTGGAAATGGACTTTTTCATACAGAAGCAAAAGTTGGACTTTGATGTTAATCCTTTAAAATACACTTATTGAGCAACTACTATGAGTCAGAAGCCAAGGTTTCAGAGATGAGGAAAGTCCAGTCCTTCTTCTGGGGCTCAAGGAGACGCTAATCCCCACTGGGTGGCCCAGGAGGGAATCCAACCCTGCAGGTGGGAAGTCAATCCAGAGGCAGCCCACCAGAATGCACATGAGAAATTGCCAGAAAGCACCATTTTTTGAGTCCTCCCTCCCTTTTTTTTTTTTTGACAAGGTCTCACTCTGTCACCCAGGCTGGAGTACAGTGGTGCCATCACAGCTCACTGCAGCCTCAACTTCCCGGGCTCTAGCGATCCACCACCTCAGCCCTCCAAGTAGCTGGGAATACAGGCACACACCATCACACTAGCTAATTTTTGTATTTTTTGTAGAGATGGGGTTTTACCATGTTGCCTAAGCTAGTCTCGAACTCCTGGACTCAAGTGATCTGCTCACCTCAGCCTCTCAAAGTACTAGGATTACAAGTATGAGCCACCGTGCCCAGCCTCATCATTCCTTTTCTGAGGACCGGTTGTATGTGAGGTACTCAGAGAATGTGATAAAATAGTATTTAAGGGCAAGAGTGTGCCAACTGTTAAAAAGAGGACAAGAAAAATACTTAAAAAAAAAAAAAGAAGATAAGAATGCAGGGAAAGGAATAGATAGTGACAATAATTCCAAGTCATTAAATAGGGGATCATCACATATGGTTATAGTACGTATTGTCTTGGGCAAGTTCTTTCAGTAGCTAACCATATTCCAGAGAGTTTGGAGGACACGAAATTGCAAATTGTAAGCATATGTCTTTAGTGAAAACAATGTGTGTTCTAAAACTCAAGAAACAGAAGAAGGACTGAAAACTTGATTAGAAAGCATTTAAAGCAAAGTGGATGGACAAAAAGTTTTCTTTAATAATGGCTATCTGCCAAAAAAAAGTCATCGTGCATGAAGCAGAGCTTGCTAATAGATTTCAATTTTATTTTACTGTACTTACTTCCATTTCCTGGGATTGCTGATGAGATGTCCTATCTTGAGGACATATTTTTTCATTTTAAAAAAAGACAGGTTTCACAAATTGCAAACATGGTCCCTAGGCAGGCGCTGCGGTTGGAGTGGGGTGGTGCTGAGATGCAAGAATGCAGAGATCATTCCTCATTCTGGCCTCCCCAGTCTGCCCAGCTGTCCTCCTTTTCCTGGAGGTTAGCCAACCAGATCACCAAGAGCAAATACCTGCTATCCACTTTCTAGTGACTAAGTCCAGCAAAAAAGCCCCCTTTGGGGGTAAAAAGCATCATTTAGGGAAGTTCTAGACAGCATGTGCACTGATACCTAAGTGGGAAACACAGGTCCTGGCCCTCAGATGCTCCAGCTACAGTTTCAGATCCTTCCTGCCCCTGTGGAGGTCTCTGTTCTTGCTGTTCCCTCCTCCGCCTCCCCCTAGCTGACACCCATTCACAGCTCTAACATTAATTCCTCAGGGAAGCCTACCATGACCTAGATAGGTACCTTCTTTTATATCTCACATAATGTTTTCTACTTAAATATGCCCATATTTTGTAAATTAAGGCCTAAGCTCTGTGAGGGCAGGGACAGGGTCTATATTGCTGTTTCCCAAACATAATCCCCTCTGCCCTGCAGAGTGGGCTCCCAATAGACATTTGCTAAATGAGTGAATGGAGGACCTTCACAAAGATGCTATAGACTGAATTGTATCCCTCCAACCTGCAAAATTCACAGGTTGAGGCCTAATTCCCAGTGTGAGGATATGTGGGGTTGGGGCTTTGGGAGGTAACTAGGTTTAAATGAGGTCATGAGGGTGGGGCCATCATGAGGGACTAGTGCCCTTATAAGAAGAGACACCAGAGAGCTTGCTTTCTGTCTCTCCACCATATGAAGACATGGCAAGAAGGTAGCTGTCCACAAGCCCTCACCAGGGAGCCCTCACCAGAATCCAACCTGACTTCCAACCTCCAGCACCTGACCTCTGACTTCTAGTCTCCAGAACTGTGAAAAATAAATTTCTGCTTCAGCCACCCCACTCTGTGGTATTATATTTTTAAAATGTCAGCTTGAGCTGATTAAGACAGGCTGACAGGAGCAATTGCGAACAACCTCCTTCACAAGTCTCCAAGGGAATACTTCACAAAGTGCTATTTTCAAACTCATCTGCACCTGGGAAACACTGCAGATACCTTCGAAGGCACTGTGTGAACACGCTGTTGAATATGCTCAGCAAAACACATGCCTCAGAAACAGAAAACAAAAGTAGAGCACATAGTATCAGTTCTGTGTTTTCCTAAGCCTGCAGGAATGTGTGTTGTGTACCATCCACGGATACAAAGAATAAATCTACACAATGTAAATCTACACAATGTATACATGCCTTCCACTGGCAGGGGCATATGAACACAATACAATTATAGCGCCACACACACACACACACACACACACACACACGCGCATGCTGCACTCAAATGAAAGAATGAACAAAATCAATTCTGTATTCTTGCTTCTCCAGGGTGAATACCAACTCATTTGCAATTCTCTTCTTTGGGATGAAGTCACAAAATTGGAAATGATGCTTCAACCCTAGAATTTTCATTAAATGCTTTTAAGCTAATACTTGCTCTTGGTGGCAATTCTCATCCCCATTGGAATCACATAATGAGCACTTATGATTATTGATCTGATTGTAAACCCCATTATGATACCTTAAGGGTAATGGAGTCTCACCCTCTTAGCAGGCAAAAGTCAGAAGCACATTTGCTCTGGAAGATGATCTGAATTTTCTCAAAGAGGAAAACCAGCTCCCAAGATTTTTATTCTGTTATGCAGTAAAAGCAAGTCAAGGATTCAGATGGCATTTCTTCAAAATCAAGGGTTTTATCAGAAAAAATACAAGAATTGAATGCCATATGACATCTATGTCAAATGGTCTCCGAAGGACCTCACTACCTTGGCCTTCATCAGGACCAGGTGAGTGGGAACTGAGAGGCAGGACTGTGGCAGCCTGTGGCGATGAGAAGGCTGTGTTAGTCTGGAAATGCATGGCAGCTCCTTTAGGTACCAGTGTTTCTGATCTCCCCATTATTTTCCTCATGCCATTTCCTAAGAAAAAGCTCACAGTAAGAAAAACTTCCTTCAGGTAAGAGTATATTTTATAATTGACCAATGCTTAATTCTCTGCAGTGATGGAAGGGTGGTGCAATTCAGGCCACAATAAAATCAGGAGTGTTCCATTCATCTCTGCAAAGAACACTGGGCTATACATTTGTGCCAGATGCACCTTCAGTTTGTTTAAATTGTTATAAAGTTAACTTGCATGGGTCAACCAACATTGCTGGGGGCAGTTTAGAAGTGCTGGAGAAATATAAGCTCAGGGGAAGGAAACTAACTTGGGATGAAAAGCTTGCTGCAAATGATAGAGCAGATAATTTACATATAGACAGTGGAAAATGTGTTGTTTATTTGGTGATTATACATAATGTCTTTTCTCTTAACAATACAGGGAGAAGGAGAAGGAGATTAGGGAACATCAAGAATTAGGAGAAAGACGATGGCTGTGTAGTTTTCTTGCTTTTTATTTTTTTGAGATAGGGTCTTACTCTGTTGCCCAGGCTGGAGTGCAGTGGCCTGATCACAGCTCACTGCAGTCTTGACCTCCCAGGCTCAATCCATCCTCCCACCTCCTCCTCCCACTACAAGCATGTGCAACCACATCCAGCTATTTTTTTCTATTTTTTGGTAGAGATGGGGCCTTACTTTGTTGTCCAGACTGGTCTTGAACTCCCGGGCACAAGTGATCCTCTTGCCTCAGCCTCCCAAAGTGCTGGGATTACAGGTGTGAGCCACCATGCCCAGCCTATGTAGTCTTCTTTATACTATACAGCAAAATGAAATGTCATAGACTACTGGCTAAGGATTCCAGGGAGCAGATGGCTTTCTCAAATGAAGATCAAATATGTACAGAACTAAAATCTGGTCTACCAAGTCACAGAAGTGAACTGAACTCAATGTCTGCCTTACTTACCTCATCAAGGGGATAAGCCCGGAGAGGAAAAAAATGGTCTTTTCTAGGTTCAGCGGACCTCCTCCTTGGAACATCCAGCTGGCTCTCATCCTAGGCCTGCCCTCTGCATATATAATCACTTATCTTGGAGGCCACAATGACTACTGTGACATCTCATCTATATAGAGCTTTACATAAGCAAAGACAACACATTAAACAATATTTATTTATAGTGGTTGGGAGAACTACTTTGGAGCAGATAAACAATTCTTAATTATTGATCAATAAATAATGATCTTCATCCAGTTTTAGTTGTTACAGAATGACAGTGGTTAAAAAAATGTTTCAAATGGAACTAAGGCTAGATTAGAAAAGCCAAAACAATTTGTTTACTAAGAAGTTAGCATGGGTGGAATCTAGCAGAAATTGTGAAAGTCTAGCTTGGTGCTCTATAGAGATTTTTCTTAAAAGCCATTTTACCAGGACCTGTTTGAGGTCAGGAAGGTGCAGCACTGGTCCATTCACAGAAGGCTAGATAGACTCTGGCGGGAGCAGGGAGACAAAGTCGGCTTCCTGGATGAGTGACAGCAACTTCCAATGCACCCCTGGCCCTGCTCAGCCTTGCTCTGCCACCCCTGTTAATAAGCTGACTCTTTCCCAATCACCATTACGATGTGGAGGACAGAGCTTGGTACACATCCTGGAATATCTGCCAACTGTTCTTCTAGAAATTCACCTCTTCTGGGTGTTCAGAATATATAATGATGCCCTTAGGGTAATAAACACATGCGTGCATACGGTACGTAGGTGTAAAGGAGTTGTAGTGGATAAAAATGGGGGTTCTACGCATTTGGGTTTGAATCAGACTCTGGCACTTACTGGTCCTATAATCTTGGGCAAGCCACTTAACCTCTCTAACCCCAGCTTCCTCATCTGCAAAGTGAAGGTAATAATAGTGCCTCCTAAAGAGACTAAATGAGTTCATGTTACACACTGAGAACAGTAAGTGCCTCACACTTTGTGCTATTATGTTGGTAGACTTGCTAATGTTACCTTCAAACCAAAAGCTTAATCTTCAAGATAGGAAACATCGCTCCCATGGTTCCAATAATGTGGTTTGCTGCAGCCGTCCTCTACTAATTTTTATTTTAGATCCACACTCCCTCTTTCCATGACAGCTGGAATTCCTTTCGGTTTTCTAAATCTTCTATACTAGAAAGTCAGTAGCCTTTTGTGGAAACTATGTCTCCTCTCTTTAATGTTTTTAAGACCCCATAAGAGAAAAATATGAATAGATATATTTATGAGTGAAAGAATAACTATATTTAGGCTAGGGCTGTCAAGAAGACCTTTCTCCAATGATGTAAATGTCCTATATCTCTGCTGTCCAGCGTTGTGGCCACTAGGCACCTATGGCTATGGAGCTCTGAAATGTAGCTAGTGGGACTGAGAAAATGAAGGTTACATTTTATTTAGTTTTAATTAATTTAAATAGCTACATGTGATCAGTAGCATAGTCGCCGCATTGGACAGTGCAGGTCTAGAATTCACAAGTTTGTCAGAGCTTCAACCTTCCTCTCCGATAGTCTGTAGACTTGGAGTGGTTATGAGTACAGACTCTGGGGACACACATAGAGACACAGCTCTGCCACTGGCCAGCTCTCAAGTCTCTTCAATGCTTCAGACCTCTGTTTTCTCATATGTAAACTGGGGATGATAACTGCTACTATTTCATAGGGTTGTTGTGAGGATTAAATTAGTTAATAAATGCTTAGGAAAGCAGCTGGCACATAGTGTACATTTATATAGTGCTTACTATTCTTCAAGTTTTTGCTCCTGAAATTAACTTTTTAAACTGTCTCTTGATATATACCCTTTCTCAATTTCCATGTTACTTTTCCTCTGCCTGAAACTGATCAGCAGTGTTCCCAACCTCTCTCCTTCCTGCTTCTTCTCCCATATGCCTTAGTATTTTTAGGCATCTCTTTGTACCTGTTTCTGGAATGCATCAAGACTAAATCTGACACTGAATATAATCTCCCTGATCACAGGCTTCAGATTTTCCAAGTTAGCAGCATTTCTTATACCTTATATTCTACACGTTCCAATAAATTAAAACAATGAAAAAAGCATGGGGTTTAAAGTCAGAAGACCTGGGACATACCACCTACTGTGCCTGACTTTCAGCTTTCACAACTGTAAAATGGGAATAATTACACTATTTCGTGAGATTGTTGTGATTCATGATCAGGTGGGATAACGCATATGAAAGCACTTCGTAAACTGAAGCATTGTTATTTTTGTTCCCAATCAAATTCAAAGAGGATGAAAAAGGCAGGCCAAGGTAACCCGAGTTAATTCATCTGTAAGATGTGCTCCCAGCCCATCTGGTATTTCCATCTTGCTGGCAGCATTCTCTCTTTAATTCCTTAGCAACCATGACATGATTTGTTTCAGTGCTCAGTATAGCATCACTTGTTTTAAGGGAGCAGCTTCGCGATATTAACTGTCAAGGTTGGGGGATAGAGGTTACGTTCTCTTTTGTCACACATGGTTGGAGACCCAAAGACACTTCATGGCTGATGTTCTAGAACAACAAGGTGAAATGCAATGAACAATGGACAGGTGGCCTCCCGGTAATTCCAGAAAGCATCAAGTATTAGCGTAAAAAAGAGACTTAATAAAGGTAAAGTGGTAACTGAAATTAAAAGAACTGCCAAAAACAAGCCAAGTGAGTAAGCCAAGAAGCAGGGCACACCCTGCTTCAGTCAGAAACAAGTGCCACTGCTGAATCTCTGACCTCTTCAGGCCACATCTAAAACAGGGGTTCTCAAAGCATGTTCCCAGACCAGCAACACGAGCATCACCTGGGAGCTTGTTAGAAATGCAGACCCACTGAATCCGAATAAAGCTGAATAAGCTCCCTATGTGATCTGTACGCACGTTAAAGTTTGAGAGGCACTGATCACCAAAGGTTTTCCCATTGCTTTTCCTTGGCCTCCACTTAGTAGCACAGAAGTGGGAAAGGAAATAAACAGATCCTGCTCCAGGGTCAGTGCACACAACTACCTTAGCTGGAGCCATGCTTAACTCTATTAGGTACTGAGGGATTGGGAGAAAGGGGATGCCAAAAGGACACAGTCCCTGCCCTCAAGGAGCAAAGACTAAACAGGGAATAAATTCTAATCAAAGGCAAAATGGAGGCTAAATAAAGGCATGAGTGCCTCAAGATCAAGGGCTGTGTCTTAATCATCTTTGAATTCCCAGCACTTGGCAGGGAACGGTGGAGGAAGTGATCTCTCCTTTTGACTCCATGCCCTTGATAAACTCCAAGCCTCTTGCTACCTTGCTTGCTTAGCTGGATGTAAAACACCTGCCTGCTTTGTTGTGACTTTATGAACCTCTTGGATTCTAGATTCTACTTTCCCATTTGTACTTCTAGTATTTAAAAACAACTATTACTGATATGTTATTATTTACTGTATGCATGAACCATACTTATAACCTTACATATATTAACTCATTTTATGTGCACAAAGTTCACAGATATTAGTAGTTTATTATGTCCATTATACAGATGAGAAAATGGAGGCTCAAAGAGGTTAAACAACTTGCCCAAAGTCCCCTAGGTAGTAAAGAGTGGAGGCAGGAATAGAGTCAGGCAGTATGATGTCAGTATCCACTGCCCAGGTTTTGGATTCCTGGATTTGAACTGCCACGCTGCATAGGTCTGTCCGAGGTCTACCGGAACCCTGGCACCATAGCTGTGGCTTCTTCAGACTGTCCCCTCTTGTAGGCTATCTGTTCCTCCTAGCAATTCTAGGTCCACACTAGGGGACACTGGCCCCTGGTACTCTCTTTCCACCTTGACAAAAATCAGAAATGAAGATTCTCCTCCAGCGAGGCTGAGAACATTCCTATCTGCCTTATGGGCTGGTCTCCAAAGAATACTTTCTTTAGGTATTTTTTCCTAAACCAATGTCTCTGACAGGTGATTGCTCTGAAGTTACTGTTTGAAATAAGTTTGGGAAAGAGTGGAAGGTGACCTCTATGAGATTCATGTGAGTCAAACTTCTTTGACTCCCAAGCCTGCAAGACACTGTCTTTCTTAAATGTACCTGTTAGGCATCCCCAAGTGAAAACCCAAAGCTGTATTAATAATGGTGAGAAGGAAAGGAGGGCAACTTCAGACTTGCCATATATGGAATCTGCTTTTCAACAATGAACAGCTCTGCTTCCTGTGGGTCAGTAACGCTGAGCAGCTAGTGCAGCACAATGATAGGAAAACACTGACCATACAACAATAAACCAAGGAATAAACAGCGCCCAGGTTTTCCTTTAAGCCAACATATGCGGCTTGGTGGGGGTGTAGTGTTTTATTTATATTGCTATGCAACGTAGGAAAAAAAAAGGTGATTTCAATGAAAGGCACAGGAATATGCTGTGCTATCTGATCGCAGGTCTGAATTTAGACATGACAGATGTTGGGAGGGGTTTCACATTTGACATCAACCACGATAAGAGAAATTAATGTAGTGGGGTTAATGGCTAGGCTTTATTTTGTTTTTAAAAATTCAGTGGTGAGTACAGTCAGCGGCCCTGGGCCAGGGAATACTGTGCTGGCTCTGGCAGGGCCTGGTTGTATGTTTATGAAACCAGGAGCACAGCCTAGGGAAACTTAAAGCAAGCTGCCAGAGGAGGCTGCAAATTGATCTGTTAAATCGCAGATCACCAAACAGAACCTGTCCCACCTCTATGCTTACTTCTGGCGAGGTTCTGATTGGAAGGAAGTGCTGTCACCCAAGGAACCCCGTAACTCCGAGGGGCAGGCACATGAGCTTCTAAGGGTGTGTGTAAATTTATACTTCAGTCACAGCTAAAGTCTGGCCTTCTAGGAAAACTATCCCCCACCCCTTTCCCAAACTTCCCACGAAGCCCTCCAACCACAAAAAAACAACTTTAGAAACTTGAGTGGGGCTTTTCTGGAATCAGGTTCCCTCAGTTACAGTGAAGGCAGATATCTAGATACTTTATCCCACACTTTCCCTTAAGTCATGAGGTGCCTGTTTCAGTTGCCTCTTCGCTCTAGTTGCTGCCTCCACCCCCACCCCCCATGAAACTGGGGGAGAGGAAGGTCCTTCATGTCCTACTGCATGCCTTCTATATGCTAGGCACTATTCTAGCACTGGGGATACAGCTATGAGCAAAACAGAAAAAACAAAATTCCTGCTCTCAGAGTGTTTTAAGTTCTAGTGGGGAAAATCCACAAGTACAAATTGACAAGATAAGGTGTAGTTATCCTCAAATGAAGACAAATGGCAAGTCACTTGGCAAACTTATATACTATTCCCCACCAAGAAAGGAATCAGGAGAAAGAGAGCTAACATTTATTGAATGCTTCCTATGTGCCGATAACAAAAATAATAATTAATATTTTTGAGCATTTACTATGTCCTAGGCTCATAGGAAGTTGAGGTCACATACTTTATATATTCCCTCTTAATCCTCTCAATATTTCTGTTACTCCAATAGCACAGATGAGAAAACAAGCCTAGAAGTAACAATAACTTGCTCAAGTACACCCTGTTTGTGCAGGCACGCCCTGCTTGGGATCTCTGCACTCCAGCCTGATGGCTTCGACAGTCAGATGGTGGCGCACACTCCCCCTTGCTCTGCTCCTCTGCTGGTGGATGGTGCGTCACCCCCTCGCTTTGCCCAGCTCCATTCTACCAGTCCTTCCAGGTTTAGCTCGAATAGCTCCTTCTTAAGGAGAACTTTTCTGGCTCCTCATCATGACTGTGATCCTTTCTCTAAACTCCTTACTTAGATCACATATAGAGAAGGTCGGATCTAACCTCACTGGTTAACACATTCAAGCACTTAAAACTGCACTGCTCCTACTTCCTTTCCTTACTGTGCTTACGGTCAACAGTGTGAAACTTGTCACTTGATTCCACACTGTCTTATTTTTGTGTTGTTCCATATCCACTGGTCTCGTTTCCTCAATGAGATGAGCAGCTTAGGGAACTGTGTTTATATTTATAAATTATTATTTGTTTAATCATTGTTTAACAGAATGGGTCTCAAATTTGAGCATGGATCAGAATTATGTGAATGGCTTGTTAAATTAGATTGCTGGATCCTACCCCCAGAGTTTCTGATTCAGCAAGTCTGGGATGAGCTGAGAATTTTGTTTGTTTGTTTGTTTGTTTTTGAGATGGAGTTTCGCTCTTGTTGCCCAGGCTGGAGTGCAATGTGGCACCATCTCAGCTCACTGCAACCTCTGCCTCCCGGGTTCAAGAGATTCTTCTGCTTCAGCCTCCCAAGTAGCTGGGATTACAGGCACCCACCACCATGCCCGGCTAATTTTTGTACTTTAGTAGAGATGAGGTTTCATCATGTTGGCCAGGCTGGTCTCGAACTCCTGACCTCAGGTGATCCGCCTGCCTTGGCCTCCTAAAGTGCTGGGATTACAGGCATGAGCCACTGTGCCCGGCCTGAGAATTTGTATTTCTGACAAATTCCCAGGATATGCTGATGCTGCTGGCCCAGGAACCACTTTTGAGAACCACTGGTTAATTGAATGTACCACAGTGCTTAAGAGAAGGTAGGCGGCCAGGCGCGGTGGCTCACGCCTGTAATCTCAGCACTTTGGGAGGCTGAGGCAGGCAGATCATGAGGTCAGAAGATGGAGACCATCCTGGCTAACACGGTAAAATCCCGTCTGTACTAAAAATACAAAAAAACTAGCCAGACGTGGCGGAGGGTGCTTGTAGTCCCAGCTATTTGGGCGGCTGAGGCAGGAGAATGGCGTGCATCTGGGAGGTGGAGCTTGCAGTGAGTGGAGATCGGGCCACTGCACTCCAGCCTGGGCTACAGAGTGAGACTCCGTCTCAAAAAAAAAAAAAAAAAAAGAGAAGGTAGGCTGAGTTTGAATACCATCCCTGCCACTCACTAGCTGTGTGATCTTAGGTGACTTAACCAATTTGAGCCTGTTTCCTCATCTGTAAAAAATGGGGATAATAATAGTATATGTATATCAGGACTCTTGTGAGGATTATGTGTAATAATGAAAGTAATATGCTTAGCACTGTCCCTGACACATTGAAAACATTCAATGAATCCTTCCAGCTATCACTGGAAAGGCTGGTACAATATCAGCCACTAAATAAGCACTGAACCCAGCTTAAGAATTCCTCCTCAGGCTTAAAACTTCATAAGGCTTTGAATTCATAAGCAGTGAGAATGAAGGTTGTCACTGTGGCGTGACATCTATAATTAACAGCTTCTGAAATTAAGCCAGATTCCTAAAAAATACAACATAAAGGGTCTTCAGAAACGCCTCTCCCTATAGTATGCTTGATGTAAATCCCCACGTGTACAAAGGCCATGTGTCTCTTTAAAGTTCAGGGGATGTCGAGGAGGTACCTCCTTCACACCTTCCACTGCTGAAGGATACTGAAGAGCTTGGAGTTGCTGAAGTCACCCAGGCATCTGGGCTAATGGATTGACAGACAAAAGAGGAGCCCATCATTCAATAATTAATTAGTTGCAATCATGGGAAGACAACGTCCCCCAGAGCAGATAGGACAGCCACCTCCTCCAACCTGGTAGTTTCAAAGCACCCAGGCCCTGGCTGCTCTCAAACCTCTTTATCCAATGTTTCCCCTCAGGGTCTAGCTGAGCAGTTACACTGGCTGACATTCTCTTAAGAAAGCCCAAGAGGAAATGTGCAGAAAAGACAATTTTCAGACCTTGTCTCACAGTCCTGCAGGCCCTGGGACAGGGTATCCAGGGATGTAGGTCTGGTCTAGCTGTATCCCTGTCTCGATAATATAGGAGACAAGGGTCAAGATCCTATCTCTCTGTGAACCATGAATCCTGGGAACGCTGTCAGTTCAATCAAACCCTGCAAAGTTGAATGAGATCATCTCTGGGAGAATTAGTATTTAGCAGAGGCTGCGGCTGGGGGTTGTGGAGAGCTGCTGCTGCCCTTTAGAAGCCCTTCCATTCCCCATCCCCTTCTCAGAAGAGAACCCACCACCTCCTCTCACCCAGGGGTACTCTTACCCTGATGCCCAGAAAAAGGACGACGCCCCCCCACCACAATTTTCACTCCTATCTCCAATTTCCTAAACAAAACCATCACAGCCAGGTACAGTGTCCACACACTCGAATGGAGCACCACCCCAGGCAGCCCCAGGGCAGGGGTTTCTCTCCCATCACCCTGGCCAGGCCCTGGTTCCAGCTGGTAGGCAGAGTGAAAAGGGGGTGTGTGCACGGGAGACTGGAGGGGAACAGGGACCCAAGTCCTCCGGAGGTGAGGAGAGGCTGGGTCCCCGCACCTGGGGTCACTAGCTGGGAGATAAAAACCAAGGCAGGTGGGGGTTCCTTCCAGGAAAGAGCCACACGGTGTCTCTCCCCTTCTCACCATTTCTCATTGATCAACCTTCTGTCTTCCCGTTCTCTCCCTTCCATCCCTCCCCTCCCTCTTTGTTTGCCTTCTCCTCGCCTCCGCGTTTGAGCACCCAGCCCTCCCCACGAGCGCGACTCGGACGCCGCAGTCAGCAGCTCGGGGACCCCGGCCCCGCGCCCGCCACCCGGCCCCCTGCCCTGACCGGCCCTCCCGGCTCCTGGTCTCACCCAGAAGAGCAGGTTGAAGCCAAGCAGCAGGTACTTGATGCACCGCAGGCCCCCGCGGAAGCGCCCCATGCTGCGGCCCGGCGGCGGGATCCCCAGTCCCCAGGCCCGCGCTACGAGCGCGGGGAGCGGCAGGCTCCGGCGGGGAGGGGGCGGAGCGGGGAGGACCGGGGCGGGGCCTCCGGGGGGCGGGGCGGGGCCCGGCGGGGAGGGGCGCGTGGACCCCAAGCGGCGTGGCTGGCGACGGGTGGGGGCGCCAGCGGGTGGAGATCGAGCAGCCCGAGGGAGCACGTTCGCTCTTCTCCCGGACCCAGGGACCACCTTCCTTCCCTCCAGTGGGCGCACCGCCGCCGGCTATCGGAGCACCTGCAGGGCGGGAGCGCCCACCGGGGACTGGGGACCCATTTAATCAGCGCCCTGTGCGGAGACCGGTTTGAGGCCCGGGCGATGCTTGAGGGATAAGCACTTGGTCTCGTGGCTATGGAAATCTAGGAAGGTGACCTCGGGTAGAAGAGCTAAGTGGGGTCGGAGGTTGCCCCGAAGCTGGCAGGACCAGTCGCGGGGCACCTGACTGAGTGTCCAGGGCTGCGGCTCCGCGGCGCGGAGCAAGCACACAAGCAGCTTCTAGGGGACCCTCCCTCCGGCCCCTCCCCCCTCCTCGGGGGACTCTTACCTTAATAGGCAAGAACTGAGAGAGGGTGCGGGAGGCGGCGCCCTGAGTCCTGTGGGCTGCCCTCAACCCAGCCGGCCAGTGGAGGGAGTCTGACTTCTCATGTCCTGCCGGGTTCCACTGATCGGAGGGCTTGGAAGGATCCCAAATTTTCGGGATCTTAATTATGATGTGGAGATGGGAGAAAGGGGAAGGGGGCGGTTTTTGTTTTGCTTTGTTTTTATTAAGTTAGGCTGTTGGCAGGAAAATCAGACTCCCACTTCCATTGACTAAGTGTCTACAATATGTGGTGTCAGACAGTATGGGGGAGACAAGAAAGCAAAATTCGGAGAGCTTATGCATAAATTCAGCAAAACTTTGAGTGCCTATTATAGGCCAGACATAGTAGCAAGCCCCAGGGACTCAACAATGAGGAGACAGCCAGGCCCAGAACCACAGTCTCTGGTGTTGGAGACAGATCTGTAAGCAAATAGGGTGAGGAGAGAAGGGCTGGGTGCTAGACAGGTGTGCCTGGCCTGACTGCCTTAACCAGAAAAGGCATTGCTAAGGAGAGGGGCCTGATCTGGTCTAGAAGACGGAGCCCAGGCGGAAAAGATCAGTCCAGGAAGACAGCATGCGCAAAAGCACAGAGCTGGAGAGAACAAGGCCTCCAAGGGAGTTCTGAGAACCGCAGTTAGCCCGAGTGAAGCCTGGTGGGGGCAGAGTGAGTCAGGAAGGCAGGAGCCAAATCACAGCTTTCAGTCGGCTGACCAATGTGCCAAACTGTCATTGGCCCCGAGTGTCCCCACGTGCAACATGGAGGTAATAGTACTCCCCTCATAGAGTTGTGAAGATAAATGAGTTAGTATTTGTGAAGTGCCTAGAACAGTGCCTGGCACAGATTAAGTACTGCATAAGGGTTAGTATTATTGTATCACACTCTTATCAGTCAACCATTCAGTTTCTACCATGTTGCCATCTTTGCCTACCTCTGTGTCTTTGGACATTTGTTTGAATATCGACTCATTTATAAAAACGAGTCAAAGACAGAAAAATGAAAGTGCTGATTCTAGTAATAAACATGTCTCCAACAATGAAATAAAGACAAAGATGGAAGTCATTAGGTATGCAGAGAGAAGTGAATCATTAGCTTCAATCAAACACTTATAGTTCTATATCTGTCACCTCTGTTTTAGTATAAAGGAAAAGAACTAAGTTAAAGAGTAGTGTCTGGTACATAGAAGGCGTTCAGTAAATCAACTGAATGAACAATGATATTATACTTTAAATATATCGTTGAATTTTACATCTCTAAGACAAAATATGTCTAGAGATTATATAGAGGGAAGAGAACCCCTATTGTAACATATACATCTATTGTTTGTTTTTTTCATGCTACGATTTTAGCACACATGTATTAGAGACAGATGGTGGTTGCCTGTCCAACATAACAGTTTCAGATCTTTAGTATAGACTTGCCCAGTCGCCCTTTCACAAAGTTGTATGTCTTAAGGGAAGCTGACCCTTGAGAGGAATAGGCGAAGGTAATCCCATTTCCCTTGTAGTTAGTTCAGGAAACAAATTGACAAGCATCCTGACTAATGGGATGGGAGTGGTGTCTACTGAGGGGCCAGATGGTCTTCTTCCTCTTGAAGCTGTTGGATCTGGATGGTATACATAGAGTTGCTATATCCATCTTCATACCAGCCTGAGGAGAGATCCAACATTGAAAACAGCAAAGCAGGAAGTTGAAAAAACCAGAGTCATAGGTGATATTACGCCATAACTGAGTTAGCCATTTCTGAAGCCAATTGAGGTTTAGGTTTTTGTGTACATGTATGTGTATGTGTGTGGACGCATGTGTGTTAGTCCATTCTTGTGTTGCTACAAAGTAGTACCTGAGACTGGGTAATCTCTAAAGAAAAGAGATTTAATTGGCTCACAGTTATGCAGGCTGTACAGGAAGCATAGTGCTGACATCTGCTTCTGGTGAGGCCTCAGGAAGCTTTCAGTTGTGGTGGAAGGTCACAGGGAGCCAGTGTGTACACAGCGAGAGTGGGAGCAAAAGAAGTGGGGAGTTCCACACTCTTTTAAACAACCAGATATCACATGTGAACTCAGAGCAAGAACTCACTCATTATAGGGAGGATGGCATCCAGCCATTCATGAAGGATCCACTCCGATCCAATACCTCACACAAGGTCCCACTTCCAACATGAGGAATTGCCATCATCAACATATATGTATGTATTGTGCCTGAAAGGCATTCCATACATTTTCAAGGGTATATTACTATAAGAAAGTACAGGGCTACATTAAATGACATAATAAGGAAGTTAGCCTTTAAACTGTCACTGGCATTGCTCCCTTTTCTCTTTTTCCTGTCTTGAACTCAGACATGATGCTTGAAGTGCTAGAACATTTTGTGACTATGAAGAAAGGGCAAGACAATTGCAGACCTTCCAGCTAGGACATTGTGGAACTGCTGAACCAATACCAGCAGCTACCTAACTCCACATTTCTTATTATATAGGAAAAATAACCCTCTTTTTGTTTGACTTTGTGTTGTTACATGTAGCTAAAGATATTCCTGACTGGTAGAGGGAAGACAATACATTCATTTTTGGATCTGCTGAGTTTTAGATATGGTGGGAAATCCAGATGATGTGGAAATATGATTGGATTCTGGAGAAAGGTTTGGATGGTAAGTTTAGGGTAAAGATTCTTCAGCAAATGGTGATAAATAGAAGCCAGTGGTCTTAAAACTGTTGCCCACACATGCCCTAAAATAGTTACAAAAATATTTTCTCTTGCATTTTTTCCCAATATTTTATTATGAATATTTTCAAACGTACAAAAAATTTGAAATAGTTGGGCAAGGAGCACCATATACTCACCATCTAGATGCTACAATAAACATTTTGCTTTGGTTGCATTACTTATCTATACATCTGTCCATTTCTCAATCTATTTTTTTTTATTTATTTCCAAATAAATTGTAGGCAGTATGTTTCACTCCTAAACTCTTGAGCATGCATAACATTACCTAGAGTTCAAATATCTATTTACTATTTTTCTAAAATTTACCCCAATGAAATGTACACATTTTAAGTATATTATTTAATAATTCTTGACAATGCTTTTGCCTTTCTAACCCCGAATCCTATTAAGATATAGAATATTACTGTCACCCCAGGAAGCTTTCAGGCTTTCATATAACCCTTCCCAGTCAATCTATGCCCACATCCCTCCTAAAGGCAAACACTGTTCTGATTTTCTTTCACTATAGATTACACTTGCCTGTTTTAAACCTTCATATAAATGGCATTGTATAGTATTACCCTCACACATTTTTAAGTTGCAGGTAAAATTATTTATTATAAGTTTGAATATTTTCAGAGATGTCATTTCTGGTGTGTCTTAAATATTGACTTTTAAAATCAAATGGCCACATTACTCATTTTAATACATCCAGTAGAAACTGAATGCCAGTATGATCTGCTACCTATTATCATCGATTAAAAAATACATAAACAAGGCCAGGAATGATGGCTCACGCCTGTAATCTCAGCACTTTGAGAGGCCAAGGCAGGAGGATCACTTGAGTCCAGGAGTTTGAGACCACCTGAGCAACATAGTGAGGCTCTATCTCTACAAAACAAATGAAAAAAATTAGCAGGGTGTGGTGGTGCTCGCTGTAGTCCCAGCTACTCCAGAGGCTGAAGTGGGAGGGTCACTTGAGCGTGGGAGGTCTAGGCTGTTGTGAGCTGAGATTGCACCATTGCACTCCATCCTAGGTGGCAGAATGAGACCATGTCTCAAAAATAAATAAATAAATAAATAATTAAAAATACATGAGCAAGCTCCTCTTTAATAGGGTGAAAATTTTAATCTTTCCTTTTGCTCCTTGAACTTGTATTTCCGTTTTACAAAATGTCATCCTAAATTAATGCATGTTTATGCTTGAATGATTTTTCTTGAATGTCCTTTTATACTTGTCTGAACAAAATTTACTATGTTTATTAAAAGAAATTAAACTTTTCCCCTGAGACCATAAGGCTGTAAATGTTAACTAAGTTCTTCTAGATCGGAGGTGTCCAATCTTTTGGCTTACTTGGGCCACATTAGAAGAATAATTGTCTTGGGACACACATAAAATACACTAGCATTAATGATAGCTGATGAGATAAAAAATCACAAAATACTCATAATGTTTTAAGAAAGTTTATGCATTTTTGTTGGGCAGCATTCAAAACCATCCGCCACGGGTTGGACAAACTTCTTCTAGATTAAGTTACTGTTAAAATTATTTTTGGTATCCAAGTGGTTAAAATTGTATACTAAATTTAAAATATAGTTTTAAATAAACAGTCACTAAACTTAAAGGTAAAATATTGCTGGAAATGCATCTCTTAATGATATTGATGGGGTTGGTATTTTTTTTTCTACTAGTTCATATATCCATGAACGAATATTATTGCTAGAACCACAAAGCTGACCATAAATTCCCTTAATATTTTTCATTGTTTTGATATTAATGTTGAAAAACTCTGTTTAGACAAATAAGTAGATAAAGATGGAAGATGTTTTTATAGCAATGACAATCAATTCTTTAAAGCCCCTCTGAATTATGTGCCCCAATTCACACACTGATACATGCTGATATGGTAATTCCCAGTGTTGGAGGGGGGACCTAGTGGGAGGTATGGATCATGGGAGTGGATCCCTCATAAATGGCTGGATGGCATTCTCCCTATAATGAGTGAGTTCTTGCTCTGAGTTCACTGTGAGATCTGGTTGTTTAAAAGAACATGGCACCTCCCGCCCTTGCTCCCACTCTTGCTATTAAACTATTTTTAATGATTAAATCAGCTGAAAATTCCATTTGGCCTTTCTTCAATTTTATTTTTTTATTATAATTTTTTTTTTTTGAGAAAGAGTCTCACTCTGTTACCCAGGCTGGAGTGCAGTGGCATGACAAAACTCACTGCAACCTCTCTGCCTCCCAGGCTTAAGTGATCCTCCCACCTCAGCCTCCCAAGTAGCTGGGAGCCATGTACCACCACACCTGGCTAATTTTTGTATTTTTTTTTGGTAGAAATGGGGTTTCACCATGTTGCCTAGGCTGGTTTCAAGTGATCCCCCTGCCTCAGCCTCCCAAAGTGCTGGGATTACAGATGTGAGCCACCTCATCTGGCCCTTTCTTCAATTTTATTGAAAGCATAGAGTTGGAACCCTTCTAACTTACAAAGGCATTTATTACCCATATTATAGTTATCTACTTTCTCAGCACCTACAGCAAGTTTGCAAATTGGTGACCAAGAGATTTCTACAACCTGGGGAAATATACCCAATTCAGAGTGGGTGAGCGGTAGCTTGTGGAAGATATCTTGATTGTAGGCATATTCCCAGGCAGATTGATTCTAGGAAGGAATACACCTGGAAGTTAATGAGTGGGAAACTGATTCTCTTAAAACTGTTCATGTTGGAGCACCTCTGGAAAGAGTTCTTGTATCCCCAGGACATGCATGCCTCAGAGATATATGGCTGTCTTAAGCCATGAGAATGGATGATATGCCCAGGAAGAGTGTGAAAAGGGTTGAGAACAGAAACTTTAGAGCAACAACATTTTAAGATGTGGGCAGAAGAGATGTGACACTTAAAGGAGACTGGTAAGAAATGACCAGAGACATAGGAGAAAAATCAGAAAAAAGTGGCGTCACAGAAGCTGAGTGAGGAGTTTCTCGATGGAGGCAGTGTCCACAGTGCAAAATGCCTCAGCAGCAGGAGGTGAGAGAAGAGAGCATTGCATGTGGTGACCTAGTACCTTAGGACACTGACAACCTCAGTAACAGCCACTGCAGAAGAGTAGGGGTGGACTGGGTAAGCTGGGCCACAACTTAGGAGGGAATGAGCAGTGAGGAAGTCATAACAATTGTTCTCTTTTTTAAGTGAGAAATGTGCTTTTTTTTTAACTTTTATTTTAAGTTCATGGGTACACGTGCAGATTTGTGATATAGGTAAACTTGTGCCTTGGGTTTATTTGTACAGATTGTTTTGTCACCCAGGTATTAAGCCCAGTATCCATTAGTTATTTTTCCTGATCCTCTCCCTCCTCCCACCTTCCACCTTCCTATAGGCCCCAGAGTGTGTTGTTCTCCCCTGTGTGTCCATGTGTTCTCATCATTTAGCTTATAATTGAGAACATGTGGTATTTGGTTTCCTCTTCCTGCATTAGTTTGCTAAGGATAATGCCCTCCAGCTCCATCCATGTCCCTGCAAGGGACATAATCTTGTTCTTTTTATGGCTGCATAGTATTCCATGGTGTGTATGTACCACATTTTCTTTATCCAGTCCACCATTGATGGACATTTAGGTTGATTGTATGTCTTTGCTATTGTGAAGAGTGCTACAATGAACATACGCTTGCTTGTGTCTTTATAATAGAATGATTTATATTCCCTCGGGATATACCCAGTAGTGAGATTGCTGGGTCAAATGATATTCCTGTTTTTAGTTCTTTGAAGAATCACCACATTGCCTTCCATGATGGTTGAACTAATTTACACTCCCACCGACAGTATATAAATGTTCTTTTTTCTCTGCAACCTTGCCAGCATGTGTTATTTTTTGACTTCTTAATAATAACCATTCTGACTGGTGTGAGATGGTATGTCATTGTGGTTTTGATTTGCACTTCTCTCATGATCAGTGATGTTAAGTATTTTTTCATATGCTTGTCGGCTGCATGTATGTCTTCTTTTGAAAACTGTCTGTTCGTGTCCTTTACTCACTTTTTAATGGGGTTGTTTGTTTTTTTCTTGTAAATTTGTTTAACTTCTTTATAGATGCTGGATATGAGACCTTTGTCAGACACATAGATTGCAAACATTTTCTCCCACTCTGTAGGTATTGAAACTGGGTATTGAAGGAACATACCTCCAAATAATAAGAGCCATCCATGACAAACCCACAGCCAAAATCATACTGAATGGGAAAAAGCTGGAAGCATTCCTGTTGAAAACCGGCACAAGACAAGGATGCCTTCTCTCACCACTTCTATTCAACATAATATTGGAAGGCCTGGCCAGAGCAATCAGGCAAGAGGAAAAAAATAAAGGGCATCTAGATAGGAACAGAGGAAGTCAAACTATTCCTGTTTGCAGACAACATTATCCTATATATACAAAATCCCATTGTCTCAGCCCAAAAGCTCCTTAAGCTGATAAACAACTTCAGCCAAGTGTCAGGATACAAAATCAATATGCAGAAATCACTAACTTTTCTTTTCTTTATTATTATTATTTTTTAGATGGAGTCTTGCTCTGTCACCCAGGCTGGAGTGCAATGGCACGACCTCGGCTCACTGCAAACTCCACCTCCCAGATTCAAGCAATTCTCCTCCCTCAGGCTCCCAAGCAGCTGGGATTACAGGCACGCGCCACCACGCATGGCTAATTTTTTTTTTTTGTATTTTTAGTAGAGATGGGGTTTCACCATGTTGGTCAGGCTGCTCTCAAACTCCTGACCTCATGATCCACCCGCCTTGGCTTCCCAAAGTGCTGAGACTACAGGCATAAGCCACCACACCCGGGCAAAAATCACTAACTTTTCTATAAACTGACAACAGTCAAGCCGAGAGCCAAATCAGAAATGCAATCCTGTTCACAATTGCCACACACAAAAAATAAAATACCTAGGAATACAGCTAACAAAGGAGGTGAAAGAGCTCTACAAGGAGAACTATAAAACACTGCTCAAAGAAAGCAGAGATGACACAAACAAATAGAAAACTTTCCATGTTCATGGACGGGAAGAGTCAACATTGTTAAAATGGCCATACTGCCCAAAACAATTTATAGATTCAATGCTATTCCTATTAAACTACCATTGACATTCTCCACAGGACTATGAAAATTATTTTAAAATTCATATGGAACCAAAAAAGAGCCCAAATAGTCAAGACAGCCCTAACCAAAAATAACTAAGCTGGAGGCATCACATTACCGGACTTCCAACTATACTATAGGGCTACAGTAACCAAAACAGCACAGTATTGGTACAACAGTAGACACATAGACAAATGGAACAGAATAGAGAATAGAGGCTGCACACCTGCAACTATCTGATCTTTGACAAACCTGACAAAAACAAGCAATAGGGAAAAGACTCCCTATTCAATAAATGGTGCTGGGAGAACTGGCTAGCCATATGCAGAAGATTAAAACTGGACCCCTTCCTTACAACATACACAAAAATCAACTCAAGATGGATTAAATACTTAAATGTAAAACCCCAAAGTATAGAAACCCTGGAAGACAACCTAGGCAATACCATTCTGAACAATTGCTCTTTCAAGAGGCTTAGTTGTGAGTGGTGCAGCAAGATGAGTGGAAGCAAGCTTCTTTTCTTTTTCCTTTTCTTCCTTCCTTTCTTAATGGGGAAGATTTAAATGTGTTCATAGTCCTGGGGGAAGGTGCCTGGGGAGAGAGAGGTTGAAGGAGAAGAAAAGCGAGAGCAGTGTTTCTGCAGAAATAGAATGGGACTGAGAACCAGACACTGATGGGGGCTTGCATTTGGAAACAAGGAAAATAAGCAAGGGTGGAGTTGTAGTACCATTTTGTATTATATGTCTCATAACCCTAGTATCTGAACTCTCTGTGATCAGACTTTGCTGCCTGTGGACTTTTCTACGTATTGATTTTAGTGTCTTGTTCCTTGTGTATTATGTGATTTTTTTAAAGCTGTAAACTGCTTACTTTCCTTGGAAATTTGTGGGAATTCTTTGAGTCCTTAGTTGAGATTTTATTCCTCCAGAGAGGATTTTCTTTGCCTTCTGCAAATCATCTCAAGGCAGTACCATAGTGTTAATTCAGACAACAAATCCATTTGAAGGCTGGCTTGTGGTGACAAGGTCTCAGGGGAGATTTTCCCCACTCCAACACCAAGTCCAAAACGTATACATTTCTTTGTCGTCTTTTGCATGATGGGTTTATTTCTTGTCTACTCTTCCCTTGAGGGTGTATCCTTTGGGAGGAGGTACCAGGTTTGGGTGAGGTCTCCTAATACACTGTCTATATTAATGGCATTTTAGGCTTTACTTCACAAACCCCAAGCGGTTGCAGCTGTCGAAACCGAAACCCAGGGCAAAAGGTGGCTTTGGTGCCTGCTTACTTCGAGTTCTTGCTTTCACTTCATTTTGGCCTTTGTAGATTCTCTTCCTTTTGTGCTAGCTCAACGATGTGGTTTTATTTTTACATTCTTACATATTTTATCCAGGGTCTTAGTTTCAGTCGAGAAGGTAGTTCAGGATATCAAATCTGCCCTACTGCTAGAAAAGGAAGCCCGGTGTGCCTGCTATCGTAACTTTGGTTTTGATAAGCAAACACGAGCAGTTTTTGACTGCTGGGTTTACAGCATAGGAACCCTGTTGCTATGCAGCTGTTGTTGGAAAATAGTCTGTGGGCTCAGAGTTTCTAAACCAACCGTCTATTGGATGCCCAGAGAAGGAAGGAAAGCGAGGGCCCTGGCTTGCTGATTACAAACCATCTCCATGGTCACAGGTTGCTGGGTGCTCCTTTTACGATGTTTTCCCAGCAGCATGCAGGCAGCAGTAGCTTCCTTTGATCATTTTTCAGTTTCTGTTATTTGCTAGTGAGAGAAAGTTTATACCTGCTTGTGGGGACATGAGTGAAGAAAGAGAGGGGACTTTGAAACAAGAGAAGAGAGCAAACTCAAAAGGTAACTGTTTGTTTTCATAGGACCCTATGGGAACAACTAGCCCATTTTTGTTTTCACTCGTGCAGCCAGTTGGGGGAAGGAGAGGAACATAACTCATCCAGGTCTGAGGTCTAAGTCTGAATATTTATTGTGCCTCACAGATGATCCCCATTTGAATCATCCAAATTAGGAAAGAGTTTAAAAAATTACTGAGTAATAGTCTGGCAGAATTTTAATGTGACTTCTCTTGTTGACTTTAAGGTTTAACAGAGGCCCCAAAGGCTGAGAGCAAAATTGTAGGTACTTAAGTACCTTTACATTCTAAAGCAAGGTGCAAGATTGTCTATATTAGTCAGACATTATATATTCATATAAGAGATTTATTATAAGGAGTTGGCTCATGTGATTATGGAGGCTGACAGTCCTGAGGTCTGCAGTCAGCAAGCTGGAGACCCAGGAGAGCTAATAGTGGGGTTCTAGTCTGAATGCTGTCAGACTCCAGACCCAAGGAGAGCTGATGTTTCAGTTCAAGTCCAAAAACAGGAAAAGATCTATGTCCCAGGTCAAGCACTCAGGAAGGAGTTCCTTTTTACTTGCAAAAGGGTCAACCCTTTTGTCCTATTCAGGCCTTCAGCTGAGCAGATGAGAGCTGCCCTTTAAGAATGGTAATCTATTTTACTTGGTCTACCAATTTACACCCTCACAGGCATACCCAGAATAATGTTTGACCAAATATTTGGGGCCCCCCTGGCCTAGTCAAGTTGACATGTAAAATTAACCATCACAGAGAACAAAAGAAATGTAAAACAGGTAGACTAAATTGAAAACATACAATGAGATGGTAAATTTATACCTAAATATATCAGTAACTTCTGTTGAAAATAATCAAGAAAAAGAGAGATTGCACAAATAACCAATGTCAGGAAAAAAAAAAGATTAATAACTCCAGATCTGCAGAGATTTAGATAATAATAGGATAATATAAACAACTGCAAATAAATTTGAAAGGTAGGTAAAATGGACTGATTCCTTTGAAAAGTAACATCAGAATGCACTCAATGAAAATTAGAAGTTTGAATAGCCTTGTAAGCATTAAAAAATTGTATATGATCTTTTCACAAAAACAAAAAAGTCCAGCCCAGATTGTCCTTCAGTGGTGTGTTCTGCCAAACGTTTAGGTATGAAGTAATTCCAATCTTATGCAAACTCTACCAGAGAGTAGAAAAAGAGGGAGCATTTAAAAAATACTAAAATTATGAGACTTGTAGCAAGATCTCGAAACCTAAACCTGAAAAAGACAGGACAGTAATGAAAAGGAAAATTATAGGTCAATTTCACTTATGAACATAGATGCAAAAATCTTCAGCAAAATAATAGTCAACAAAATAGTAATATCTCACTTATTTGTGGGATCTAAAAATGAAAACAATTGAACTCATGGACCTATAGAGTAGGAGGATAGTTACCAGAGGCTGGGAAAGGGAGTGGGGAGTTGGAGGGGAAGGTAGGAATAGTTAATAAGTACAAAAAAATATAGAAAGAATGAAGAAGACCTACTATTTGATAGTACAATAGGGTGACTATAGTCAATAATAACTTAATTGTACATTTTAAAATAAAGAGTGTAACTGGATCGTTTCTAACTCAAAGAACAAATGCTTGAGGGGATGGACACCCCCTTCTCCATGATGTGCTTATTTCACATTGCATGCCTGTATCAAAACATCTCATGTACACCATAAATATATACACCTACTATATACTCTCCCAAATTTAAAAAGGTATGCATTAATACATAGAAAGCCTAATACATCATGACTGTATAGGGCAGGAATACAATGTTGATTTACATTTCAATCAGTATAACCTACCACATTAATAAAGGAGA
Source organism: Homo sapiens (assembly GCF_000001405.40). Lineage (NCBI taxonomy): Eukaryota > Metazoa > Chordata > Mammalia > Primates > Hominidae > Homo > Homo sapiens. Next base: position 115,101,619 of record NC_000001.11, read on the forward strand.
AAAATCTGTGGTCATCTCAGTAGATACAGAAAAATCTTTTGATAATTCAACATCGATTTGTTGTAAAGATTCTAGGCAACTAGGTATAGATGGGAATTCATTGCTACAAGATAACATTTTGGTGACAAGACACATTCCTGCTATCACTACTTCTACTCATCACTGTACCAGAGAGCTCAATAAGAGAAATTAAATGTATAAGGCTTAGAAAGAAAGAAAGAAAGTTGTCATTATTTGCAGATGATCTAATTGTGTGTTTATTTTGATTTTCTACATAAAATAATAGGTTACTAGAATTAATAAGAGCGCTTATTAAATTTTCTGATGATAAAAATAAATGTGAGAATATCTTTTCATTAGATCAGTAATGAATCAGAAACTAAAATTTAAAAGAACATAGCTTAAAATAGCATAAGAAGTATCTATTCTCTAGAAAAGACATGTAAGAACTTTACAGGGAAAAATTAAAGTCTTTGTTGGGTAATGTTAAGGAAGCTGTTAATGAATGGAGAGATATGCTAAGTTTGAATTAGCAAAACCGACATTTAAAAAATGTCAATTCTCTCCAATTTGATGTATAGATTCAAAGCATTTACAATAAAAAATCTTCACAAAGATATTTTTTGTAGGTTTTTCATGGCAGCATGTGACAAGATGATGCTGAAAAATTTATATGGAAATTCAAAGGATCAAGAATAGCTGAAACATCACTGAAGAAGAACAAAGTGGGCTGAACTCGCTCTACTAGATATCAAGATTTATAAGCAACTACAGTATTTAGGACAGTGTAGTATCGGCACTGGGAGAGAAAAAAAAAAAAAAAAACTAAAAGGAAAAAGAGCCCAGAGACTGACTTTTGTGTATGTGGACAGTTTGTTTATGATGAAAGTACCACTGCTATGCACTGTGGGAAAATGTCCTCAAAGAATGACACTAGGGCAACTGGGTATCCCCATGTAAAAACAATTAACCCTAATCTCACATCACACACAAAAATCAACTCCATTTGGGGTATATACTTAAATGGAAGGTAAAACTATTAATATAAAGTTTATAGAGAATATTGTTTATTGCTTTTTTGGCCCCGATTCTTCTCTCCTCCCTGTGCCCATGCCCTTTCCCAGGTGACTTTGCAGTTCCTCTCATAAAAGGGGCAGATTATGTTTTTCCTCCCTGGACTCTATGTTTGGCTTAAGTCCTTTGGTGGAAGTGACAGTGTGCCATTCTGGGCCTAGGCCTCAAGGGACCTTGAACATCTCTGCTTGCCCTCTTCCACTTATGCCATCCCCATGAGAAGGATATGCCTGATCCAGCCCACTGACCTTGACAGGGAGATGAGAGACACATGGGTAGAGTTCTCTGGTGAAGCTGCCCCAGCCAAACCCAGCCTGGAGCCAAGCCCAGCCAAGATAAAGTGAGCCCATCCTGGACCAGCTGACCCAGGCACCTGAATGAGAACAAAATAATTTTTGTTTTCCATCATTGAGCTTTGGGTACATTTGTTAGGCAGCAATAAACTAACATCAGAAGGTAATATAGGAAAATATCTATATGACTTCCAGATAGGCAAATGTGTTTTAAGCTAGTCACAAAAGTACCTGCTCACCATAAAGAAAAAGAGTTTTTATGTTAAAATTAAGAATCCTCATTTATCAGAAAATACTGTTAAGAGAGTAAAGAGGCTTGCCATAAAATGGAAGATGATATTTGCAACCATTCAACAAAAAACCAGTATCGAGAATATTTTAAAAATTCCTACACAGAATTAAGAAAAGACAGATTATTTTACATTTTATATAAAAGTCCATCCACCTTTTATATGTACCTGTTGCACATAAAAATGAGCAAAAAGACTTGAAAGAGTATTTTGCAAAAGAGTAAATCCACCTGGACAATAAACATACGATAATGTTCTGAATCCCAGAAACCAGGGAAATGTAGATTAAAGTCAACAACAAAGTGGTAGCTTAGACCCCAAGATTAAAACAGTGTCAGTGAGAAAATACCAGTTACAGAGATAGTCAGGAACCTTTAAGAAACAAGATGCTGGATGTTACATTGAAAAATATGTGCTGAGCTGTGCTGCTCTGTAACTACCTGCCCTGTTGTGAATCTGACCCACAATGCCTGTGAGAGTGGTGTTTTCTCTGGAGGATTCAAAGGAAAGGACAGTTGCCTTCTTCCTTGTGTTGCTACAGGGCAGAGAGAATACTGCAGGAGGTGAGGGGCAGAACAGAGTTTATAACCTCAACTGCAGTGTGAAAATGCTGGTTACCTCCACCATGTCTTACGGTGTAGCAGCCATATGTTTTGAGTTGGGTAGATCCCAACCACCTTCAGGGATAAGCCCTGATTGCCCTAAGCCATTCATCATAATCCCATTTCCCTGGCCTTGGATGGCTATATAACCTACATTGATTCAATCAGACTGAGGTTCTGGACTCTTGCTCAGTATTAAACACATGTATGACCTAGAAGTGCTGCAGCCATTTTGCTACTACGAGGAACCCAGTCTGAAGACAAATTGTGTACAAGGGAAGGGGCAGAGCCAAGAGAATTATGGAATGAAATCCAGTTTGATTAGATCATGCCTGAAATTTTCTAATTACTACACCTTTCAGTTATATGAACCAATGAATTTCCTTTATTTTTCAAGCCAGTTTGAGTTGGCTTTCTGCTAGTTGCAATAGAAGCATCTGTAGAAATTAGAGCAACAGGTGATGAGGAAAGATGTACTGAAATTTCCGCAGGATCTGGTGATGAGGAGAAGCACAAGTTATACCACCAAATATGGAATGGAGGCTTAATAGGTTTAAAAATAATATTAAGGGGGAAGTTTGACTGAGGAACTCTGGCAAATGCCACTTGACTGACACATATGATATCTAGTAGCTTAGTGAAGTTTAGGGATGGTTCCTTGAGAGAATCAACTAGAAAGCCTTTTAAAACTCCTTTGAAGAGAATATAAGCTCTTGAAAAGATCCCAAAGATCAATCATTTCATCAAACAGCTGGGGAAACTGAGGCCCAAAGAGGTTATGTTTTAGTTAGTACTTAAGATGGGGCCAGGTCCTGGGTGTCCAGATTTCTCATGAGGGTTCTATCAACTCATGAAAGCTCATCATCTTAGATGTGTATAATGAAAAACTTTCATTTTCATCTACTCACATTGAATCTCATTGACTCTATTTTTTCTTCCTCACCCAGCTCTAAAGATCTTTTAGGAATTTAGCAGAAAATAGGTAACTGTCAGTCAAATTTACCATCACTTGCTGATGTGGGGAATTCCTGGGGTGCCCCATGTCCAGATCAGTTATGTAAGCCCTGAGTGAGATTCATCTGTCACAGGCTCATTGCCTCCTTAGCTCCTGGTGGTTTGAAGCTTCCCTTGGATTTGGCATCTTGTCCTGGGTTCTTGCTCCTACTCTCCTTGGGGTTCAGTTCTCTCTCCTGGATTTTGAGCACAGTGGCACCAACTCCCTTATTCCTGGTGCAGGTGGAGCCGGCTCTGGCTGTGGTCGTGGATTCTGCCATGATCTCTCCAGGTCCTACCTGAGAATTTGATAGTCCTTGACTTTTCTCTTTTTACCCCCAACATGGCTTTGTCAAGCCCTGGGATTCTATCTGATGTCTACCACCTTTCTTGTCTTTAAACCACTCTTTCAATCCCCACCTCATTATCTTTTGCCTGGACCATTACAATAGTTACTAAAGGCCCTAAACCAAAAGGATCTGAAGAAATGTGCACCTTTTCTGTGGGAATAATGTAAATAATAGAATTTACTGAGCACTTAATGTGCAGAGCTCTGTTCTAATCTCATTATAGTTATTAACTCTCCAAACAACCCTATGCATTATTGCCATTTTTTAAACTGTGAAACTTAAGCACAGAGGAGTTAAGTAACTTGCCCAAGATAACAATGACAGTGGTTGGCTTTGAATCCCAGAGGTCTGGCTACAATAATGTTTGACCAAATATCTGGGCTCTCCATAGCCCAGTCAGGTTGACATATAAAATTAACCATCACAGGGAGCAGAAGAAATATAAAACAAGTGGGATAAATTGAAAATATACAACGAGATGATAAATCTATACCCAAACATATCAGTAACTTCTGTTGAAACTAATCGAGAAAAGAGAGAATGTACAAATAACCCAGGTCAGGAATTAAAAAATATTAATCACTGCAGATCTGCAGACATTCTCCTGAATGCTCCAAGAGCCTGCATTATTAACCCCATACTAATAATTCACCAAACATTGGATAATTGTTACGTGTCAGGCACTGTGCTAGGCACTGAAAATATTGAGTAAATACCTGCTCCTGGGGAGCTTATGGGCTAATGGAAGTGACAGTTACAAACAAAATGTTACATCATTAACAAGAGCTTTAATAGAAGAACGTATACCATGATGTGGCAATACAGAGGAGGGGCCTAGGGAGCTGTGTGAGGCTTCAGGAAGACATCTCATTTTAGCTAACGTGTGAGGACTGAGTTGGAATTTGATAGACAGTGAGGGAGTGTGTTTAATGGGATGCTGGAAGGGAGACTAACTCAAGGGATGGTCTGTCTTATCCAGGGAATGCCAAGGAGCTGGGTGTGGCAAGAGCATGGAGTGTGCGTTTGGAGGGGCAGGTGGCTGGGGGCAGGTGGGAAGAGGTGGGGAGTAGTGGATAAAATGGCATTTGAGACCAAATTTAAAGCATCTTGTCTCCACAGCTGCTAAGTTGTAAAAACTTTATTTTGTGAAGAATAAGATAATGACATGATCAGATTTATGTGCTTTGTTTTGCTCTGGTTTTCGAGACAGGGTATCTCTCTGTCGCCCAGGCTCGGGTGCTGTGGCACGATCATGGCTCGCTGTAGTCTCCGCCTCCCAGGCTCAAGCCATTCTCCCACTTCAGCCTCCAGAGTATCTGGGACTACAGGCGTGCGCCACCACACTGGGCTAATTTTTTGCTTTTTTTTTTTTTTTTTTTGTAGAGACAGGATTTTGCCACATTGCCCAGGCTGATCTCCAACTCTTGGGCTTAGGTGATCCACCCCTCTTGGCCTCCCAAAGTGCTGGGATTACAGGTGTGTGCCACCACATCTGGCCTCTCAGATTGATGTTTCATGAGATAGAGTACTGGACAGAGTGGAGGACACATTCATCTAATAAATAAATTTTAGTTGCACAAGACCCTATGCAGATAACTAGATACTATCTCAGATCTTGAGAAGCCCACACATGTTCTGAAAAAGATGTCCATCAAAACCTCATATTTCAAGGAGCCAAACATTGAGTCCTATGTGAGAAGTCCTGAATGCTCCAAGTGCAGTGACAGTTCAGACAGGAAAGATTCCTTTAGGCCACAGAGGGGTGGAGGAAGTGGGGCTGGCATCAGAAGGCTGGGTCCTGAATGATTATTGTGATTTCAATATGGCTTGCTCCTTGACGCACGTTCTAGCACAGCTAGGTGATAGAAATGACCGTTGTGAGTGTGTGGAAAGGTGGTGTCCACATCGGCCAGAGTGCCAGTGTGTAAAGCCAGGTCTTGATTGACCAGCTGAAACGAGATTCCCAAAGTGCAGTACCCCTAGGCTATGTCCTAGATGATTTTTGGTGGTACATGATAGACATCTAAAGTCTATTAGTTAGGTGTTTATATTAATATGTACTGAAAATACTTAACAAGAAATGATAATGTTGCTTCTGACTATACAAGAAAATGAGGCAATTTAATCAATAACTGGAAGTAATAATATGGATGGTGCACAGATATGACAAAAATTGTTGAGGAAATATGCAAATAACTGAACATTTGGGGGAATTGGGCTAAGGAGTTTAGGAAAATTTAGGAGGGTAGGCACCATAAGTGTTAAAGAGTGGTGCTTCTTTAGAAAGATCAAGCTGAGAGCTGGTGTAAAATGGATTAAATTTTAAAAAGTAGAGGCCTGAGCTGGAGACACCAGTAAGGAAACTGTGGTAATGCTTCAGTGGAAAGAGTTTCCTTTATAAGGAATCTGTGCTACTTTTCCTTCACACGTCCCTGTACTTGCTCAAGGTCTCACTGTAAATGCATCAGCTTGCTTCACATGGAAGTGACACTTGCTATCAGAAGTGCCCACAATCTCTTCTGCTGCTTTGCTGAAAAATAGACATTTCTTGATTTTGGCAGTGGTGTTTTGACGATTTGACACATTATACATCACAGTTTCATTTCTGGACTCCTTTCCTTGGAATCAATGCCACTCTTTTTGCATCAAAAAGTTTTCATCGGAAGGCAATGGCAGAAGTCTTCCACAAAAAAAGGTAAAAATAAGACTTTCAAAAACTATCAGGCCAGTGCCTCAAAACTGCAAAGAAACCTGAGCTCTACCCCAGTGAAACTAAGCAGTGCAGAGGCAGCAAAGGCTCCTCCTCCCACCCCAATGTCCAACTCTTGTGCAATGTTTAACTTCAGTCCTTTTGCAATGTCTGCTTTCTTTGAAGAATTGTGGATTTCTTAAGATACTGTAACCCACATTTGCAATGTTCTTCCTGTGAGAAATTATGCATTAAATTAGCACATTTTGAGCAAATCTTGCCTATTCGGGAAGGAGACTACATAGCTATTTCAACGGATGGATCTCTTGCAGCAGGAGAAGTGGCTCTGGTCCCTCTTGGATGCTTTCTGCTTAAAGCCTTGGAAGCTTTCTGCTGGCAGATCCTATGGACTCATTTTCTTGACATTTTGAACATCCAGAATCTTGTCTATAGATAACACACTTATCCCTTCCTTCATTCTCCCAAGGAGGGGAACACTTCAGGGTCAACCTTCATCCTTAGATGAATAGGTTTAGACATACTTATCAACGGAATAAATACACTCTTCAGTTTCCTCTGCCACCTCTTAACTACTTTTAGTGGCTTATGTATTGAATGATGCCTTATCTCTCTGAAAGCTACAGAGGAGTCAGAGAGTGAGGCCTAGGGAAGGGTTGTATGACATGTGACCTTATTTGAGGTGCCATCTAGCAGCTTCTTTGTCTACTTCCCATCTCCCAAGCCTCCATATGGCTTGCCTCTTGACAAGATGGTGCCTGAAAGAGTTGCTTCCTAGGCAAAACCACAGGTAAATCCAGTTTGTCCTTGATGATCCTCCCACCTTTCCTTTGGAATCTGTAGTAGATATCTGGTGGATTTTGTTTGTTTTACCAGGATCCCTTTTCAGTTCTTTGGAAACATCACCCCAATTTCTTTGTGATTTTCCTGTGGGAACACCCCTCCCCCTTGGAAGCTGTTTTATCAAGGAACTGTCAGTTTAGGTGTGTTGTCTTCTGGCAAGAAATGAGCATGTGACCCAAGTGTGGCCCATTAGAGTCTGTCTCTGTGGAACTTGAATCTTGAGAAGAGTGACACAGGGCTTAAGAGTGCCTGGAGCACATTTGTCCTGAGGTGGTGTGTCTCAGTCCCCACCACCTGGATCTGCAGCAACTTTTTTCTTCCCATCCATCTCAAGGCCCAGTTGTTCAGCCTTTCTTTTGATGCTACAACATCTTCTTGAAGTAAATTATTTTTTTTTTTTCTAAAGTAAACCGGACTCTGTTACTGTTGCTTATAATCAAAGAAACTTGAAAAATCCATCCTCTACTCATTTTCTTCGTCCTTTTCTAGGCTTCTTCCCAACCTAAAGCTCTTTAGTGGTGTCTTAGTCATTTGGGCTGTTATAAAAAATACCATACAGTCAGTGCCTTATAAAAAACAGAAATTTATTTCTCATGGTTCTAGAGGCTGGAAAGTCCAAAATCCAGGTGCTGGCAGATTTATTGCATAGTGAGGGCCCACCTCCTGGTTCATTGATGACAGTCTTTTTGCTGTGTCCAAATGTGGAGGAAGGGGCAGAGGAGCCCTCCAGGCCTCTTTTTAAAAGGGCACTAATCCCATCACAACCCAGAACACTCATGACCTAATCAACCCCCAAAAACCTCCCTCCAAATACCATCACATTGAGATTAGGTTTCAGTATGTGAATTTTGAGGGACACAAACATTCGGATGACAGAAAGTGGCTTCACATTTCTATGAGAATAAGACCCAAGTCTCAACCACAATCTGTAAGGCCCAGCCCTATCCGGCTGTCTGGCCCATGGGGACCGCTCTGCCCACCCTCCCACCCTGACTTTTCCTTTGCTCCCTCTTCCACCCCACTCACCTTCTCTCATTTCTTTGGGTGCTCCCTGCTCTCTCATCACAGGGATTTCACAGCCGCACCCCTCTGCCTGCAGTGCTCTTGAGTCTGCCTTCCCATGCCCTCCACATGCCCTTGGCAGGGTTGATTAGGTTAGGGGCTTTCTTAATGCACCTGGTACTTCTGCATCATGGCACTCACCTCAATTTGTAATTGGATATCTACATGTTGATTATTTGATTATTGCTTATCTCCCTCAATAGACTATAAGCTTCATGAGGACATGTTTTTGTCCATGATTATATTCTGGTGATTGACCTAGATGTACATAGGAAAAGCCCAAAACATCTTTTAAATTTCTTTTTTTTTTTTCTTTTTAAGATGGAGTCTCACTCTGTCACCAGGCTGGAGTGCAGTGGCACTATCTCTGCTCACTTCAAGCTCCACCTACTGGGTTTGAGCGATTCTCCTCCCTCAGCCTCCGGAGTAGCTGGGGCTACAGGTGCATGCCACCATGCTGAGCTAAGTTTTGTATTTTTTGTAGAGACGGGGTTTCACCATGTTGGCCAGGATGGTCTCGATCTCTTGACCTCGTGATCTGCCCACCTCGGCCTCCCAAAGTGCTGGGATTACAGGTGTGAGCCACTGTGCCCAGCTTAAATTTCTTTATTATAGGTTCAGGGGTACATATGCAGGTTTGTTACATGGATATATTGTGTGATAGCGAGATTTGGGCTTCAATTGAACTTGTCACCCAAATAGTGAACATAGGACCCAATAGGTAGTTTTTAGACCCTTGCCCCCTGCCTCCCTCCTTCATTTTTAAAGTCCTCAGTGTCTGTTGTTCTCATCTTTGTGTCCATGTGTACCCAATGCCAAAAAATTTTTGTGGAATGAATACGTTTTAAAAAGTGAAGTCTGACCTTGTCAGACCACCTGAGAGATGAACCTGTGTTCCTAGCCTTCTTCTCACAATACGATTTCTGAGCTTCCTCTGCTCCCTTTAGGGCTCTGGTCTGCACTAGCATTTGATGGCTGGAATAGTTTAACAGCACACATAAGCATGGTTTTTGCTAACATGCTTTCCTACAGTTCTTCTTTCTCTGGCTTTCTATTGTACTCCTGTCTAATGTTGACCTCCTGCCACTTGATTATATTCTCCTACTGAGGCCTATTTTGTGATAGAATGGTTACATTCTTGAAAGCAGGAACTAGCGGGATAAAGGCTAACTCTTTTCCTGGTTCTGCCCCTTTGTAGCTGGGTGGACATTGGCTAATTCATTTAACTTCACTGAAACTTAATTTACTCATTTTAAAAATGGGGATGATATCTGTTCCACTAAATATAGCTGTCCCTTGATGTCCATGGTGGAGCAGCTACAGGACTGCCTGCAGATACCCCAGTCCACGGATGCTCAAGTCCCTTATGTAAAATGGTGTAGTATGTGCATATAACTTACACACATCTTCCCGTGTGCTTCAAATACTCTTTAGATTACTTAAAATACCTAATACAATGTAAATGTTATGTAAATAATTGTTATGCTGTATTGTTTAGGAAATGACAATAAGAAAAATGTTCAGTATAGACACATCCATTTTTTAAAAGAAAATATTTTAGATTCACAGTTCGTTGAACCTGTGAATGCAAAGAGATAATCAATGTCAAGGCACTTCAGAAAGTTGCTAAATTAATACATAATGTAAGAAGTATTTATTATTACTTTACACCTGAATGTTTGTGTCCCCCCCATTCATATGTTAAAATCGAAACCTCAAAGTTGATAGTATTAGGAGATGGGGCCTTTGGGAGGTTATTAGGTTATGGGGTGGGGCTCTCATGAATGGGATGAGTGCCCACATGAGAGAGGTCTGAAAGAAAACCCCTTCCCCTTCTACCATGTGAGGACACAGAAGGCACTATCCATGAACCAGAAAGCGGGCCCTCACCAGACATCGAATCTGCCAGCACCTTGATCTCGCACTTTCCAGCCTCCAGGACTTCGAGAAATAAATTTCTGTTGTTTAAAAGCTATACAGTTTACGGTATTTTGTTGTGAGCCGGAGTGTACTGAGAGGATACCTTTCTGATATTCATCATAAGATTTGGTTTCTGGTAGGCACTCTCCAAATGCTATATAGTGCTTTATTGTAGCTGCCCTTACTTCAGATAGTGAGTGAAATAAGATGTGCTACTAGTTACGCTGAGTACGTACCAAGAGCCAGGCACGGAGCTAAGGGCTTCGCATGTGATGCTTCCGTGGATCCTTGCAATATTATAAAACTGACGTTAGTTTTTCTCATTTGACTGAGGACAAAATGAGGCTAGAAGAGGTTAAGCGACTTATTCAAGGCCACATAGCTTACAAATTGGGGAGCTGGGATTCACGTACAAGCCACTGATTCCGAGGGCAGTGCTGTTCACCAGGGTCCACACGGCCGCCTTTACCCTGCACATCCTTTCCGGGGCGGGCCAAAAGTTATACTTTACTGAGGGCGTCCTATGTTCTGGGCACTAAGCAGGCTGATACACATACTTCCCCTCACTTAATGTTTACATATTATCATCATTTCACAAATGAGGAAACAGAAGCTTAGAGCGAAAAGCTGCACTGTTGCCCCCGGGTAGGATACAGAAAGCTGCAACAGGCCGCCACTGCTACTATTGCAATAATAGAGAAAAGTGGATCAATTGTGAAAATCCCATATTTAAAGACAATGGAGAGCAGTGGAAGCAACGAGCAGGACAACTGAACTAGAGAAGGAAGCATCCTTCCTAGGCCCTCATCCCACCTCACTTTCTTCCCTCTGGGCATTTGCCTATTCAGAGCTTGGGTGAGGGCTTGACCTAAGCCAGCGAGACTCTGAGGAGGGAGAGAGGAAACAGAGGTTGTAGCAGTTTCTCGGGAAAGGCATGACAGACTAGAAACCAGAGGAGCCCTAAAGGTAAGACAGGTTTTCCCCGAGGGACATTTGCTAAACTCTGGGATGCCGATAAGGAGGCTCAAACACATGGGATCTAACACTCACTAAATCTGGGGCTGAGTGCCCGCACCACAAGACAGTTTTGTTTTGAATTTCTTTCCTGGGGCCTGTCAAGCCCAAGAGATCAAATTTGCCCACCTTTTCCCTGGAACCTTTACATTCCTCAGCACCAATTGTCTGGATTTTTTGCGGCAGGTAGATTTTTCCCAGACATTGGCGCCCCCTGCTGTCAGACAGCAGCTTTGCAGGGACTTGGAGCCTGGCTCACAAACCATCGTAATGCTGATGGGGACAGAAAATAAAGGGTCGCTCGATGTCCGCAGGGTACTGCTGAGCCTGGTGGGCTGCTCAGGAAACCACAGGTCATCTGGAACGCCTCAGACTGCCCCAGCCCCACGCTGCTGCTGGCTGCTTCCCGGTGTCGGTGGCAGAGTCTGGGACCTTGGGAGCCTTTTACCGTGCTCCCAAGAATCAGGGGTTTAACCCCAATGGATGATGACTTCCAAAGTCTGAGATGGGCTAGTCTCACTGGTTTCTACCAGTGAGACTCGTCCTGAGTGTTAACTCTACCTGACTTGTCCTGAGTGTTAACTGTCCAGACTGGTAGATACCTGTGGCTTCAAGTCCCTGTCTGTAAAATGAAGTCAACGGTGCCCACTGCACAGGGCTGTTTGTGCGTTAAATGAGACAGTGTGTATGGAGGGCTTAGCATTGCCTGATATAGAGTTAGAGCTGGGTTACTAGTGAGAATAGCAGTGGAAATTCTTGTTGTTAGGGCCGCCCCCGCTCCATCTTCCTCAAGCTCCTCGAAGGGAGCTGCACTGGCCACCTCTTAGAAGTGGTGAGAGCTGGCCTGAATGCTCTGGGCCGTTCGGACATCCTCAGCCTTCCTTACAATGGGACAGCAGGAGTAGGATCCTGGTACTCAGGGCTGAGAAAGAGGAAGACCTGGGCTTGGGAGAGGAGACACCAGACAGTTCCCTGGACTTCAGCCTCCTTTCTGTGACTGGCTAGCATTAGCTGTTCTCAAACCTCAGGCCTGTGGAAGCTGAGTCGTCTTCCTAAGTAAATTGCTAAAACTGTCTCTGGAAAACTGTCTTTGTGAAGGCTGCATCTCAGTCTCACATTCAAGGATGAAACTCTGACTGCCCTAAATGGAGGAGTTGACAGAGCTAATGGAGAGCAGTGGTTAGATGACACAAGATTGTTCTTGACTTGGAGAACTGCTCTTCTGACTGCTTTGTGTGGGCGTCACATGCTGGCTGCTAGGGAATCCATGGGTGTGGGGGTGAAATGCTGTCTGGGGACTTTTTGGTGCCAGACTTCTGGGATGAGACAGCCTGGATGGGGGCCTCGGTCCTCCAGTTTCCTGGGGAGCTAAGACCTTTGGAATACGGGGCTTCAGCTCTGGATTGCACCCATTTCCTGGTTTGTAGTTTCCCTAGCTCTCAGGTCACCCAGTCACCAGCACCCTTAGCAGCAGTCTCACGGAGGTTTATTTCCTGGCAAGAAAGAAAACTTCTCATCCCTCTATTTTGAAAGCACACACCATTCCTTGGGTGCCCATCTGCACTCCCAGGTCTTGCCACCCACTCCCTCATGGGCCCTGCTGTGATCCTGTCCCACAGTGGGCCTTGCCTCACCTCTGGCTGGAGAGGTTGCAGCTGGTTGCCAAGCCCCTGGAATGCCCTCCCAGGGTCCCAGAGTCTGCTACCCACACAGAGATGGAGCCAGCAGCAGTGTGAGGCTGGGGCCGAGTCTGAGGCCTTCCAGGCGACCTGTGCTTTCCTGGGCAGCCTGCCAGGCCCCAGCAGCAGTCTGCAGACATTGAGTGAGCCTTTATTTCCTGTCCCCATCAGCACTATGACTCAGTTTGTGACTTTTTTACCTGCTCACCTATGTTACCTTAGGTTTGGGCCTTGTGACTTCGTTTTGTCCTAGGGTTGCCAGAAAAAATGCAAGATGTCCAGTTAAATTTGAATTTCAGATAGATAAGGAATCATTTTTTTTTTAAGTATGTCCCAAATATTGCATGAGTTATCCTCATCCTAAAAAGTGATTCCTTGTTTATCTGAAGTTCAAATTTAACTGACTGTCCTATATTTTTATTCACTAAATTTCTATTCACAGTTAACTGGGCATCCTATATTTTTATTCAGTAAACTTGGCAACCCTGTTCTCATCTCCCCCATCAGAGGGGGACTTCCTGAACTCAGGAACTTTCTGAACTTTCTCGGGGAGGCTTCCAGCCTGACTGCAGGGACTTAACCCCACTGTTTAGAAGAATCATAATGGATGATTTCTTCCTCAGACTGGGAGATCCTTGAAGGTAGGACTTGTGTCCCCCTCCCACTGCCACACCTTAGATGCTCGAACTAGGGCCAAGGGGCTCAGCACCTTGTGAACGAGGTAGGTCCCCTCGGGGCTAAAACCACAGGGACCTTGGTGCTGTTTGCCTGCTCAAGGGACCATATTTCCTGAAATGGCACAGGGCTGGTGAGCGGCAGGGAGCCTTGAGAGGAGATTCCCTGGGATCACATGTCCTGTGACAGCTGCTGGGCTGGGGAATGTGCTCTGAGCTAGGTGGGCTTCCTGTGGGGGCCTCATGTCATTTTACCAGATACAGAGGTGCATTTTACCCTTTCTGCCACATATGGTATGAGATAATGGGCAGGCCTGGACCCTGTTTTCTCTGCCCGATGGCCTATCAATTTCTTGCCTCATCTCAGAACAAAGGGCTAACTCCTTATATAGATGAGGGGAAATGATTTGCCCAGACACCAATCAAATTAAGGGAAGAATTGGGACCAGGATAAGTTCTTTTGGTTCTCAGTCCAGTGCTCAGCACAAGTCTGTCTTTCTGTGGGCAGCAAGGACTTGAGGCAGGACGTTTACTGGAGCCCTGAGCCCTGGCAGCAGCAACTGGTTATTGCTTCTGTTCTCAGCAGTGATGACAGAGAGTGTCAAAACCGAATATTCACTGGAGGCAGAGTCTGAACACTTCACATAAGATGTGGTGAATCATATGGTTGAAGGGAAATCCCTGCAGGTTATACACTGATAGCCTAGCTAATTTTAGGGAGATAGACAGGGAGAGCTTCTGGTGTTTATGTTTTGAAATTTCCCTTTTTTTTTTTCTCCATAAAGGAAAAATAAACTTTGTCCTTGGGTGGTGAAGCCGAGGAGGCCTCTGGAAGCTGTGCTCAGTTAGTGACAATGCCAAAGTATGAACACTCCTGTAGATTGCCCCTGGGCTCACAGGATCCTTCGCCTTCCCCTCCCGTCCTTAGCTCTCCACTCATTTCTAGAAACCCTTGCAATGTGCACGGGCCATTCCAGATGTTACTGTGTTAGAGGCATAGAGGTTACTGGGTCCTACCTGCAAGGGTGTCTCTTTATCAAAAGGGCAGACTTGGCCGGGCGCGGTGGCTCACGCTTGTAATCCCAGCACTTTGGGAGGCCGAGGCGGGCGGATCACGAGGTCAGGAGATCGAGACCATCCTGGCTAACACGGTGAAACCCCGTCTCTACTAAAAATACAAAAAAAATCAGCTGGGCGTGGTGGTGGGCGCCTGTAGTCCCAGCTACTCGGGAGGCTGAGGCAGGAGAATGGCGTGAACCCTGGAGGCGGAGCTTGCAGTGAGCCGAGATTGCGCCACTGCACTCCCGCCTGGGCCACAGAGCGAGACTCCGTCTCAAAAAAAAAAAAAAAAGGGCAGACTTTTCTGCTTTTGCCTGAGCTCTCCTTAGTATATTACCTTTCCCCCACCCACATCGTTATCACCCTTTTTGCTGCATATCAACCCCCCAAGGGGCCCCTTAGAATCCTCCGTTGGAACTTGCCCACAGTCTCTGACGGGAGAGGGGTACTTCTGCAGTTGGGATTTTTAAACTGGAGCCCTTTTCCCTTGGGCAAACTCTTCCCCCGACCTCTTGTCCACCTGGCAGCTCTTAGAAGTGATTAATGGAGTAGTCTCTCATTACATTGCTAGAGGGGAGAAGGTGAGGAGGCTGAATAAAAGAGAGAGGGCCCTGGGTTTGGGTGGATGGGCTTGTCTCTCTGGAGGGGCCCGGATGTCCTTTTAATACCTGGGATTTCATGCACAGATTCCTCTGTGGTCAATAAATTACATTTTAAAATGTTTTAACTAAAATGAAAGTTTTAGAAAGGACTGTCTCTCCAGCCTTGATGCTTTGACAAGAAGAATAGTTTATTCTTAAACAAGGCACACACAAAATATTTACCATAACATTGATTATATTACAATAAATAATTTGTTTATTTGACATCTTAAAGACAAGTTGCATATTAGGAGAAAATATTTGGGATGCATGTAAGTTGCAAAGGTTCAGTTCATATTATATATAAGAACTACCATAATTCAATAAAAGGAGATCAAACAACTCAATAAGGAAATGGATAAATGACATAAACAAGGGTTTCACAGAAAAGGAAATATATATGGTGAATAAATACATGAAGAGATATTCAACCTCATTAGTTATCAAGGAAAAATAAAGACAATAGTGAATTAACATATATCTATTCAATTAGCAAATATTACAGCTTGTTAACATAGGGAATTGGAAACAATTAGACAGTCACTTACATATTTGATAAAAATGTATTGAGCCCTACTTTGCACTTGTAAACCAAAAATAAAATTCTAAGGCCCCACCCACCCATCTGAATGGACTCCTTCTCTTGGCCAAGGACATTCCAAAGTTAGCCTGAAAAACCAGTTTTAGGCCATGGTAGGAAGGGGGAGCCAGACATGCCTCATTACACTGTCCTCTCTTTTGGAATTACTGATAGAACAAACTCTTTAAGTCCGATACAGTTTATTCTCTCTGAAGCTTGCTACCTGGAGGCATCATCTGCATGATAAAACCTTGATCTCCACAACCCCTTATTATAATCCAGATGTTCCTTTTCATTGATAGTAACTCAACCAATTGCCAGTCAGAAAATCTTTGAATTTGCCTGTTACTTGGAAGCCCCCTACATCCAGTTGTCCCACCTTTCTAGAACAAACCAATGTACATCTTACATGTATTGACTGATGTATCATGTCTCCCTAAAATGTACAAAAACCAAGCTGTACCCTGACCACCTCAGGCACATGTTTTCAGGATTTCCTGAGGGCTGTGTCATGGACCATTGGTCACTCATATTTGGCTTAGAATAAATCTCTTCAAAGATTTTATAGAGTTTGACTCTTTTTGTTGATACGCTGGATTCTCTTTCAGGTGCTCAGGATATGGCAACAAACAAAGAAGATAAAAATGCCAGTTCTTGTGGTAGCTTACATTCTTTTGGGAGGAGATAGAGAATAGACAATAAATGTAATAATTAAGTAAGTTATATCTTATGCTAGAAGGGGAAATATATAGGAGAAAAAGAACAACTGAGAGTGATGGGATAATTTTCCAATTAAATGGAGCATTCAGGATGTACCTTATTTAGAGTGTGACACTTGAGAAAGACTTGAAGAGCATGAGGAAGTGGCTTGTGCAAATGCCTAGGGGAAGAACATTCCAGACAGAAGGGACAGCCAGTGTGAGAGCCCTAAGGTGAGAGATCAACAGGATTTCTTACACCTTGTTGAAGGGAATGTAACTTAGTACAACCTCTTTGAAAATCAATTGGCATTATTTTGTAAATTGAATATCTCATAAACAGCAGTTCTACTCTTAAGTACATAGCCAAAGGACACTCTTAACATGTGTACCAGGGGAAATGTGCAAGAATATTCATAGCAGCAGCATTAAAAAAATGAAGCTCCTCAAAGGTCCAGGCATAAGAGTTTTAAACCATATTGTTTAGGCATATGTTTCAATTGTCCATTGCTGCATAACAAATAATCCCAAAGTTTAGTGGCCGAAAACAACAACAATCATTAATAATCCTTTATAGTTTCTGTGGGAAACCAGAAATTTGGATAGGGCATAGAAGAGATGGCTTGTCTCCATTACGACACCTGGGGGCTCATCTGGGAAGACTTGAAGACTGCCGGGGTGACTCAACAGCTACGGTTTATAGTCATCTGGAGATGTAAGGAGTCACATGTTTTGTGGTTGATGCTGCCTATTGGCTATGATCTCAACTCAGCTGTTGGCAAGAAAACCTACATGTAGCCTCTCCATGTGGTCTCTTTATATGGAATATTTTGGATTTTCTCAGAGCATAGTGGCTGGGTTCCAAGAGCATGTGCCCCTGAAGAACAAGGCAGCAGTACATGAAATTTTTATAATTTATTTTTGGAAATTACAGTGTCATTTTTTTCTTATTTTATTGGTAGAGGCAGACACAAGGCCTGCCTATGTTCAAGGGGAGGGGACATAGACACCAGCACTCAATGGGAAGAATGTCAAGGTGTATCGGTCTGTTCTTACACTGCTATAAAGAGATACCCAAGACTGGGTAATTTATAAAGAAAAGAGGTTTAATTGGCTCATGGTTCCACAGGCTGTACAGGAAGCATGGCAGCATCTGCTTCTGGGGAGGTCTCAGGGAGGTTTTACTCATTGTGGAAGGCAAAGCAAGAGCAGGAGTCTTACATGGCAGGAGCAGGACCAAGGGGTTGGGGGAGGTGCTACATACTTTTAAACAACCAGATCCCATGAGAACTCTACCATGAGACAGCGCCAATGGGATGATGCTAAACCATTCATGAAATATCCATCCCAATGATCCAGTTACCTCCCACCAGGTCCCACCTCCAACACTGTGGATTATGATTTGATATGAGATTTGGGCAGGACACAAATCCAAACCATATCATTCTGCCCCAGCCTCTCCCAAATCTCATGTCCTTCTCACATTGCAAAATACAATCATGCCTTCCCAATAGTCCCCTAAAGTCTTAACTCCTTTCAGCATTACTCAAAAGTTCAAATTTCAAAGTCTACAAGACAGGTCTCTTCCTCCTATGAGCCTATAAAATCAAAAACAAGTTAGTTGTTTCAAGACAAAATGGGGGTATAGGCATTGGGTAAATAGTCACTTTCCAAAAGGGAGAAATAAGTTAAAAGAAAGGGGCTATGGGCCCTGTGCAAATCTGAAACCCAGAGGGCAGTTATTAAATCTTAAGCCTTCAAAATAATCTCCTTGGACCACACATCTCATATCCAGGGCACACTGGTACAAGGGGTGGTCTCCCAAAGCCTTGGGCAGCTCTGTGGCTTTCCAGGACCTGTGACTGCTCTCATGGGCTGGTGCTGAGTACCTTCAGCTTTTCCAGGTGATGGGTGCAAGCTGTTGCCATATCTACCGTTCTGGGGTCTGGAGGACAATGGCCCTCTTCTCACAGCTCCACTAGGCACTGCCCCAGTGGGGATTCTGTGTGGGGGTTTTAACCCCACATTTTCCCTCTGCAATGCCCTAATAGAGGTTCTCCATGAGGGCTCCATCCCTGCATTAGGCTTTTGCCTGGATATCCAGGCTTTTCCGTACATCCTCTGAAATCTAGGTGGAGGCTCCCAAGCCTCAAGTCTTGTACTCTGCATACTCACAGTCTTTAATACCATGTGGAAACTGCCAAAACTTATGGCTTGTACCCTCCAGAGCAGTGGTCTGAGCAGTACCTGGGCCCCTTTGAGCCACAGCTGGAGTTGGAGCAGCTGGGATGCAGGCAGCAGTGTCCCAAGATTGCAATGGGCAGCAGGGCTCTGGGTCTTGCCTACAAAATCATTCTTTCCTCGTAGGCATCTGGGCCTGTGATGGGAGGGGTTGCCTTGAAGGTCTCTGAAATGCCTTTGAGGCATTTCTCCCATCATCTCGACTATTAACATTTGGTGCCTCTTTACTTATGCAAATTTCTGCAGCCAGTTTGAATTTCTCCCCAGAAAATGTTTTTTTTCTTTTCTACCACATGGCCAGCCTGCAAAATTTTCAAACTTTTATGCTCTGCTTCCCTTTTGAATGTAAGCTTTAGTTTTAGGTTATTTCTTTGCTCATGCATATGAGCATCAACAAAGAATTATGCTCATGCATATGAGGTTGTTAGAAACAGCCAGGTCATATCTTGAATGCTTTGCTGCTTAGACGTTTATTCTGCCAGATATCCTAAATCATCACTCTCAAGTTCAAAGTTTCACAGATCCCTACAGCAGGGGCACAATGCCTCCAAGTTCTTTGCTAAAGCATAGCAAAAGTGACCTTTACTCCAGGTCCCGATAAGTTTCTAATTTCCATCTGAGACCTCCTCAGCCTGGACTTCACTGTCCATATAATTATCAGCATTTTGGTCACAACAAATTAACAAGTCTCTAGGAAGTTCCAAATTTTCCTTAATCTTCCTGTCTTCTTCTAAGCCCTTTGAGCTGTTCCAACCTCTGCCTGTTACCCAGTTCCAAAGCTACTTCCACATTTTTGGGTATGTTTATAGCAATGCCCCACTCCTTGGTACCAATTTTCTGTATTAGTTCATTCTTGTACTGCTATAAAAAACTACCTGAGACTGGGTAATTTATAAAGAAAAGAGGTTTAATTGGCTCATGGTTCCATAGGCTATACACAAGCATGGCAGCAGCTGCTTCTGGGGAGGCCTCAGGGAGCTTTTACTCATAGTGGAAGGCAAAGCAGGAGCAGGTGTCTTACATGGCAAAGGCAGGACCAAGTGGGGGCGGGGAGGTGCTACATACTTTTAAACAACCAGATATCATGAGAATGCTATCACAAGACAGCACCAAGGGGATGATGCTAAACCCTTCATGAAGGACCCACCCCCACCAGAATTCACCCCCTGGTGGGAGGTGATCCAATCACCTCCCATCAGGCCCCACCTCCAACATTGGGGATTACAATTTGACATGAGATTTGGGTGCGGACACAGATCTAAACCATGTCACAAGATAATGTTGTAAGAAAAGTATGTAGGATAAAATATATTGTGTTGATTATTTTTGAAAAATACAACTTGCCACAGTCCACCCTCTGGCCACAACAATTCGCATCCCTCTCATATGCAAAATGTACTTGTCTTCAAGACTCCTAAGTCTTAGCCTATTATGGTATCAGCTTGAAGAGTAGGTATCATAACTTAAATCAGGCCCAGGTGTAAATGAGGATACTCAGGTGTGGTCTTCAAGGATAAACTTTAATATGTTCCTCTTGATCTGAAGAACTGTGAATTAAAGAGGTAAGATTTCTTCCCCCCACACATCCAACATACAGTGGTGGGTTAGGCATACATAAGTTACAGACACTTCAGTTCATAAAGAGGCATATAGCAGTCACTGGTCCATAGCAATTCTGAAATCTATCTGGGTTCCTATTGCCAATTATAATTAGGTTTAATTCTACTCTTTGGAAGTTGTTCTGAGTGTCTCTTCACTTTCCCCTCTGGGCTCTTGGGCTCTTGAGCTCTTGGTATTGCCTTCTAAGTTATTCTTCTTTTCATATATAAAACAGCTCATGTTTATAGCTGAGTGATTTTCCAAGCCTGTTCTCTTCCTGTAGAGGGTTTGGAGTCTAAAATCCTCTTCAATTTGTGCTGTCCCCTTCAATCTAAACTGGAAAAATCATTTTAAAACTTTGTGTGCTTTTTATGTCTCAATTTATATCTACTTCATTAATCCAAAGCCACATTCATGATTATCTTAGAGATAAGTCCTTCTCTACCTTGGGCACCCAATGAGGCTCTGTGGGACAATGCCCTAAGATTTTAAGAAGTTCTATGTTTTTTTTTGAGATGGAGTCTTGCTCTGTTGCCCAGGCTGGAGTGCAGTGGTGCGAGCTCAGCTCACTGCAACCTCTGCCTCCTGGGTTCAAGCAATTCTCCTGTCTCAGCCTCCTGCGTAGCTAGGATTACAAGTGCATGCCACCACACCCAGCTAATTTTTGTATTTTTAGTAGAAATGAGGTTTCACCGTGTTGGCCAGGCTGGTCTTGAACTCCTGACCTCAAGTGATCCACCTACCTCAGCCTCCAGAAGTGCTGGAATTACAGGCGTGAGCCACTGCACCTGGCCCGAAGTTCTATATTTTAATAGAGAGGATCTGCAAGCCATGCCCTTCATATCCTTATAAGGGAGAAAGCCCTTCAGACTGACAGAGTAAAGATCTCTGAATATCTACTCCTTTGTAAAAGCAACTGGAACATTGGCAAAAGTTGCATTTCTCAATTATTTCCATAACTCTGGAAATTAATCAAAAGCTTGTAAAAATTCAAGAAGTGTTTATTAAAAAAAATTGGGTTAATCTTGGCAAGAAAAAGCAAGATTTGTGATATTTTTGTGTGCTCAATTCTCATTCCCCTTGCCCCAGCTCTGTGGTAACCTTCAAAATCAACAGCCTTGGAGCCCTGATACCTGTGAAAATTAGCAGTCTTGCCACAACTAACTGGAGAGGGGCAGGATGGGCTTGGAGTGCCCCCTAAAAGCTCCATCTCCAGAGAATTGTCACTCTCTGACCTCCCTGGAAAAGCCTCATTCACAGGACTTATCTTTATTTGCCTGACTCAGAGTTCACTCAGAAAAGCCCTACTCCTAGGGTATTTTTCAAAAAACAGCTGCAACGGTTTCACAGTAAGCTGCTTGAGTCAGTGATACCACCTGGGGCAAAGGGCTGGCCAAGAAACTTAAAAAAAATCTAAGGAATGAAATATCCACAGGGATCTTTGTAAAAGTTTAACATATTCCTGTGGATCTAGGACATGAGCATATATAAGGCGATATGCATATGCCCAGGAAAGACGTGAGAAAGTCCACATCTCTCATCTCTGGCTGACATTGAGGCTCTGCACAGCAAGAAGTGAAGGGTTAGCAGAGTTGTAAACTGCCGGGAACTGAAGATATGTCCCAACAAATATAGAACCCATGGCATAGGATGGGAGATTAATTGCTTCAAGGCATTTAAATAAACCACTCTCCAATTACTAGCCAATCACCAAGCTAGTTGAATACAGGCTGCACATGACAAAGATGATAGACTTGACAGAATTATTCTAGGAAACAAACAGCAGCACTTAGTTCACTAAGTAAACAACAGCAAAAATAACAAACTTAAGAAGGATGGGTGGGAGGGAAGGAGTATCTCATTTTCAGAGTTGCCACATTTTATTACTTAAAATGTCCAGTTTTAAATAAAAAATTAAAAGCTATGCAAAGAAACATGTCAGTATGGCCCCTACACAAGGAAACACAGTTGACAGAAACTCTCCCAGAGGAAGCCCATATGTTGAATTTATCAGACAGAGAATTTAAATCAACTATTATAAATATATTCAAAGAACATAATTAAAGAAAATTATATCTAAAAATTATGTCTAAAAATTAATTGTTTAAAAATATTGCAATGATGTCTCACAAATAGAAACTATCAATGAGTCACAAATTATAAAAATAAACAAATAGAAATTCTGAAGTTGAAAAGTACAAAAACTGAAATTAAAAATCACTAGAGAGTCTCACCAGCAAATATGAGCCAGCAAAAGAAAAAAATCAGCAAACTTGAAGGTAGGTTGAGATTATTCAATCTAAGTAATAGAAAGAAAAAAGAACTGTACCTCAGAGATGTGTGGGTTTCCATCAAACACACCAACATGTGCATAATGGGACTCACAGAGAGAGAGGAGAGAGAAAGGAACAGAAAGAATATTTAAAGAAATAATAGATAAAGACTTCCAAAAGCTGATGAAAAATAATCTTCCCATCCAAGAAACTCAATAAGCTTGAAGTAGGATAAACTCAAAGACATCTACATGCATTATCATCAAATTGCTAAAAGTCAAAGACAAAGAGAGATTAAAAGTTGTAACAGAAAAACAACTAATCATGCAAGGGCTCATTAATGAGACTAATAGCTAGCTTCATATCGGAAGGCAGTGAGATGACAAATTGAAAATCCTGAAAGAATGAGGCTGTCAATCATGAATTTTATATTAAGCAAAACTATCCTTCAAAAATGAAGGAGAGGTTGGGCACAGTGGCTCACGCCTGTAATCCCAGCACTTTGGGAGGCAGAGGTGGGTGGATCATGAGGTCAAGAGATTGAGACCATCCTGGCCAACATGGTGAAACCCCGTCTGTACTAAAAACAAAAAAATTAGCCAGATGTGGTGGTGTGCACCTGTAGTCCCAGCTACCCAGGAGGCTGAGGCAGGAGAATTGCTTGAACACAGGAGGTGGAGGTTGCAGTGAGCTGAGATAGTGCCACTACACTCCAGCCTGGTCACAGAGCAAGACTCTGTCTCAACAACAACAACAAAAAAAAAAAAAAAAAAAAGGGAGAAATGTAAACATTTCAAGATAAACAAAAAAATTAATGAAAAATAACTAGAATAACTTCTCTATGAGAAATACTAACAGGAGTTCTTTCAGGAGTTCTTTCAGGTTGAAATGAAAGAACTCTTGCAATAGCTTGACTCCATGTAAAGAAATGAAGAGCATTGTTGAAGGTTACTACATAGGTAAATTTTTAGCTACACTGACCAAGAAAAAAAGGGAAGAGCCAAGTTTCTAAACTCAGGAATGAAAGAGGGGACATCACCACTGACCTTACACAAATAAAAAGGATTTTAAGGGAATACTTTAAACAATTATATGCCAACAAATCAGATAACTAAATGAAATGGGAAAATTCCTAGAAAGACACAAACTACTGAAATGACTCAACAATAAATACAGAATCTAAATAAACCTATAGCAAGTGTTAAGGACTGAATGTTTGTATTCTCCCCAAATTTGTATGTTGAAGCCCTAAACCCCAGTGTGTTGACATTTGGAGGTAGGACCTTTGGGAGGTATTAGGTTTGGGTGAGGTCATGAGCATGGAGCCCCTAAGATGATATTAGTACTCTTATAAGGAGATGAAGGGACCAACACTCACTTTCTGCCACATCATGTGAATATACAAGAAGGGATCTATCTGCCAACTAGAAAGAGGGTCTTCACCAGGAACCAAATCAGCTGGCACTTGATCTTAGACTTCCCAGTCCCCAGAAGTGTGAGAAATGTTTGTTATTTAAGCCATACCACCTATGGCATTTTTGTTATAGCAGCCCAAGCTAACTAAAGATAGCAAGTAAGGAGATTGAATAAGTAGGTAGACTGCTTAAATGTCTGCCTCCTTCCCTTAGAGGGAGCACCCCAGGAAAGCAAGATAAAAGTGCACAGCATTTTTTGACTTAGCCTTGGAGATGACACAACATAAGCTCCTTCATACTGATAGAGGCAGTCACAAAGGCCTGCACAGATTCAAGGAGAAGACATAGACCCTTTACTTTAATGTGAGAAGTATTAAAGTCATTTGGCAAGATGAGCTTATAAGTGGGAAATATTGTTGAGGTCATCTTTGGAAAATACCGTCTGCCACAGCAGGCATATATATGTAAACTATATTTAAAAAGAAGGTTGTGGTTAGCTCTTTAGGAGAGAAGAGGCAGAAGGAGAGGATGGGAAGGAGTACATGTGTGTTTTGATTAGCGGTCTAGTTCTGGAATGGGTGGTGAGCAAGGTCATCTAGTATCACTGTACAGGCTGGGATTCGAATAACTCCAGGAACCATTATGAATTACAATGTGAGTGGGACTCCTAGAACTGTGCAATATGGCCACACTGCCGGTGGTTCACAGATGCTTATTATAATATAATTTAATATATTATCTGAAAGTAACAAGTAATAGAAAATAAATACACAAAAGGAAAAATAAATACAGAAATTAAAAGAGGACAAATAATAGTTTTAATCAATGAAATAGTCAATGGCATTTTGGGGGCACCCTGGAGCCACTTCCTGGGAGTGTTCCAGAGATACAAGGGCTGTCTTCAGAGAGATTAATGCCTTACCACAGTAGATTGCACTGGAGTGCTGCTTGGCTCGTAACCATTCTTTCTCTTCTGGGACCAGCAGAGGTGGGTTCCAGGTGACCCTGTCTGTGCTTCATGGTCTGTGCTTTCAGAGAATGCCCTGACCTCATGGTCATAGGGATGGCCATCTGACCAAGTTAGGCATATTAATTATTTCTCAAAATTTGTCCAAGCTGGAATTGAGAAAAGGGATTCAGCCTCTCTCTGGCACTGGAAGCCAAAAGCCGTGAGGCTCTGCAGTCCTTGGCCACCAGGTAACTTCCCAAGGAGATGGTCAGTCAGCAGAAGGGAATGAGGCAGCAGGCAGAGAAAAGCCAGGGCAGGAAGACAATGGTGAGCTGGTCCAGTTGAATTCAGCTACATTCTTGTACTCCCTTTGGTTGCTTTCTCTTTTGTCCTGGCCTAAAGAGAAAGCTGGGTTTCTGTTGCTTCCCATCACAAGGTTAAGAAGAATGCATACACACCCTGTCTGCAGAATAGCTCTACATAGCCATGGTTCAACATGCAGATTTAAAAGTGAACACCTAAGTGCTCAAGAGTTTCTAAAAAGAAAAGTGAGCATTTGAAATCCATCTGAGTAGCCCAAATGCATTCATTCATTTATTTACTTTATTCAGTCTTTAAACCAACACCTATTAAGCACCTTTTGTGTGCTAGGTTCTTCTGAGTCCAGGCTATTCATAGTTGGGCAAACCTCCATGGTACTCATGAAGCTTATAGTCTAGTGCAGAGGCAAACATTAAACCAAATTATCCAACATGTAAATGTGTAATTATAAATTCTGATAAGTGCTTGGAAGGAAAAGAATATGATGCTATGGGAAAATAATGGGATGGGCAGAGTTAAGAGTGGGCAGTCAGGAAGGACTCTCTGAGCAAGGGATACTTAAGCCAAAACCAAGATGGGGAAAAAGTCAGCCAGGTGAGAAATGTTATTAAGTTCATGCTCGGCACAGGGAACAGCATGTGCAAAGCTGTGAAGGAGAAAATGATAATAATAAAAACACAGTGCTTGCTATAAGCCAGGCATTCTTAGAATGAATCCTCACAACAATCCTGTGAAGTAAATACCATCATTAAGTCTCTTTTTTTCTTTCAGAATTGGAATCTAGGGCACAGAGAGGTTAAGTAATGTGCCCAAGGTCACACAGCTAAGTAGTAGAGCTGTGGCTCACATCTAGGAGGAGGCCATTGTGGCTGGAGCTGGTGGGTGATGGCAAGAATGGCAGATCAGGCTGGAGCTGTGTGGAAGGTCTGCGTCATGTCCAGCCTTGTAGGCCATGGAAGAGAGTTTGAATTTTATTCTATATAACCATGAAAAACAATAAAACATATTTAATCAGAAAAGTGCATGATATGTATATTTTGAAAAGCCAGTGATGGCATTTTAAAAATTCTATTTTGTGATTATGAAACTTCCGTATGCTCATTTGGAAAACACAGAAAAGCACCAAGCGGAAAATAAAAATCACCTCTAATGCCACACCCTGCAAACAACAGATAGTCACTGTTAACCTCAGAATATAGTCTTCCAATCATTGATAAGTATTTGCATTATAGCATAGTTAGAATTATGCTGCACCTATTGTTTTGTCAACTGCCATCTAAGAGATATACAGTATCATATGGTAGTTTTGATCCAAGATTTTTCAGGAAGAAATGTACATTAGTGATGTGGGGTGTGGGATGGGAGGACAGAAAGAAGCTCTTGTTTCAGAAGAATTAGTCCAGCAGGAAGACAGGTCGTGTCTGGGACATGGGTTTAGGTTGTCACTTTGGAAATCTGCTTTTGAGCCACATGTGAGCTCTCTGAAGATTCCATTTTCTCTGAGTTCTCCAAGGCAGAGACTAGCGCCAACACCTCTCCTTCCCCTGTAGGACGTACCCACACAAAGCAGCTGTCCTGTGCCACTCAGGCTGAGGAGAGATTGTCCTGCTGTGCCTCTCTTGTACCCATCTTCCTTCTGCCTTCAGGAAGTCATAAATCTGAGATGAGGGGATGGGTAGGTTACAGGCCTCAGATAGCTCCACCTGTTCATACATACAATAAATCACCAGCTTTGTCTCAGGCACGGCCACAAGCACTTTTTACACGCGTTATTTCAGTGAATCCTCCTACAGCCTCTGAGTAAGTGGTATTACTCCTCACCTTCACTGGTGAGGAAACTGAAGCCAGAGAAAGAACAACAGCTGGAAAGTGGCAGAGCCATCGCTTCTGGGCTTTTTGGTTAAGATCAAATGTAAGTGGCAGAACCAGTGGAACTTGAGCATGTCAGACCCAAATTCCATGTGTTTAACTGCTTCTTCATACAGAATATGTCCCTTGAAACCCTTTCACATTTTTCTGCTTTGTTGGAGGCAAATGTTCATTACTTTCCATCTGACCCTAGGATTGCACTGGACTGAAGGATGGCCACAAATTATAGGTGAAGCTGACCAGCCCCAAAGATTGGGATATTAAAGACACATGAATAATGGGCAGGTGCTTGGAGGGTAGATAGCCAAGTGCTGGAAACCCAGGCTTGAACTACCGTGCAGACCCCCTGAAGAGAGGAAGCTGGACCACTTTGTGCTCTAAGGTCAGGGCGAAGGTCTGAATCCTCCCACATCCATCATGGCCTCTGCCACAGCTGGATCAGGCTGGAATAACTTCCCTAAAGCTGGCTGGGAAAATCCCCAGGATGCCAGGCCACCAGGCAGCACTCCCAGGGAAGCTGACCCTGCTGCTGCCCCTCCCTTCCATTGATGGAAAAGTACAGGCAGCGCTGGTGCCCCTCAAGCCTTCAGGCAAATGTCTGGCTGCCCTCTAGACTCACCAACTGCAAGTAATGACGCTTTTGTCCTTGGTCCAAGGCTGAAGGAAAATAGTTTCCCAAAAAAGCAGTTAAAAAATGTGGAAAATATCCACAATCCAAGTGTCTGCACAGAGTGGGGTGGGAAGTCTCCTCCTAGACAGGCTTGCAGCTGAAGATTCTGCGGTCCTCCTGCGAAGAGGCAGGGAAGGAATGTGAAACCCTATCACTTGGGGGGCAATGCACAGTATGGCTTTCACTTTCTGGCCACTCTGGGAATGGGTCAGGGCTACAGATCATGCTGGAGAATCGCAGCCTCCTGAGAGTCAGCTCCACATACTGGAAGTTCAGCACATGCATGAGTCAGGATACCTGTCTGATCCCCTGGGGAGCTCAATGGAGACCTGGAACACACAACTATTTCCTCATGGACGCTAAGGTCTCTCAGGCCTTCCAGTTCTAACCTACTCTTTATTATCCCGCCTTCTCTTCCCACCTCATGTAGTAATTCACAGGTTTACTTATGATCTTATTTGACACTTGGCAGCAAATGAGGAAGTGAGGTATAATAGATGGGTATTATTGGGTTTATTGTACAAAAGGGGAGCCTAGGGTACAGGGAGGGAAGTTGTCTGCTTAGGGTCTTATAGACCTGGGTCTCCTCTGAATCCTGGTTCCTTGCTGCTAGACCATGGCATGTCCCATAGTCTTATACCTGCAGCTGTTGTCTCAGAAGCAAGAAGTACAGGGAGTGAGCACTGGTCTTCAGTCAGTAGGCCTGACTTTCTGTGGCACTATGCTTGGCCTATGGTTGGTTACTGATTGTGTGAGTAAACGAGTGACCTTGGGCAAGTGACTTTACCTTTCTGTGCTTTGGTTTCCTCATCTGCACAATGCAAGTGTTGAGTTGGATAACCTCTGACATCTAAGCCCCATCCAGTTCCAGTTTTAAGTATCTATATTTTCTGATTAAATCCAAACTTCCTAGGACCTGCCAAAGAAGCTGTTCCTTTCTTCCCAGTTCACTCATCCTGGTTTCCCAGCACAGACTCTCTGACATGACCTTTCCTGATACCTACCTTGCCTTAGTGGAGTGAGTGGAGTGCAGGGTGTGCCAGCCCAAGGCCTGCTTTGCCTTGCATCTCCACATAGTGCCCAGGCTGGGTTGCCCAAACAAAACACTTTGCAGAGTCTTTGATCCCTTACATAGTCCAGCCATGGAAGGATGAAGTGAGGCTGGTATTTGGGTGGAGACTGAAATGTGTGGATGAAAATCATGGGTATAGAAACATGAGGATCTCAGTGTTGGGGTCAGGGGTGAGGTATTTAGGATGTGGATCATGGTGAGAGGCTGAGAAATGGTAGGTGGTGGGGGTGAGGCTTTTTAACTGGAAGAGGGGAAAATGCTGTGACTCTGTCATCCTAGGCTGTCTTCTGGATCTGGAATGGATGATTCAGAGGGTGCATTTCCTTTTTCTGGTCTTAGATGGCTGGGTGTTCCATGATTGGACTAATGGTACGGGGGATAGAAAAGGCAGGGAGTGCTCTGACAAGGTCAGGGACCTGAGTCTATGAGAGCTGGGTGAGCTTGAGGGGGTCTGAGGGCTTGGCTTTCCACTCTGTGGATGGCTGAACATTGTCTGGAGGTTCCATCAACATGGCCACGCATGGCTAACCAGGGTTGGTCTGGTGGTGCCAGTGGTTTGGGGAGAGAATGTAGAGGCTGACTTGGGGAACAAGGAGAACCTGGCACTGGGATGAGGGTGGGGTCACATCTCTGGGCTGGAATGGCCTACTTCTGTTGTGTGGAGATGGTGGAGAGGGGTGGGGGTGGTGTGGCTCCAGACTTCTCAGCCCAGCCACCATGTTGGAAATCAGTTTATTGAATTTACAGTAAAGGTTTTATGGGGCTTTCCTGGAAGCTTCCCATTATGGAAACTCTTGTGCTGGCAGTTTGGTGGCTGGTGTCTGGTTTGCTTGGGAGAGGTTGAGTCAGGCTCTGTCTTGATGGAAAGTTCCTCTGCCTGGGTCACTTGAGGGGAGCAGGCTGGGGGCCTGAGTGGGCCTGCCAGATTCTTGGAGAGGGTAGGCTGTCCTGCAGTTTGGTCCTGAGTGGGACCCCTTTTGTTTTCTCTCTGAGCATCCTCTGTGGGTTCTGGACATCTGTTCTTCAGGGGAAGCCACGGTGAAAAAGTCACCCCGTTATTAAAGCTATTTTCATTATTTTCCACGTTTGAAAAGCACGAGATGCTGGTCCACTGAGCAAAAACAAACCAACTCCACAAAAATGGATTTGTTGATTATAAACAGCAGGAACACACAACTCACCGGACCACATCTGAATTGAGTATCCTTGAGCCTTGGTGTGAGGTCCCAACAGCTGCCCCCTTGCTGTTCCTTAGAAGTTCGTTTCTCCAGCATTTCCAACATCCTCTTGGACTCCCACTATACTAGTTCATTCTTGCATTGCTGTAAATAAATACCTGAGACTGGGTAATTGATAAAGAAGAGAGGTTTAATTGGATCATGGTTCTGCAGGCTATATAGGAAGCATGATGCTGGCATTTGCTCAGCTTCTGCGGAGGCCTCAGGAAACTTACAATCATGGCAGAAGGTAAAATGGGAGAAGGCATGTCACATCGTGGAAGCAGGAGCGGGGTGTGGGGAGGTGTCACAGATTTCTAAACAACCAGATCTCGTGAGAACTCACTCAGTATTATGAGAACAGCACCAAGAGGATGGTGCTAAGCCATTTATGAGAAACCCACCCTCATAATCCAATCACCTTCCGCTAGGCCCCACCTCCAACACTGGGAATTACAATTGGACATGAGATTTGGGTGGGGACACAGATCTAAATTGTATCACCCACTTTCCACTTTGCACTGTCCTCCAAAACTAGGCTCACATAGTCACTGCAGGATGCCTGACTTCGTTAAGGAGTAGAGCAGAGGTTTTGGCTCTAGATCTTCGAAAAGGCCCAGAGTCTAGTTTGTGAATGTGATGACTTCGTCATGTTGAGGCCCTGAAATGGAGACTGATTTGCACATTACCAGCCTCCCTTTAGCTATTAGTAGGACTATTGGATCTTGTGGCTCTGGGCCACCCATCCTCCCCCATGTACTTTTCATTTAAGCATTTATATCGCTGGTGTTCTTATTCTTTAAAACACAGGTACATTCACAGAATAGAACATCCTGCTTGGTATATGAATGACAATTGTGAAATCATTGAGTTGTTAAGGTTTCTTCAGGTGCCCAGGTGTGCCCCTTTTGACAGGGGTGTTGAGGAGGATCTTAGCAGCAGCATTTTCATGGGAAGTGATGTTGCCCCTCCTCAGTGATAGTGAACAGCCATCTTTCTAATGGTCTCAGGTGTCCAAATGTGTTCTGTGCTGCCGTGGGAGACAGTAAGCTGCCCATCACTGGAGACGCCAGCTGGAATTTTCACTGATTGCTCTGAAGGATGGTTGGCCTGGATAATCTCTAAGTTTCCTGACCTGAGATGCGAAGGGGAAACTGCTTGTAGCAGACAGGTGTCAGCTTTGCAGTCCGCCAGACCTGAGTTCAAGTCTCAATTTCCCCGCATACCTGGTTTTCTTCTCTGCAAAGAAGAGAGAGGAAAATAATATCAACTTTGCAGGACTCCCGTGAGGAATCCATGACACAGCACCTGGAGCTACGATGACTCTCTTATTATTCCCCCCTCTTCATTTCAAGTCAGTTGTGTGCTCAGGGTATGGACTCCACACTGGAACCAACCCTGCATTTAAAAATAAACAGCCACTTAGCTTCATTTGATACATGATATATACACCCACATGAGTGTTTTGTCTTGTTTGAATTTCTCCCCACTGTCTGTGTTTCCATCATGTGTGTCTGGGTGTGTCTGTCCTAGATGGCAAGCCCTGAGGCATTCTGAGTGGCACAAAGCACAATTATCTGCCTCGTAATGTTGAGGATGATGATAACAACACCGTTTTACATTTATGATTGCATTTGACTTTTGAAGTACCTCTGGGAGGTAGGAAGGACTAATGAAGTAAGTGACCGCAGTTGATGAGAGACTGCCCAAGGACACACAGCTGGGAGTAGTAACAAGACCAGACCTAGAACAGGGGATCAGTTTGTGGATTTAGTGGAAGACTTTCCTGGCTGACCCTCCCTCCCACCCCTTCCTAAGCATTCTTTCATCATGTGCTCCTGAGCCCCTTTGTTCTGGGCTTGGCTTGAGCCCAGATGACTCAACTTTCCATGTGGTAGCATTATCTAGAAGGCTTTTCCCAGGACCTGCCTGGCCTGGGCGTCTGGGGTAGCTGAGGGCTCAGACACCCAGTGTGTGAATGCCCTGGGGAATTAGAGCAGTGGGCCCTGATGCAGACTCCTGCATCCCTGAGGGAAGACCAGGGCAGAGGAGCATGGCCAGAGTGGGCAGGTGACCATTTGCCCAGGAATCTGCAGGGCTGTCTTGCTTTAGAGAGTGAGAGTCAGTTGGTCAGTCTTTTTTTTCCTCCCTGAATTAATGTATTTGTTCATTCATGCTTCTGGCCTGCATGAAATATTATCCTCAGTGCTTTGTCATATACAGGAATTGTGAGATCCCCCCTGGCCCTGAGAATTTTGTAGTCTAGTTAATGGGTCAACTGGACAATGGAAATAGACAAATGGAAGCACCAGAGAATAATCTAAAGACACATAGAGAGAAACAGTACTTTAGCAAAATTAGGGTTTAAATCCTGGCTCAGAGTGGGAAGCAGGGATTCAGCTGAAGGCTATTTTGGAATCCCAGGTATGAAGTAAAAAGGCCTAACCTAAAGTCATCGTGGAAGGGAAAAGGAGAGATACAATCTGAGCTCAGGGACATGGCAGTCATTGTCTGATCTGCTCAACTTTTCACTCACAGCTCCTAGCTCTGGAAAATAGCCCAAAGCTTTTATTTTTGCCCAAGACTGGCCCTGGATTGGTCAGGGCATCTGACCCAAGTGCCACTAATCCAGAGGCTTGCCAGTGGCATGGCTCGTTTGAAAAGAGGAGCCTGGCCAAGCCACATTCCCCACTAAGGGCTCTGAACCAGAAGACACTGAGAGAAAGGACAGCATTGGGACTGACGCTGCAGGATCACGATGTTGCGGGGAGTGCAGCCAGGATGGGCACATGGAAGAGCAGGTGCTCTGAGAAGCAGGAGCTATGAAGTGGGGGAAAGTGACAGAGAGTATGGGGAATCAGAGAGCCGTTCAGTGGTAAGGAAGGGACAGAAAAAATCGTTATCATGTCAATGACAGAACATTAGGTGGAAATGTACAAAGTCCCACTATCGAGGGCCTGAGGGCTGCTGCAGATCCAGAGCCAGCCTCTGCGTGCTGCTCCCACCCCACTATGCCAGGCCGTTTGGCTTTCTCTGGGTGCCCGGGTCCTTGCATCCTTCAAGAAACCCCCATGACAAGAGGAAAGCTTGGTTAGTCTCAGTCTTATGGAAACAGAATCTATGCTAGCCTAAGTCATTTCTTAGAGATCTGGAGAATGAAAGTCAGTGGAACGTCCCTAGGCACACACACATGTGAGTATCTCAGTGTAAACGTATCTGCAGACTCCACCACAACCCAGAAGTCCTGTGAGTGTGGGGCAAGCATGGCGGGTAGGGGGTGGTGGGGAGAGCGCCGAGTGTGGGGAGACCGAGGGATCAGGGAGGAAAGCACTGCCTCCCCTTCCTGGAGAGTCCAGTTGGAAGAACTCATGGGTCATGGCAGTAGAAAGTGCTACTTTTAGTTTCCTTCAGGATGTAGATGCCATTTAAAGTCAAACTATTTCCTAATACTGGTGCCCAGAAAATGATTCATTGGAGAATGCTGATGTTGTTTTCTGTGCCCGACATGAAGCAGTGTGATGCTGTTTCAGAGCAGAGGATATTGGCCTGAAGGGCTGTAACTCTGTGCTGTCCCCAAAGGCCGTTTCTGGGCAGTGTTTATCTTTTGTCTGCCTGAGACTCTCTGTGTGGCTCACTCTTCATCGTGATTCTTTGCATGCCTGTAACATGTGTCATCTACACGTATTCTTTTGGCACCCATCACCTACAGTTTTGGTTACTTCCCTTAGAGGCTTGTGTTTGTGTCTGGGGGTGTGTTACTTTCTTTGCTTCCCCAGACCCTGGATCCATATTCAGGAGTCCCTGCTCTGACACTTTGTGCTATGTGAACTTCGACAAGCCACGAACGTCCCCACACTTCTATTTCCTCACCTGTAAAATGGGAATGATGACATCTGATGATAAGCAACCATGGCCAACTTATCTAACAGAAATGAAGGTCCAATGCCAATATTGGAGAATGCTTTGTAAATTCCGAATTGTAGTGTTCAGTGAGAAATTGATAACATTTTCTTCTTGTAAGGACTGTACTTCATAGATTTTTAATGGCTGTCTCACATCGCAACCCCAAGATAACACACTGCTGAGCAAATAGGAGGAGCTCAATAAATAATTGTAGAATGTGATCATCGTTGTTCTCATCTTTACAAATTCCTTATTAATGCCGTTTTGTTGCTGCCAGATAACTCATTGTCTTCCCATGCTGACATTATATAAGTCTGGGACACACATGAACATGGGAAGACATCAGAAAGTTACATAACTGACCAGTAGAGAATAAACATCAGTTACACATAAAGGTTAAGTGCATTTTAGAGGTTAGAAAAAGTGATGAGTGAATAATTGCGATAGGAAAGTGGTTTGTGGGAACAGCTATAAGATATAGATTGAGGTAGGTGGGATTGGGGAAGCTGCTTTTATCTAATTAAGAAGACCTTCAAGAGGAAGTGGATTTTCAGGAGCAGGTAGACGAGAGGGCAGAATGGGCTTGGTGAAGAGGTGGCCAGAGAACATTCCAGACACATGAGTATCCTCCGAAGGCTGTGGGGCAAGATACCTTCAGGGTGGTTTGCCCCTCTTGACAGTTGGAATGGCTAGAGGGGTGTGTGTGTATGTGTGTATAGACATAGGGAAGCGGAGGGCAAGGGACAGATAAGAAGGGTGGGAAAGAGGTAAGGGAGACCTGCTGGGGGTGATGAAGACAATGTAAGACTGATAACCTTCAGGTGTGAGATGTTTTGGAGGAGCCCTGTTGAGATTTCTTTACACTGTATCCAATAAAGTTGTCCTCAGCTTCTTTGTTTGGATTCGGCACTTGGAAATGGGGCTAGTTTAAAATCAGAGGGAGGGATAAAGCTAAGAATGTGGGCAGGGTAAAGAAACCAGGTCCCCAAATCCATATAACAACTTACAGACCTTATGCCATTTTAGTTAAACTTGGCCTAGCACCTTTGGGTTTGAAGGTTTATCATTAAATAGCTTTTATTTACTTGCTTCTCATTGTGTAAAACTGTTAAAACCCCCAGGTTCCTATTTGTTCTAGGCCCCAGAAGTGAATAATTGATCATTAGGCATTGTAACATTGGTCTGGGGCTTCTGAATGTGCACATCCACTCAAAGTGAGACAGAGGATGGGCCTTCCCCCTGTCCAAGCCAAACAGCTCAGTGTCACATCCTGGCTTCACCTATTTCCATGGATCCTGCAACCCAGACATGATCTCATCAGGGCCACTCCCTAGAAGGAAGTGGGGAAGCACAGGACTATTCTGTCTCATTTTCCAAATAGAGAAACTGAGGCACTGAGCAATGAGAGAAGCTTAGTAAGGATGAGATAATGAGCTAGCTGCAGGGCTGAGAACAAACTGGGCTTTGGCTCAGAGTGGCTACCATTCAGTACAATGTGTGTGTGTGTGTGTGTGTGTGTGTGTGTCTGTGTGTGTGCCTGCGAGCACACCTGTACATTCCCTCTCATCCTAAATCTTCCAAAGGGACATCCTGAAGATGACACAGTTTAAAAAGGGACCCCATTTTGCAAGACAGAATGTGTGACAATGAGCTAGTTATAGAACCTCTGTAAGTCCAGTGTCCTCACCTGTAAATAGGGAATAATGGTATCCATCTTTACAGTATTGTTGTAATGAGTCATTAAGGTTAGTAAGGAATCTAAATATCAGGATCCAATTTCTGATCCCCAGCAAACATATGAGCCACCGGATCACAGTGCCCACTTGGTGGAGTTTATGTACTGACCTGACACCATTCTTGGTTACCTGGTTCAGTGGTGGAAGCCATGACCTGGTCAGCCTAGAGACCAGCTAATCTAATGTGCATCTGTATTCTATTAAATTTACTTTCCTAAGTATGTTATTTCAGTGGGGGAGGAAGCTTTGAGTGCCTACTATGTGCTGGGCAATTTTCTAGGTGCTCTATGTAAATGATCCTATTGAATCCTTCTCATAGTCTTGTGACAGGTATTACCAAAGCAAGGATTTGCATCCCCTAAGAAATAGTTACCTGAGTGTCCTGAACACAGAGCGGTAGAGTGAAACAAAACTGACATTTTAAGAATCCAAATTGAAGAGATCACAAAGCTGAATGCCGGCAAGACCAAACTCCCTCTCTCATGCCCACTGACTCTTCAACTCATTACAAGACATTGTCTTGGTAGCCATTTCATGAAGTTGGTCACACCCTTCTTCTTGCAGCTCCCTCTTTTCTGGCTTCAGCTCTTTTCTTGTTCTCTTTCCACCTCAATCTCCGTAGTCTCCACGGGGCTGCTGTTTCTCTGACTGCCTCTTAAGCATTAGCTTTCCCTTAGGGTTTGTCCTCAGCTCTTTTCTCTCTTCATGTTGAGTGCTTACCTTGAGAGAGCTTTTCCCTTCCAATGCCATAGGTCACTGCCAACTCCCAGATCAGTTCCCAGTGCTTCAGACTAAACAGTCAATTACCAGTTACCTCCCAGAATTTCCTCTTGGTGTCCCTGGCAGGCACATCCAATTCTGCATGTTCAGAATTGAACTCACCATCTCTCTTCTTAACCTGCTCCTTCTCCTTTACTCCTGGCTTGACGAATGACATCACCATCAAGCTAGCCTCCCAAGCTGGAGCTGAGAGTTAGTCGAGTCCCCTCTCCACTAACAGTGGAGACCCCTCTATTTCCTTTATCCTCCACACCCAATCTGCACCAAGTCCTGCTGACCTTCTTTCCTTCGCATCTGTTCCCCTTTGCGGTTCCCTCATCTTGATCCTAATTTTGGCCCTCGTTTTTAAACTTGGCATCTGTTTTGCTTCCCTGCAGTTCAGCTGCTGCTCCCTTTACCAGAGTGATCCTTTTATAAATCTGCAAAATTGATTGATGCCTCTGTGGCTTCCTGTCATCTTTATAATGAAGGCCAAGCTCTCCATGATCTCCCCCTATCCGCCCCTCTCCAGCTTCCTTTCTGGCCATGACCCCCACCTTCTCTTTCTCCAGGTGGGGACAGAACATCTCCAATTTGTGCTAATGCCCATCCCCCACTTGTCTGTCCAGCAAACATCTCCTCAGCATGAGGGTCTGCTCTCTTGGGAAGACCTTCCTGGCCCATCCACCCCTTCTGCCTTTGCAAGCCTGCATCCTTGGCACCCACGCCTCCCCGACTCGTCCTACCCCCTCAGTCTGGCCATAAACTTCTTGGGAGTGGTGATCATGCCTACTCACATGTTCCCCTGGTGTTTATCATAGTGTTAGCACATAGTGGGAATTCAACCAATGCTTGTTGACCAAATGACTGAAGCAGGGTAACGGAAAATTCAAGTCCATGCTGATCTATTAATACCTGGACCTGAGGGGTGGTGAGCGCTCGTTCCCCCCGCTAGAGGGCACTCTGGTCGTGTGCTTCACTGGAGGCCGCGAGCAGTGTGGCTCCACTTGGGAGCCTTGTGAAACCAGTTACGCTCCCGTTGCTGGCAGCTTGAGCCAAGCAGCACAGACGCACTTACGGCTCAGGCCAGTCTCCTTACCAGGCGCCATCATTCTCTTCACATGGACCCTTTGTTTCTCTCATTGCCTTCCCCTCACCTCACCTCACCTCATGCTCCCCCTGGAGGTACACAACCTTCACCTATGGCACATTCAGAACTTTCCCTA
Source organism: Homo sapiens (assembly GCF_000001405.40). Taxonomy (NCBI): domain Eukaryota; kingdom Metazoa; phylum Chordata; class Mammalia; order Primates; family Hominidae; genus Homo; species Homo sapiens. The sequence continues at coordinate 115,139,348 of NC_000001.11, forward strand.
CTTCCTTTAGCGGTAGCCAATAATATCTGAAATAACTTCAGCTAAGACCCTAATTAATGCCCATTCCTGAGGGTGTCTTCCTCCTGTTGGGTTAGTTGCGACTTACCAATTGCTTTTAATGCCTTTGAGTGACATGGGACAGTGATGTGTCCTGGTGGTGGGGATATTTTTGATGGGAAGGATGGGGTTTCCCTAGAGCCCCTCAAGCCACCCCACACAGTGGCCTTCCTAGGAGTGCTCGGCCCCGCCTGTCGTGCCAAGGGCCCGCGTCCATCGGCGTTCCACTCACAACATGCCTACCTATGGGAGTGTGGTGGGCCCTCGGGAAGTTAGTGTCCAGTTTTGAACAGAGTTGTACTTTTTATTTTTATTTTTTAAGAAAATGTGGTAAAAGTAATGCATTATTCAGCTTCATTCATAAAGCTTCTTTTTCATGGAGTTCCACAGTCTTATGTGTTGTGAAACCACACTTGAATTATTGTGGATAATTACTATTATCCACAATAATTGTGCATCTCTTTTTAAATACTGTGGGAATTACTCAAGGGTGATATCAAAAGGAATGGCACATCGGAGTGCTGGGGCTCTGGGAGCTGTGCCATTGGAGGGTCAGTTGAAGAAATGGGGATGGTGTAGACTGGAGAAGAAAAGACGTTAGAGAAGTATGACAGCTTCCTGACATGCAGATGCTTCTATTTCCATCAACATGTTATAAAGAATTAAAAAAATAAGTGTTGTCAATATTCAAGAAGCTCCTGGGATCCCTTTTGTAGAGCAGAATCTGGGGAGTGGGGTAAGACAGGAAACAACAGAAAATTAAAAAGCAAGAGAGGCTGAGAGTATCCACCATCATTAGTTGTGCAGGATGGGGGTGGGGGCCTCGTGGAGAAAGGCTGCAGCCTGCTTGCGGGCTTGGTTGGGAATAGTCAGAAGAGGGAGAGTTTTGGGAGCCTCTACACCGAGTAGGAGATCCAAAGAGAAATATGAGGAAAAAGGATTGTAAGAGGATGATTGTTTTTTAGTAATTTTTGAGAACTCCCAGCATGTTTTGAATTGCATTTTCACCTACTCTAGGTTGTTAGACTCTTATTTGAATGAGATTTTATTGAGACAGGAATACATGGAATGCTGGGATTACCTCGGTTAAATGAGGAAGCATTTTTCTAATAACCAGTCAAGAGCAGGCCAGGCTTCCTCACCAGGATGAGTTGAGACCTACTGAGTTTGGATGAGCACCTGTAAGGAATGTAGGGGTGTTCTGCCCTGGGTGGAAGGCTGTGATGGCTTCTAGGATCCCTTTCAATTCTGAGGTTCTATGACTTCATGAAAACAAGACATTGCTGGACAAGTTTGAGTGGCCCACCTTCCTACCTGCCTATCCCACAGTCTGAAGTGGCATTTATGAAAAGCTGGGAACACAGAAGGAGACAATGGGTCTCCAGCCTACGGTGAACAGTTCTTTTCTGGCAGCTAATTTAGCTCTAGAAGTTTCCAGTTCCCACCAAAACATTGAGAGATCATCCTGTAGTTTGGGGCACACAATCAGAACAGTTAAATAAAAATGCAAGTGGTTAGTTTTACATCTGCTGGGGACATTCCATGGCCAGCTACATAGAAGTCTAGGCATTCTATGTCTCCAGCCCTAGGAGCTGGGGATACAAGTGTCACTGAGACATAGCTCTTATTCTTGAGGCATTCATCATCTGTGGAAGAGAGAGCCATGGAAACCAGTGATTACAATCCAGTGTCCCAGCATAGATAGAAATATGCATAAGGAGGGGGACATGGGAGGGGAGGACAGCTTTGCTGCAGAGGCTGTTCTTGAGCAAGTTTGAAAGAGTAAATGTGGTCTACCAATGAGGCTTACCAAGAGCAAGGCTATGGAAAAGGCATTCCAGGCAGACAAAGCACCATGGGCTTAGGAGCAGATATGTGAGGCCAAATAATGTATTAGGGGAGTTGAGGCCAGGGAGGGGTGGTCTGGCTGGATCCTGAAGGTCTAGTTATGAAGTTGTATGACATGAGACTGCAGAGCTGTGAAGGGCTTTGTCTTCCATGCTAAGGAGTGTCAGCTTTATCCTACAGAGGTTTTGGATTCCTGAAGCATTTTAATCCTACCCCTTTGTGGCGAGCAAATAGAGGATGGATTGGAGGGGTGTGAATGAGTGTGTACACATGTAAACGCACATTTATGGTTGTGCATGGTCCAGATAAGGGCTCAGGGGCATGGGGAAACTTCCCAAGCAGAGAGCTTCACAATCTGTTTCTAAACCAAGCTTCTATCCCCAAATTGTTTCACTTTATTCTTGTGGAATAATAAAAAAAGTCATTTAGCTCAATTATCTCATTTGACAGAGTTGGAAATTGAGGCCCCAAGAGGGACAGTTCCTTGCCCAAGGCTACATAGCTAGGGATTGGCAGATCCCATGGATTGTTGGCTCTTGATCCAGTGCTTTCTTTATGATGTCATTCTGTTTTCTGAAATTCTCTGATACCCATAGGACAATGTTCTAGCTCTGGAGAATGGCTGATAAGGCTTTGGCAATCTGGGCACAACTGTCTTTCTTCCCCATTAGGTCCCCAGCACATAGTATGCCTGGGGACATCTCTATGCCTCACTTTAAAAATCTCCTGATTCTACTCTTCCTGAAGAACTCCTACTTCCTCTTTAAGGTCCAGGGCAAATGTCACCGCTCATCTGAAGCAGTCCCTTAGCTCAGTGACTCCTCTGGGCAAAACAAATCATGTATCCTCCGTGTTTGTAAAGCACCCAATATGGCAGGTTTATTAGCTTCCTGCTCCATGAGTCTGCAGGCTCCTTGAAGAAAGGCATCATTTCTATCTGCTTCCTGGTTGTAGCTCCAGTGCCTAGCATGGTACCTGGCACATACTAGATGTCCACAAAATGTTTGTTGAATGACTAAATTAATGAATGTATCAATTAAAAGTCTCACCTCAAATCCCTTCATATGGGTCTATTGTGAGGTCCTTGGGGCTCTAACTGAGTCCATGATTTTCTTATTTTAAAAATCATGAAGTGGCCGATGCTGGTGTTCTCAGTAGAAACATGTTAGAGCTGGAAAACTTTCTATGCATTTCTTTTCTCTAAAGCAAAGTGAAGGTGGGGACTCTGGGCTCATTGCTCCTTTGTAATTCCTCTGTATTATACTGAACTGAGGAAGTTAATTTTCCCTGAATACTTTCGGCACTGTAGAATTTGTTTTTTCTCATGACTAACTTAAAGCTATTCTTACAGTTTAGATTTGTTTTGGGTCTTTAGGGGAAAAATTCTCTTGCTTTTTTTTTTTTTTAAATTTCTTCCTTATCCTTCTCAAATTCCATGCTTGCTTAGTCTTGTTTAAACAATTAGATTCACTTTAAGAAAGCTAAAATTAGAGCCACTATGGGGCAGCACTCCTGCCCAGCCAGCCATCTTTTCCTCTCCAGAAGAGCCTTTTTAATCTGAGTCCTTTTGCCAACTGATAAACACCTCATGAGCAGCACCCAGGCCGCGTCTTTCCAAGAGTTAGCTGTTTCTGGATGGAGATGACTTGTTCTTTGTTTAAGGGAGAGCCATTTACAATTTTTTTTTTTCATTGGATTGAAACTCCTGGGCCTGGTGCAGGCAAAGCTGAGAGAGGATGACCGTGGGGCCTAGGTGGATGCCATGTGTGAGCAGAAGACCTGCTTGGGTTGTAGATATGTGGACACCTCCCTCCCTCGCCAGCTTCATTTTTGCCCGAGCCTCAGCTTCCTGTCAGCTGGTGGTTGTGGGCAGGAGGTTACACATGGCACTGAAGCCCTGGAGCCCAGTGGTATCAAGTGGGAACAGAGGTGTCTTCCTAGAGCTCAGGGAAGTCTGAGGACGGTTTATGTGGAGTAACAGCCATCTGGGAAGCTGAATTCAGAAAGTGATTGCAGGGAATGGAAAGGAGTGGTATTTTTGGATCACCTTGCAAGCTTGAGGAATTGGGCTGGACATGTTCAAAACGTATTTTCATTTAGTCCTTGTGATAATGATCACTACCATTTGCTGAGCACTTAGCTTACACCAGGCAAATTACACACATGATTACATTCTGTCCTCAAAATGTTCCCCAGGGAGGACCTGATATTATTTCCATTTTACAGAATTGGAAACTGAAGCTTGGAGAAACTGGGTTTAAAGAACTTGCCCAAGGGTGGGAACCAGACTAAGCTCAACATCCTGTGCCCTCCACCAAGTCTACCCAGGCAGGGGGCTGAGGTCTTGAAAGTCAAGAGGGATTTTCAGAATACCATAAAATATGACCTATTGATTTTCCTCAAATGAGCAAAGAACAATTTCCCTAGCAAACAAATGATTATATTCTGTGCACACATTATTAAACCACAAGCAGCCTGGGGCCACAAAAAAGCCAGGTGTTGAAGGACAAATGCACATTGGTTTCTGAGTTTTTTTCATTAATAGTTTCTACTCATTCATTGTTTTGTCTTATGCTAGTTCTGGCTAACAGGCGAGTGGTAACAGGCACTGAGGGTGGAACAAAAATTGAAAAAAGTCTATATGTTCAATTTTTTTTTAGTGCATCAGGAAAGCTGATAATATTTAAGCAGTGTACCCCCCAGGCGTGCTTCCAGAACTCCACCGTTATTGATTCTGAGCAATACTGAGCGTGAATGTTGAAAGCAGGTGTTTGCGGGGGAAGGCTTGTTCCAAAGAATGATCTTTCTTCTGAGGTCTGACGATGCTGCACACCATTTTATGGGCAGATAATTTATCTCCTGTGTCCTTTTGCTTGAGGTTATTACCAAATTTGAAATGCTCAAGGACACTCTTGGGCCTATGAATGTGGCCTGAGTGTGCTAGAATAGGGGTGGAGGTGGAAAGGTGCTATTTCCCTGGAATTTTAGAAACGGTTTGGGATAATGCCTTAAGTGGACCACTGCACTCCCAGAAATTACCTAGTTAATCATCTTCTTCTTGGGAAGTTCTCCAACAGGAAGACTCACAGACCATCATTTTCTCTAACTTGCAAACATTCTCCCTGGGGGAGAACAAGAGCACTCTGGTGTGTCTTCCTGTCATCATTCCTCACAAGGGCTTTGAAGGTGTGAGCACTGCAGATTCCCACAGTGTTCGGAAGGATAGGGCTCTCTCTGCTTTACTGCTGTTATTATGCACAAGATCAGCTCTGTTGACAAAATCTCATGTGGACCTCCTGTTACTCCCTTCCTTTGGATGGTAAGGGTGGGTGCATGCGTTGGGTGGAGGAATGATACCAAAGCTACAGCAATGCCAGTGCATTTCTCCAAATCATCTCTATTAAGTCTCTGGAGTGAACAGGGACTGGGCCCCAGATGATAAGGCACTAATGAAATGATTGTGCTGTACTTTGCACTTGTGTAAAAGAACAGATGTTAAATAACAACAATAATAATAGTAATATGATTTTGGTTTGGAGCTGAGGCCTCAGAATTTCAGAGATGGAATGCATATGGAATACATTCATAGCTCTGTATAATACTCTACAAACTGATTGGGTTCAGATGAGAAACATTTGTCAGCGAAGTTCCCATTACTGGTTGGGGTGGGGTCTGATTTGGGCTTTTACTGGAGGGGCTGCCTTAGGAGACAAGATGCTATTGTTAGCTGTGACAGTGGGAAATGTACTGCAGGCAATTCTCTTTATCTTCACATATGTTCTAAGCCAAGGAATTGTTGAAGTGGTTTGTTTCAGTCTGCTATACAGAAGGTGTGATGGATCAAATAGGAAATTCTTAGTAGGAGATCTGCTCAAGTTGCATATAGGTAATGAGAATTTTAGATTTCAAGTTCAACCCCATAAGGCCCCCGCTATTCTCTTGCCAGTAATGGGATATTGACTTTGGTGAAGTTATTGCAGGTTTGGGTAATCTAAAAGACCATATGTGATGAGTTCCAACATACTGATGGTTGGTTGTGGTAAATTGTGGTGGTGTTTGGGTGCAGTATACATAATAACAAAGCCTCTGTCATTCTAGTGTCTGGGCTGGGCACCACTTTCATGATAAGGTAAACCACCATGTGACTACATGTTTGCTCTGGGAAAGAGAAAGTTGAAGGTTTCCCCAGAGGGCTCTGTCCCTGGAGTTTCCCGGTCCTCTGTGGTTTGGCTTCCCCACTTGGGTGGTCTTAGTGATCTGCTGTTTTTATCCAGTTTCCTTGCTTCTATTTTAATCATCATCACTACCAGTCATTGTTGTATGTTCCAGTGGAAATTTTACAAATATTTGAAAATGAAATTGAGTTAGAGGTTTATCAAATAGAGATGTTTGCTACAGTTAGGGAGTATTTTAACATACGCATAAAATTACAAAGTCAAAGTCTATTTTAAGCAGGTTTATCCTTTGTGACATGAATTGGGTTTTCAAGTTTTGTTTTATAAAACTCAGCTTTTGCAGAACTTCTCGGGGGTATGGGTAGATAAGAGACCTTCAAAGAGTCTGGAGGAGAAGGGTGCTGGGAGCTGGAGCCAGTGGGGTGCTGTTGAGGAAGAAGTCAACAATGGGAAAATGGACAATTAACAGACGTTAGACATTCAGATGGATGATGTAACAACCACCATTATTGTAAAAAAAAATCATCATTGATATGATCTTTTATCTAGAAAAACCTAAGTACTCCACCAAAAAACTCTTACATTTGGTAAATGAATTCAGTAAAGTTTCAGTATACAAAATCAATGTATAAAAATCAGTGGTGTTTTTATACACCAACAGTGATTTGGTTGAGAACCAAATCAAGAAGGCAATTACAGAAGCTACACATACACAGAAACCCTAAGAATATATTTAACCAAGGAGGTGAAAAGATCTCTACAAGGAAAACTACAAAACCCTGAAATTATGTTGACATAAACAAATGGAAAAACATCCCATGCTTATGGATCAGAAGAATTAATATTGTTAAAATGACCATACTACCCAAAGCAATAAACAGATTCAATGCATTCCCTATCAAAATACCATGCCATTTTTCACAGAATTAGTAAAAAGAATCCTAAAATTCATATGGAACAACAACAACAACAAAAAAAACAGCTCAAATAGCCACAGCAATCTTTAAGCAAAAAGAACAAAGCTGGAGGCATCACATTTTCTGACTTCAAATTGTACTACAAGGCTATAGTAACCAAAACAGCATGGTGCTGGTATAAAAATAGACAAATCAATCAATAGAAAAGACTAGAATACCCAGAAATAAATTTGCATATTTACAGCCAACTGATCTTTGACTAAGTTGATATGAACATACACTGGAGAAAGGACACCCTTTTCAACTAATGTGCTGGGAAGGTGGACTTGCCATATACAAAAGAATGAAACTGGATCTCTATCTCTCGCCATGTACAAAAATCAACTCAAGATGGATAAAAGACTTAAATGTGAAACCTGAAATCATAAAAGTAAAAGAAGAAAACCTGAGGAAAACTCTTCTGGACATTGGTCTAGGCAAAGAATTCATGACTAAAACCTCAAAAACACAGGCAATAAAAACAAAAATAGACAAATTAGACTTAATTAAACTAAAAAGCTTCTACACAGCAAAAGAAATAATCAACAGAGTCGACAACCTGTGGAGCAGGATAAAATATTTGCAAACTATGCATTCTATACATCTGACAGGAGACTAATATCCAGAATTGACAAGGAACTCAAACAACTCAGTGACAACAGAACCCCCAATAATCCCGTTAAAAAGTGATCAAAGAACATCAGTGGACATTTTTCAAAAGAAGACATATAAATGGCCAACAGACATATGAAAAAATGCTCAACATCATAAATCATCAGAGAAATGCCAATTAATACCCCAATGAGATATCATATTAGACCGGTTAGAATGGCTATTATCGAACAGACAAAAAAATAACAGATGATGGCAAGGATGTGGAGAAAAGGGAGCTCTTATACATTGTTCATGGGAATGTAAATTAGTACAACCTATATGGGAAATAGTATGGAGATTTTTGAAAGCACTAAAAATAGAGCTACCTTTGGATCCAGTAATCCCACTTCTGTCTATCTACTCAAAGGGAAGAAATTATTATATGAAAATATACCTGCACCCATATGTTTATCACAGCACTATTCATAATAGCAAAGATGTGAAATCAACCTAAGTTTCTGTCAGCAGATGATTAAAGAAAATGTGGTATATATATATACATATATATATATATATACATATATATATATATATATATATATGCAGTAAAATACTACTCAGCCATAAAAAAGAATGAAATTATGTCTTTTGCAGCAGCATGGATAGACCTGGAGGCCATTATCTTAAGTGAAACAAGTCATACACAGAAAGACAAATATTACATGTTCTTGCTTATAAGTGGGAGCTAAATAATGTGTATATCTGTACATAGAGTGTGGAACGATAAACAATGGAGACTCAGAGGGTAAGGGGGTGGGAAAGGAGGATGAGAAATTACTTATGGAAGATGGCTGAATAGGAACAGCTCCAATCTACAGCTCCCAGCGTGAGCGACGCAGAAGACGGGTGATTTATGCATTTCCATCTGAGGTACAGGGTTCATCTCACTAGGGAGTGCCAGACAGTGGGCGCAGGTCAGTGGGTGCGTGCACCGTGCACGAGCCGAAGCAGGGTGAGACATTGCCTCACTTGGGAAGTGCAAGGGGTCAGGGAGTTCCCTTTCTGAGTCAAAGAAAGGGGTGATGGACAGGCACCTGGAAAATCGGGTCACTCCCACCCGAATACTGCGCTTCTCCGACGGGCTTAAAAAACGGCGCACCACGAGATTATATCCGGCACCTGGCTCGGAGGGTGCTACGCCCACGGAGTCTCGCTGATTGCTAGCACAGCAGTCTGAGATCAAACTGCAAGGCGGCAGCGAGGCTGGGGGAGGGGCGCCCACCATTGCCCAGGCTTGATTAGGTAAACAAAGCAGCTGGGAAGCTCGAACTGGGTGGAGCCCACCACAGCTCAAGGAGGCCTGCCTGCCTCTGTAGGCTCCACCTCTGGGGGCAGGGCACAGACAAACAAAAAGACAGCAGTAACCTCTGCAGACTTAAATGTCCCTGTCTGACAGCTTTGAAGAGAGCAGTGGTTCTCCCAGCACGCAGCTGGAGATCTGAGAACGGGCAGACTGCCTCCTCAAGTGGGTCCCTGACCCCTGACCCCCGGGCAGCCTAACTGGGAGGCACCCCCCACCAGGGGCACACTGCTGACACCTCGCACGGCAGGGTATTCCAACAGACCTGCAGCTGAGGGTCCTCTCTGTTAGAAGGAAAACTAACAAACAGAAAGGACATCCACACCAAAAACCCATCTGTACATCACCATCATCAAAGACCAAAAGTAGATAAAACCACAAAGATGGGGAAAAAACAGAACAGAAAAACTGGAAACTCTAAAAAGCAGAGTGCCTCTCCTCCTCCAAAGGAACGCAGTTCCTCACCAGCAACGGAACAAAGCTGGATGGAGAATGACTTTGATGAGCTGAGAGAAGGAGGCTTCAGACGATCAAATTACTCTGAGCTATGGGAGGACATTCAAACCAAAGGCAAAGAAGTTGAAAACTTTGAAAAAAATTTAGAAGAATGTATAACTAGAATAACCAATACAGAGAAGTGCTTAAAGGAGCTGATGGAGCTGAAAACCAAGGCTCGAGAACTACGTGAAGAATGCAGAAGCCTCAGGAGCCGATGCGATCAACTGGAAGAAAGGGTGTCAGGGATGGAAGATGAAATGAATGAAATGAAGCGAGAAGGGAAGTTTAGAGAAAAAAGAATAAAAAGAAATGAGCAAAGCCTCCAAGAAATATGGGACTATGTGAAAAGACCAAATCTACATCTGATTGGTATACCTGAAAGTGATGGGGAGAATGGAACCAAGTTGGAAAACACTCTGCAGGATATTATCCAGGAGAACTTCCCCAATCTAGCAAGGCAGGCTAACGTTCAGATTCAGGAAATACAGAGAACGCCACAAAGATACTCCTCGAGAAGAGCAACTCCAAGACACATAATTGTCAGATTCACCAAAGTTGAAATGAAGGAAAAAATATTAAGGGCAGCCAGAGAGAAAGGTCGGGTTACCCTCAAAGGGAAGCCCATCAGACTAACAGCGGATCTCTCAGCAGAAACCCTACAAGCCAGAAGAGAGTGGGGGCCAATATTCAACATTCTTAAAGAAAAGAATTTTCAACCCAGAATTTCATATCCAGCCAAACTAAGCTTCATAAGTGAAGGAGAAATAAAATCCTTTACAGACAAGCAAATGCTGAGAGATTTTGTCACCACCAGGCCTGCCCTAAAAGAGCTCCTGAAGGAAGCACTAAACATGGAAAGGAACAACCAGTACCAGCCACTGCAAAATCATGCCAAAATGTAAAGACCATTGAGACTAGGAAGAAACTGCATCAACTAACGAGCAAAATAACCAGCTAATATCATAATGACAGGATCAAATTCACACATAACAATATTAACTTTAAATGTAAATGGACTAAATGCTCCAATTAAAAGACACAGACTGGCAAATTGGATAAAGAGTCAAGACCCATCAGTGTGCTGTATTCAGGAGACCCATCTCATGTGCAGAGACACACATAGGCTCAAAATAAAAGGATGGAGGAAGATCTACCAAGCCAATGGAAAACAAAAAAAGGCAGGGGTTGCAATCCTAGTCTCTGATAAAACAGACTTTAAACCAACAAAGATCAAAAGAGACAAAGAAGGCCATTACATAATGGTAAAGGGATCAATTCAACAAGAAGAGCTAACTATCCTAAATATATATGCACCCAATACAGGAGCACCAAGATTCATAAAGCAAGTCCTGAGTGACCTACAAAGAGACTTAGATTCCCACACATTAATAATGGGAGACTTTAACACCCCACTGTCAACATTAGACAGATCAATGAGACAGAAAGTCAACAAGGATACCCAGGAATTGAACTCAGCTCTGCACCAAGCGGACCTAATAGACATCTACAGAACTCTCCACCCCAAATCAACAGAATATACATTTTTTTCAGCACCACACCACACCTATTCCAAAATTGACCACAAACTGGGAAGTAAAGCTTCCCAGCAAATGTAAAAGAACAGAAATTATAACAAACTATCTCTCAGACCACAGTGCAATCAAACTAGAACTCAGGATTAAGAATCTCACTCAAAACCGCTCAAATACATGGAAACTGAACAACCTGCCCCTGAATGACTACTGGGTACATAATGAAATGAAGGCAGAAATAAAGATGTTCTTTGAAACCAACGAGAACAAAGACACAACATACCAGAATCTCTGGGACGTATTCAAAGCAGTGTGTAGAGGGAAATTTATAGCATTAAATGCCCACAAGAGAAAGCAGGAAAGATCCAAAATTGACACCCTAACATCACAATTAAAAGAACTAGAAAAGCAAGAGCAAACACATTCAAAAGCTAGCAGAAGGCAAGAAATAACTAAAATCAGAGGAGAACTGAAGGAAATAGAGACACAAAAAACCCTTCAAAAATTAATGAATCCTGGAGCTGGTTTTTTGAAAGGATCAACAAAATTGATAGACCGCTAGCAAGACTAATAAGGAAAAAAAGAGAGAAGAATCAAATAGACGCAATAAAAAATGATAAAGGGGATATCACCACCGATCCCACAGAAATACAAACTACCATCAGAGAATACTACAAACACCTCTACGCAAATAAACTAGAAAATCTAGAAGAAATGGATAAATTCCTCGACACATACACTCTCCCAAGACTAAACCAGGAAGAAGTTGAATCTCTGAATAGACCAATAACAGGATCTGAAATTGTGGCAATAATCAATAGCTTACCAACCAAAAAGAGTCCAGGACCAGATGGATTCACAGCCGAATTCTACCAGAGGTACAAGGAGGAACTGGTACCATTCCTTCTGAAACTATTCCAATCAATAGAAAAAGAGGGGATCCTCCCTAACTCATTTTATGAGGCCAGCATCATTCTGATACCAAAGCCAGGAAGAGACACAACAAAAAAAGAGAATTTTAGACCAATATCCTTGATGAACATGGATGCAAAAATCCTCAATAAAATACTGGCAAAACGAATCCAGCAGCACATTAAAAAGCTTATCCACCATGATCAAGTGGGCTTCATCCCTGGGATGCAAGGCTGGTTCAATATACGCAAATCAATAAATGTAATCCAGCATATAAACAGAGCCAAAGACAAAAACCACATGATTATCTCAATAGATGCAGAAAAAGCCTTTGACAAAATTCAACAACCCTTCGTGCTAAAAACTCACAATAAATTAGGTATTGATGGGACATATTTCAAAATAATAAGAGGTATCTATGACAAACCCACAGCCAATATCATACTGAATGGGCAAAAACTGGAAGCATTCCCTTTGAAAACTGGCACAAGACAGGGATGCCCTCTCTCACCACTCCTATTCAACATAGTGTTGGAAGTTCTGGCCAGGGCAATTAGGCAGGAGAAGGAAATAAAGGATATTCAATTAGGAAAAGAGGAAGTCAAATTGTCCCTGTTTGCAGACGACATGATTGTATATCTAGAAAACCCCATTGTCTCAGCCCAAAATCTCCTTAAGCTGATAAGCAACTTCAGCAAAGTCTCAGGATACAAAATCAATGTACAAAAATCACAAGCATTCTTATACACCAACAACAGACAAACAGAGAGCCAAATCATGAGTGAACTCCCATTCACAATTGCTTCAAAGAGAATAAAATACCTAGGAATCCAACTTACAAGGGATGCAAAGGACCTCTTCAAGGAGAACTACAAAACACTGCTCAAGGAAATAAAAGAGGAGACAAACAAATGGAAGAACATTCCATGCTCATGGGTAGGAAGAATCAATATCGTGAAAATGGCCAGACTGCCCAAGGTAATTTACAGATTCAATGCCATCCCCATCAAGCTACCAATGACTTTCTTCACAGAATTGGAAAAAACTACTTTAAAGTTCATATGGAACCAAAAAAGAGCCCGCATTGCCAAGTCAATCCTAAGCCAAAAGAACAAAGCTGGAGGCATCACACTACCTGACTTCAAACTATACTACAAGGCTACAGTAACCAAAACAGCATGGTACTGGTACCAAAACAGAGATATAGATCAATGGAACAGAACAGAGCCCTCAGAAATAACGCCGCATATCTACAACTATCTGATCTTTGACAAACCTGAGAAAAACAAGCAATGGGGAAAGGATTCCCTATTTAATAAATGGTGCTAGGAAAACTGGCTAGCCATATGTAGAAAGCTGAAACTGGATCCCTTCCTTACACCTTATACAAAAATCAATTCAAGATGGATTAAAGACTTAAACGTTAGACCTAAAACCATAAAAACCCTAGAAGAAAACCTAGGCATTACCATTCAGGACATAGGCATGGGCAAGGACTTCATGTCTAAAACACCAAAAGCAATGGCAACAAAAGCCAAAATTGACAAATGGGATCTAATTAAACTAAAGAGCTTCTGCACAGCAAAAGAAACTACCATCAGAGTGAACAGGCAACCTACAAAATGGGAGAAAATTTTCGCAACCTACTCATCTGACAAAGGGCTAATATCCAGAATCTACAATTAACTCAAACAAATTTACAAGAAAAAAACAAACAACCCCATCAAAAAGTGGGCGAAGGACATGAACAGACACTTCTCAAAAGAAGACATTTATGCAGCCAAAAAACACATGAAAAAATGCTCATCATCACTGGCCATCAGAGAAATGCAAATCAAAACCACAATGAGATACCATCTCACACCAGTTAGAATGGCGATCATTAAAAAGTCAGGAAACAACAGGTGCTGGAGAGGATGTGGAGAAATAGGAACACTTTTACACTGTTGGTGGGACTGTAAACTAGTTCAACCATTGTGGAAGTCAGTGTGGCGATTCCTCAGGGATCTAGAACTAGAAATACCATTTGACCCAGCCATCCCATTACTGGGTATATACCCAAAGGACTATAAATCATGCTGCTATAAAGACACATGCACACGTATGTTTATTGTGGCATTATTCACAATAGCAAAGATTTGGAACCAACCCAAATGTCCAACAATGATAGACTGGATCAAGAAAATGTGGCACATATACACCATGGAATACTATGCAGCCATAAAAAATGATGAGTTCATGTCCTTTGTAGGGACATGGATGAAATTGGAAATCATCATTCTCAGTAAACTATCGCAAGAACAAAAAACCAAACACCGCATATTCTCACTCATAGGTGGGAATTGAACAATGAGATCACATGGACACAGGAAGGGGAATATCACACTCTGGGGACTGTTGTGGGGTGGGGGGAGGGGGGAGGGATAGCATCGGGAGATATACCTAATGCTAGATGACGAGTTAGTGGGTGCAGCGCACCAGCATGGCACATGTATACATATGTAACTAACCTGCACAATGTGCACATGTACCCTAAAACTTAAAGTTAATAAAAAAAAATTACTTATGGGGACAGGGTACATTATTTGGGTGATGGATACCCTAAAAGCCCTGACTTCACCATATGCAGTCTATGGATGTAAACAAAATTATACTCATACCCCATAAATTTATACAAATAAAAAAAAGACAGAAGAAGAAAATAAAATCATCATGAAGTGCTTCTGTATGCCACTAATAGAAACATGGGGATGACTGATATGGCCAAATCTAGGAAAAGAGTCAGGTAAGCTAGTGTTTCTTATCTTATCAAAACAAAAGGGCTTCCTGGAGGAGATGAAGCATTTGGAATGGTGGATGGGAAGAATGCTGTCTGAGCAAGAGGGCAAGGAGGCTGGACTTCCTCCGGTGTGGGCTGTTCTTGTCCTATTTACTTAAAAAAAACTTCACTATCTTTGTCAGTCTTTGGTCTAGTTAAAATATTCCAAAGCAGTAGAAGAGTTTTAGCAGAAAGTTATGCTAACTTCCAGCAGGGTAAACCCTACCTTCACAGTTTAAGCCACCCTCTCTCTACGGACTTCGGACCTCGACCTCCTGCCTGAGTCCCCGCTGTGCATTTCACTGTTTGTTGAACTTTTCCAATTGCACATCCATTTGGTATCTCACATTTGAAATGTGCAAAATAAAATGTTCTTATCATTTCTCCTCTTTTTTCTTTCCTGACATCCAATTTTACTCTGAAATGCATTTCACAACCTTCTTATGATTTTCATTCCTGTCACCACTACCACAATTCTCTTTTGAGACCAGCTTACTTCATAACAGTGTACTACCATGGCCATATTTCCCATTGCCCTGCCCCACATTCTCACTTCTCTCATATTCTGAATAGCTCCTCATATATAGTCCAGTTTAATAAATGTTAACTAAGTGCTTAGCATGTGCACAAGGTCTGGCACTTGTAGGCTTTTGATAAGTGTGTCCTATATTACACCAACTGAGATGCATATGATCTCTTTCAGGATGACAAATACAAAGTCACAAAATAGAAAGAACTGAACAAAGGGAAGGGAGAGATTAGTACAAAAGAAGAGGACAGAAAAGAACTTTCCAGCCAGTATGGGATAGTGGGCTATGTGCTGAAGGAGGATCTGGGAGTCATTGCTCATCAGTGGTAGAATTGCAGCCAAGTGCAACCCTGTGCATTTTAGGTACCAGACCGTGGGCAAGTTATTCACTATCTCTGGACAACAGTGTTCTCATTTGTAGAGCGATAATTAAACACTAGATCATCACCAAGGTCCTTCCTAGAGGGACAATTCTTTGATCATTTTGCTGACTTTTTGTCATTTTCCAGTTCTGCCTATAGGCTTAGAATTGGGGTGATGATCAAAAATTTAGTTCTGAAATAAGCAAGTCAATAACTTGCCTGAAAATTTGAGTCCTTGAGTTAGTAAACATGACAATAGGCATGCCAGTTCATATTGAGCTAACAGACAGATGCACAAGTGATATGCTCCTGCAAGACTTTAATCTGCATCACTATTCTTGGGAGTGATGTTGATGATTATGGCTAGCCACCAAGAAAGGTGTGTATGTAAGGTCCCTAACCTGGAGCAGTACTTAGTCACCACCCCTGTGCTCCTGTAAGAGTTCACCTTATTCTTGACTTTCAACTCCTAAAGTTCTACTATAATCCTTGTTTATAATGCTCTAAACAGTGCTTTGAAAGGCCCAGGCAATACACTATGCAAGTCTATCAGATACATCCTGGGACATGGTTAGTTAAGGTCACCAAACTGAGACACAGAGAGGCTACTGTCATTCTGAACACAGACTTCTGGAAATCTGGCTCCAGAGTATGTATTAACTCAACTGTCGTAAGAGAAATCATGAGATCAAAACAACTCCAACTTTAAATATTACTTAGAGTCTTATTTTAAATTGGCTAATGTTGAGTACATGGCCTAACTTCCCTGGCTCATTAAATGCCAAAATATTACTTTTGAGGAGCAGCACTAGGGGTCTGGAAATCATCTCAGGAAAAATAAATCATATGTCTTTTAATTCTTCCCAAACCTGGGAAGAGTTATTGTCATCAAGGATAATAAATTTTATCACTAACAAGTCTAGGAAAAGTTAATTTTGGTCCCGGGATAAGATTAATAGAAGGAAATCATTCATATGCATTCTTTGCTCTTCCAGCCAAGTTAATTTTCTCTCAGCATTCTCTCTCTCCATGCAACTTTTTCTTTCCTTCACCTCTATCAGCTTTTGCCTCGCAGGGTTTGACTCTTCTCTATCAGGACTTGAACTTCGCCCACTCTTCATAGAACTCTGTTATTGGTGCTCTCCCAAACTCATTCCCTTTGAAGTTTTTCATTATCAAGATATCCAATTGGAAGATCACACAGTTGTGTGATAGTGGACAAGACTCTTAACCCCTGTGTCTCATTATGTTTAATCTTTGAAATGAGAGTGTAGACTATGAAGGACCTGTCTAACTCTAAGAGCTATGGTTCAAGATGTGGAAATTTGTATGCATTTTCCTTCTTTGTAGGAACTAGATTGAAGATTCAGATATAAGGGGAACAGAAACAGATCTGCAGCTCTGTTTGAATAGAAATAAAACATAGAAGACACATTTCGATCTCTCTCTGCAAAGTGGATTACCCTCTTCTTCAAATTAATGCTATCTCTATTCTTCCTGATATCCATCCTGTAAGGTCAGGGTCATTTTGATTATTTCCATTCCTATAGGCTCCCTTCCCATTTAAGGTCACCATGGTGTGAACTGTAGTATTAGGTTGAACCATATTAAATTGCCTTTATTTTGCAGGACAAAAATGGTCTGATACTAGCAGTTTCATCTGGTCAACCTAGTACACAAGCCTTTATTGAAACTCTTCCCTCAGTCTTGCCACTATTGTTATGCCCTCTCTCCCACCATATCCCTTTGACCAGCTGACAAACTTCTACTCATCTTCCCAGGTTTTGCTCAGGTATGAACTTCATCTCTGCAACTTTCTCTGATTTCTTGGAGTACTTGTATTCGTAGTACTTCACATACTTCATTTGTGATGTCAGGGTACCAGTAGGAAACACATGGCATACTCAAGTTGGGGAAATAAAGGAGAGTTTAATGAGGGCATCATTTATAAATATGTGGTCATAATGAAGGGAAACTAGCAAGCGATGTTGAAACACCTGTTTCAACAGCAGGGAGATATTGCTCACCCCAGGGCCTGAAGAAGCAAGATGAAAGAGAAATTACTGCTTCCTGGAGAGAGCCATAGGAGAACCGAAGAGAGGCCTACACTTAGGAGTTGCGGCCCTCAGTAGAGAAATGCTTCCATTTGTAACCTGCAATCCAGCAGGGAGGAAATCAGCAAAGAAACACCCTGTTTTTTCCTCTCTTCTTGTCATGTCATCTCTGCCTCTGCTTCCAACTTGCCAGACCCAGTTTAGCCAGAGGCAAGAATCCTGTTGTCCTCACAGGTCAGCTTCCCAGGGCTAGAGCAGGATGGAAGGGGATCTGCTGAAAGTCAGAGATGCTTCTGTGTCAGCAACTGGCCAAGATGAGTTGGTGACCTTACTGCCAACTTTTGTTTATCATAAATTTCCATTTGCATCTTGAAGAAGAAGGCACATCTAGCAGAATTAGACAATTTATCCTTTGTGAGGGAAACAGGAGCTTGGAGCATGTTTCAAGAGAGATAATTCACATTCATTTTTTTAAAGTTAGGAAATATTTTGGACATAGAAAAGGAAACAATAATGTAATGGACACTCAATGTTCCCACCACTAGGTTCAAGCAATTGTTAATATTTTACCATATTTATTTCAGATACTTATTTAGAGAAACAAAATGTGAGAGATTCAGCTATAGCTGTCTCCTCTAAATCCCATCCTCCTTCCTTCTTAGAGGTAACCATTTCCTTGTAGTAGGTCACTTTTCCATAATTTTGTTTCACATTTATAAATGATATGCATTGTCTTGTATGCTGAAATGTGTATGAATAGCATTTTATGGTGTAAAATATACCCTTTGCCACTTTTTGTTTTACTTAACTGTATTTTTGAGATTTATCTATGCTAATAAATTAGATCTGGTTCATTCATCATAACAACTGCTCTTTGTGTGACTATATCATAATTTATTCATCTATGCTTATATTGATGGATATTTAGGTTCTTCCAGATTTTTTTCCTTTCTTTTTGGTGTTACAGATAATGCTGCATTAAACACAGTTGTACCTGTGTACTGTGCAAGAGCACTTCTAGAAGAGGAATTGATGGCTGACAGGAAATATGCATCTTCAACTTTACTGTTAGTGTTACTGCTAAGCTATCCTTCAAATCAGTTGCACCAATTTATAAAGTTGTGGATCAGAGGCATGTTAAGGCCTCTTCATGGTTGCCCTAGGGTGTAATTCCCCAAGATGTTGTTTCTAGAGAGTTTAGGACAGTCATAGTGAAGGCTACCTCCTATGGGATCACTATATTTATGCTAAATCTGGCACTGCTGCTCAGAGACGTGAAGAGACTTGCCTGGCATGGCTCCCTGTAGTCCCACGGCTGAGTCAAGGGAGCATAACTGCTGTGTGCCAAGTGGCTTGACCTGGAGAAGCTTGAGCCAGTTCCTGGGATGAGAAGCAGCAGTGACTGATCATGTAATTTAGTGTGCTTAGAGCTCCTTCAGATAAAAACAATCCTTGCAGAAGTCAGTGAGGGTCATGTAGATTCTTGTAAACAAAGTAAGAAAGGTCACTTTATGGTTTCTGAGTCTTGAAAAGAGGCACAAACTCAGCAGTAGCCAATTATGCTCTACATTATTCTGTATATTTTCTCTGTGTGCCCAAACCCTTCAGTTTGTTTTACTATTAAGTGGAGGAAGGTGCAGGTTGTTTTTAAGAGCCTGACGCTTATACAGTTTGGGGGGTATGTTTTAGGAAAAAATACAAAATTGCCAATATAAAATTAAGGTCTTGGTAAAACTACCTCTCCTTTGGTGATGTTGTGAGGGAGAAGGAGGGGAAGGGGTATCTGTGAAGGTATTGCTAAGGCACCAGGCAGTGAGGAAGATGGAGGACAGAGGTGAAGAAGCAGTTATTAGGCACACATCCGGCCTGCACAAAGCTTAGGAGGTGACATATTGGGAGGGCACGTGTGTGTGTATGCACAAGAGAGAGAAAGGACGGTGGAGGAAAATCTGGCAGAGAGTGGTATAAATGATGAGAAAAAATTAAACATTAAAGGCAAACTCCTATGTGAGATGAAAGAAGGAGGGATGCTGGCACCTGTGAGTATCCTGTGATATCCACTCATTGGCTCTGCTACTACATAGAACCAATATGACCAGTGGTATACAAAGACAGGCCAATGGTATAGCAAAGTGCAGAGATGAAATACAAAGGAGATAAGGACCCACTCTCTGACACCCTTTGCGTATGGGAGAATAAAGTCTACAATGGCTGGAACGAGACACCATTTTGGTTCTCATCAATGGTTCACTTATCTCTGTGGTTTGTGGACAGTCTTGAAAAACTAGGTATTTGCACTAAAGAGATGTACATGGCAATATACAGACAACATTTCTTATAAAGTGTCAGGGGGAGCAAGGACTGCCTCTCTTCCCCAAGGAAAGAAACCTAAATCCATAAACTAGTCTGTGGGTGCCAGGAAGGGAAAGGGTCGGGTCTTTGTGGAAATCCTCAGTGCAGGGGAGGAGATGGTGTGGACATGCGCCAAAGGTTTTCTTTCTCTAGAAAGTATGCAACTTTGAGTAAAGGCGGGTCATATTTTCTAAACCAAAAGTGAGGAACATAGTACAGTGAAGGAACAGAATATTTGAAACCCTAATTTTCCAGGTGCATTCTGGTCCCAGGAAAATACTTTTGGATGCCTGAGCTTCCTTGGAGAACATTGGAGAGGGACAGAAGATGCTAGGTTTATAAAGAAGCTACCCTGGGATGGGCACTTTCATAAAATCATCTCATTTAGTTTCCTCATTGAATCCATGCAATGACCCTAGGAAGTAATATAATTATTCTGAGGCCTGGAAAGTTTTAATAATTTTTCCAAAGTTACCCTTGTTCATACATGGTAGAGCCTGGACTCTTCAGTAGGATCTGGTCTCCAGCTCTTGAGAAAGGGAGGATGATCACAAGAGTCTACCCTTATTCTGGGTCTGGTGTAGCAATGAAGAACTGCTTCTGGCTCCCTTCTATTACCTGTAACTTTGGAGGGAAAGGGAGAGGGAGATGGAGGGGGAGGGGTAGGGGAGGGGGAAAGGGAGGGGGAGGGGAGGGCAGGGGAAGGGGGAGAGGGAGAGGGAGAGGGAGGGTCAACCCATTTGCCTGTGATAGCTTGTATTTTCCTTGGAGAGCCCTCTGGGAGAAGAAAGTCTGTTCTGTGTGCTCAGGGGTGAGAGGAGTGCTGAGAAAATAACAGTTGGAACTTTATTCTGAGTACTTGTGGCATGCCAGGCACTATTTAATAAGTTAATTTATTTGTAACTTTTAAAAAGAACTATAATACACATATAGAAAAAATATATATCACAAGAATTAAATGTGCTCAATAAATTAAAACAAGTATCTGCACAACCTCCACCAAGGTGAAGAAAGAGAACAGTCACCACCCCAGAAACCTCTCTCATGCCCAGTCCTCTATCTTCACACTAGAACTTTCCTCAGTGTCAACCATTACTTGACTTTTAATGCTACAGTTTAGTTTTGCCTGGTTTTGAACTTTATCTGACTAGAACCATACAGTATTTTTTTCTTTTGTGTCTGTTTTCAAGTCACTCATTTGTGTTGTTAAAAATACTTGTAGTTTACACATTTTCATTGTTGTATAATATCCCATCGTACATATACATCATACTTTATACATTTTACTCTTGATGGGCACTTAGGTTGTTTTCAGTTTTAGGTATTATAAATAAAGCCACTATTGAATATTCTTGACCATGTCTCTTGATACTCCTATGCATGCATTTCTGTTGAGTATGTGGCTTGGTTACAGGATATGAGCACTTTCATCTATAATACTTAATGCCAAAGTATTTTCCAAAGTGGCTGTACCAATTTATGCAACAGTGTATGAGAAATTCTGTTTCTCCAAATGCTTGTCATTGCTAATTATTTGTAGTCTTTTAAATTTTGGCCATGCTGGTAGAAATGTAGAGCTACTATCTCATTGTGGTTTTATTTTACATTTCCATAATGACTAATGAGGTTGAACAACTTTTCCTATTTATTAGTCATTTGGGTATTATCCTTTGTGTCTTAGTTCATTCTTGCTGCTATAACAGGAATACCTTAGATTGAATGATTTATAAATAATAGGAATTTATTCCTCATAATTCTGGAGGCTGGAAATTCCAAGATCAAGACACTGGCAGATTTCACGTCTGGTAAAGGCTCATTCTTTGCTTCCAAAAATGGTGCCTTGTTGCTGTGTCCTCATATGGTGGAAGGGAGAGATGGGCAAAAGAGTCTAACTAGTTCCCTTGAATCTTTTATGAGGGTACTAATCCCATCCATGAAGGCAGAGCCCTCATGATTTAATCACCTTCTAAGATCCCGTCTCTTAATACTATCACATTTCATCTTAGGTTCCGATATATGAATTTTAAGTGGGGGACATACCCTCAAACCATAGAAGTTTGTAAAGTGCCTGTTCAAATTTCATGCGCACTTATCTATTGGGCTATTTTTTAAATTCTGAATGTAAACCCTTAGTCAGTTACATAAATTGCTAATACTTTCTTCCACTTTAAGTTTTAGATTTTAGTGGATTTTATCAATCTTTTTCTTTATGGTTGATGCTTGTTTTCCTCCTGTTTAAGAAGTACATTCTTCCTCACAGTCATGAAAATATTATTATATTAATATTTAGAATCTTTATTTTGCTTTTCGTGTTTAAAGTTATATTCTTCTTGGAATTGATTTCTTTATATGGTGTGAGATAAGAGTTAAGTTTATTTTTTTCCATGTGGATATCCAGTCAACTCAGTACCAGTTATTAAAAATATCATATTTTTTCCAGTACATTGCACTGCCATCTTTGTCACAAATCAAGTGTTCCTAGATGTGGGGGTTTTGGAAGTGCTATTTTATTCCATTTGTCTTGTTTGTTTATGCTTGCACAAATACTACTCTTAATTTTTGTGGTTTTATAGTGCATTTGATATTTGAGGAAAAATTTTCCCCATTTGTTTGTCTTTGTCAAGCGTCTTTGTTATCCTTGGTTTTTGTATTTCCATACATGTTTTAAAATTAGCTTGTTAAGTTCCACCAAAAAAATTCCTACTGAGGCTGGGCGCAGTGGCTCACGCCTGTAATCCCAGCACTTTGGGAGGCTGAGGTGGGCGGATCAGGTGGTCAGGAGTTCGAGACCAGCCTGGCCAACATGGCGAAACCCTGTCTCTACTAAAAATACAAAAATTAGCTGGGTTTGGTGGCAGGTGCCTGTAATCCCAGTTACTCAGGAGGCTGAGACAGGACTCAGGAGGCAGAGGTTGCAGTGAGCCAAGATTGTGCCATTGCACTCCAGCCTGGGCAACAAGAGCAAGACTCTGTCTCCAGAAAAAAAAAAAAATTCTACTGAAATTTTTATTGGAACTATGTCGAATTTACAGATCAGTTGCAGAGACTGATAACTTTACAATATTTGTTTTTCCAAGCCATCGAACATGGATTATTATTCCATTTATTTAGGTCTTCTTCAATTGATCGCAATGATGATTTATATCTTTCTCTGTGAAAGGCTTGCCCATTTTTTATTAGAATAATTTCGGGGTATCTAATATTTTTAATGGTTTCATAAATGGCACCCCCTTTTAAATTGAGGTTTAATTTGTAAACAGTAAAATGCATAGATCTTAAGTATGCAGTTTGATGGGATTTTGACAATAGTGTACATTTATGTATACTAGATATGTGTAAGATATATAAATTTTCATGACCCCTGAAAGATTTCTTCTCTTTCTTTGAGTCAATCCCTCCTCCCTCCCTCCTCAGAGGTAACCACTGTTCTATGTTCTTATTTCTTTCACTATAGATTAGTTTTGCCATTCAAAATGTCATAGAAGTGAAATCATGCAGTATGGACTCTGTTGTGTCTGGCTTCTTCAATTCAGCATAAATCTTGAGGTTCACCTATATTATTGTATGTATCAGTAGTTCTATCTTGTATTTTGCTTAGTAGTGTTCAGTTGCATAGATGTCCTACAATTTGTTTTTACATTCTCCTATTGATGAAAATATGGATTGTTTCTAGTTTTTGGCTATTAGAAATAAAGCTTCACTGAACATTCTCGTATAAGTCTTTGTGTGGACATATGTTTTCACTTCTTGTGGGAAAACACCTAGAGATGGAATAGCTGGGTCATAGGTAGGTGTATATTTAACTTTATCAGAAACTACCATATGTATTTCCAAAGTGAATATACCATTTGACATTCCCACCAGCAATATTTGAAGTTTATTTGTTACATATCCTCACCAATATTTGGTATTGTAATTGTTTTTAATTTTAGTCATTCCAGTGGACGTGTTGATATCTTATCATGGTTTTAATTTTGTTTCTCTGATGGCTAATGATCTTGAGTATCTTTTCATGTACTTACTAATCATTTACAGATCATCATTTGTCAAGTATATATTCAAATCTTTTGCCCATTTAAAGAAAAATGGATTGTTTATATTTTTATTGTTGAGTTGCAAGTGTATCAAAAATATATTCTTAACATGTCCTTTGTCAGAAGTTGTGAATATTTCCTTTCAGTCTGTCTTGCTTTTCATTTTTTTCATAGTGCCTTTTGATGAGCAGAAGTTTTTAAATTTTGCTATAATTAATTTATCAAGTTTTGTCTTTTATAATTACTACTTTCTGAGTCCTATCTTTTTTTAGTTATCTAACCAAAGATTGCAAAGCTTTTCTCCTATGTTGTCTTCCAAAAGCTTTATAGTTTTAGCTTTTGCATTTAGTTATGTAATCCATCTATAATCCATTTTATGTATGGGTTGAGGTTCTTTTTTTCAGCTATAGTAGGCGATCTTTCTAGCACCATTTGTTAAAAAGATTTCCCTTTCCTCATTCATCTGTTTTGGCACATTGGTAAAATATTAATTGACCATATAACATGGGTCTATTTTTGGACTCTGCTTATTCTATTGATCTAGTTGACTATCTGTTTATCTTTATGCTACAACACTGTCTTAATCACAGTGGGTTTATAATAAGTCTTGAAGTCATGTAGAGTAAGTTCTCAGAGTTTGTTTTTTCGAAGATTGTTTTGATTATTAATGTTTCCATATAGATTTTAGAATCAGCTTGTCAATTTCTAAAAAAAAAATGTCTTTGAGGATTTTCATTGAGATTGTGTTAAATATACAGGTCAATCTAAGGAAACTGACAAAATATTGAGTCTTTTAAACCATGAACATGGTATACTTCTGTATTTATTTAAAACTTCATTACTTTCTTTCAGTAATGTACAATAGTTTTTTATATGGGACTCTTCCACATGTGGCTTCAAATTTATCTTTGAATGTGTTATGTTTTTGATGCCATTATCAATAATACTTATGATTTCATTTTCCATTTGTTTTGCTAGAACTAAAAATACAACATATTTTAAAAATATTTTGAGCTTATTTATTAATTTGTTATCTACTGCTGTGTAACAAATTACCTCAAAACTTAGCAGCTTAAAAAAATACAACTATTTATAATCTCACAGTTTCTGTGGGTCAGAAATCCAGGAATGACTTAGCTGGCTCAAACTCTCTCATGAGTGGCAGTCAACTGTTGGCCAAGGCTGCAGTTGAATCACAGATTCAACAGGGGCTACAGAATATTCTTTCAAGGTCACTCACATGGCTGTTGGCAGGAGGCTGTAGTTCCTTATCATGTAGTCATCTGCATAAGACTACACGTGACATGGCAGCTGGACTTCCCTGGAGTAAATGATCTGAGAAAGAGAGAGGAAGATAGAGTACCCAAGGCAGAAGTTGCATAACCTAATCTCAGAAATGATATGCTATCATACCTACCCTATACTTAGCCAGACAAACTTTGGTACAATATGGAAGAGGGCCACAAAAGGATGTGAATGCCTGGAAGTGGGAACCATCCTGGAATATCCTGGAGTCCAGCTACCATAGTCTGTTCTCCAGCCCCCAATAACTCATATCTCTCCCACATGCAAAATGTACTCGTCCCATCCCCAGACCCAAAAAAAATTTATCCCGTTACAAAATCAGCTCAGAGTTCAGAATTTCGTCTTCTAAATCAGGTCCAGGTCCTCAGACATAGTTCCCTCAGCACAACTCCATGAGTACAGTTCTTCTCAGTTTGTAGACCAATGAACTTAGGAAACAAGTTATCTGTCCCCTGCACACCCAACATACAATGGTGCCATAGGTAGAGGACAGCCAACATAGACACTCCTGTTTAAAAAGGGAGAAACTGAGGCACAAAAGAATCACTGGTTCATATCAGTTCTGAAATCCAGATAAATGTTGTAAGTTCTATTAGAACTCAATCCTACTTCTGCCTGAAAATTACTCTATAGTTCTTGGTATTGTTCTCTAGATTCTTGGTTCCCTTTTGAATCATCCTTCCTTTCATTATTCATGAAAGGTGTAATGTATTTGCAGCTGACTGATTTTATTTTCAGCCTATTTCTCGCTTATGGAAGTTGGAGGATTCAAAAGTTTCTTTTCATTTTATACCATCTCTGTCACTTTCAATCTGTGTCATGAGTATACCCGGTGATATAAGTCTCTCAAAATCTCTGTGGTCCTCCTGTGAATCTCACTGGGGTTTGCTTCATTAGACAAATTTACACCTACAGATATCTTTGAGATAAATCCTCTCCACGTAAATCTTCTTTTGAGAAGGGTGAGGAACTTAAGCTTTTTAGAACCCTTATTATTTTATATATAGGTGCTGTGAAGCAAAATTTAAAGTCTTTAGCAGGTATTTTGTCTGAGTTAACATATTCTGAAAAACCACCTTTTAACTTAAAAAAGCTTCTAAAAAAGGATTTTATAGTTACACCCTTGGCTTCATCTTTAGAACATTGTTTCTAGAGGGTGTCCTGGATTTGACCTTTGCTTGGGAGCAATTTCTTAATTTTAGTATTGTCTGCCATCTGGAGAGCCTTTGAATCTTCACAACCAGCCAGATCCCATCTTCTTTTGGTTTAATAGTGCTTTCCTTAGCTTCTCTCTCTCCTTTCACATATTAATATAAGCAGCCACAAGAAACCAGATGGCACCCTCAACACTCTGGCTGGAAATCTTAGCTAAATTTTCTACCTTTCACATTACTGCAGGAGACAGTGCTGCTAAACTTTCTGCCATGGCATAACAAGGAGCTCCTGTCTTCAAATTTCCAAGATTTTCCTTTTTTTTTTTTTTTTAAGACCTCACAAACAACCTCTTTAAAGTCTAATTTTACTAACCGCGTGTTCGAGGCAATTTAGGATTTCATTAATGTTTTCCTTAAAGTCCGTATAGCCATTCCATCTTCTGCTCACTGTCTGGTTCAAATGCCAATCCTACATTTTAGATTTTTGTTGTGCTAGCACCCCATTTCCAGGCACTAAAATTTGTATCCGTAGATATAGTAGAAAGTAGACATTTTTAGATTATTAAATGGTGAGTCATTTGACCCACCAAGAAAAAACATATAAAGGAGAGATGCCTTGGCATATACTGCTTCTTTCAATGGATGGTCATCTGGTTCCATCTAGAGTCCCTGAGGTAGTGTGAACCAGACCTGCAAAACTCTAGTGGCCTTGGGAGGAGTTGATGATAAACACATAAGGAAAAATCTAGGTCAGTGCTAAGTGTTTAAGAACACACTCACACACACACACACACACATACACACACACAGAAAGAGAGAGAGAGAGAAACCTAAACTGATCTCATATTACAGATGAGGAAGCTGTGATTCAGAAGGGTAAAGTGACTTGTCCAAGGTCACCATGGCCAATTAATAGTTGAGACAGGAATAAAACCAGTTCTTTTAATTTTCTCCAGTGTTCTTTCCAGGTACCATATGGCCTCAGGCTCCCATCATGTTGCATGCCTTCAACAAAGCATCTCTGCCTGAGAGGTCTCAGTGGCAATGCATGGGAAGAAAACAAAGGGAAGAATGTTGGAGTTTCCTGTTAGAATTTCCTGTTAGAATATTTTACATTCTGAAGTAAGTCAGCTTACTAATGCTTGGACAACTAATGGTGCTCATGGGAACC
Organism: Homo sapiens; assembly: GCF_000001405.40. Classification (NCBI taxonomy): domain Eukaryota; kingdom Metazoa; phylum Chordata; class Mammalia; order Primates; family Hominidae; genus Homo; species Homo sapiens. The sequence goes on from NC_000001.11 coordinate 115,167,059, forward strand.
TTTCCATTGAGAGTCTGAAGATCTGAGAAATTCACTATGACATCTTCAGATACAGAGGTTGATCCCTGGCTCCTTCTCTTGTCTTTGTTTTGGTTTCAGCAGTGATGAAGCAGGAATCTTTAAAAACAGTTTTAATTTTCTTGTTTACTTTTTTCTTTGGAAATAAACTTTTCAGCCCATGTTAACAACAACAACAACAAAAAACTGGATTCTGGACAATTTGGTTCAACTGCCTCGATGAATGGTCGTAAGTGAAAATCAGCCAGTGAACTCCTAGCAGCTCCTGACTTAGAGTTCCAGCTGCCCACTGGACTTTAGGACCCTGGCTCATGGACACCTCAAAATCAACATCTTCCTAACTCAACTTGTTATCTTTCTTTCTTTACCTGCTCCCACTCTTGCATTTTTAAATGCAAGAAAAAAGTGTTGAAAACTTTATTTTCAACGAAAAAATAACCAAGAAAATTAAAACTGTTTTTGAAGATCCATGCTTGTATTTTAGTTGCCCAATACAGAACTTTGGAATTTTCCCTTTTACTTAGACCAAATTCTTTAGAATCTAATTCAGAAAATATTTCTTGAATCTACCCTTTCTTTATATCCCTACTGCTACTACCCTTTTTATGTCTCATTTTGTGCATTCACCTATGAATGGTGTTTATTGCATGCCTATACTATGTAGCACAGGCAATCTGCTCTGTGCTAGGATACAAAGGTGAACAGGACATGATACTTGGGTGCAAGAAACTTAACTCTGTGTGAGGGGTAAAGAAGGAGACAAAAACAAATAATGATGGCAAAATATGATCTTTTTTACATATGCCATTTTTCTCCTGAGCCATTGCAATAGATCTTGACCTCTTTCTGCCTTCTTTCTCTCCCTCTTTATCCATTCTCTTCATTGCTAGCAGAATTACCTTCCTAAAATACAGACTGGATCATGATCACAGTCATCTTTGCCTCCCTGTTGCCTAAAGAATGAAAGCTGTAGTCCTCAGTATGTTGGTTAAGGCCTTTACAAGCAGGCCCAAATCTACCCGTCCACCTCTCCATTCTCTCCCCTTTAGCATTGAACACTATGCTTTAGCCACATATAGACTGCTAGTAGGTCTCCAGTATGCCTCATAAACTCTCACATATCTGCCTTTTATTTTCCTGTCCCTTTAGTCTTGAATGCCCTTCAAATCTCATTCACCCTCTGGCTAGTTCTTACTCATCTTCCAACTCTTACTCATCATTTAAGACTCACCTTCCTCAACTTCCCTACCCCGAGGCAGAATTAATTACATCCTCCTTTTATATACCATAATTATATAATTTATTTCATTATATTATAGATAATTTATAGACGCCGAATACCCTCTTACCACCTACCATAGTTGTCAATATATGTTGAATGATTAAAAAATATAAAATATTGAAAATATACAGTGCACCACTGTAGGAGGTGTTCTTATTTTTACTGGTAATGCCATTGTGAAAAAATAAAAATACTCAGAGTCCCCAAGTGCCTTTCCAGGGTAATAAAAATTCCTGCATTTGGAAATCAAAGGAAGTTTCCATGTCTTTTTTTACCCTGTCTCTTTCACGTAAAGTTTGGGGATACAGGTTGAGACATTTCTGTTAGGTTATACTGAGTTTACGAGGTATAAGATGGGACCAAATGACCTCAAGGATTCCCATCAGAGAAGTACGCAGTGGTGAGAGCGGATTCCTCAGGGATGTGGAGGTCAGGAGAAAGTCCCACTTTCACTTCATGGATGCGGCTGAAGTTCTTTCACAATCTGTTTCATGGTGCTGGTGGTGAGGTATATGCGAATGTGTGTGTGGCAATACTTGGAGATAGTTTGAAACTTAGACATGACATGACCTCGACGTGACTCACTAGTTGCTGTCAGCGCATCTTCCCTAATAACTTGATGAGTAAGTGGCAAAATATCTGGCCTAAGCTCTTTTTCCTACCAAACCCTGCTTTGAGAATGCAAACAAGATGCTTCAGAAAAGAATACGCTCCACATTCAATTAGATAAAGATTTCTCATACATTTGGGAAAAATCACTCAGAAAATTTTCAGCCCTCATTGCAGATTAATCCCCAGAATTTCGTTTTATAGACTATCCACTATTTCAAAACATTTCCCACAGGGAATTCTATCAATGGGTAGTAAGTCTCCAGAAGGTTACAGATAGGAGCTGGAATTCTCTCCTTTTTTTTTTTTTTTTTTTTTTTTTTTTTTTTTTTTTAAAAACTAAATTTCCAAGAACTAGACCAGATGATCCCTAGACGTGGTTTAGTGTTTTGTGTTTTCAGGCTTTTAGTATGTTGGTGCTGGAAGGGACTTAAGGGAACATCTGGTTCAGGCCCCTCACTTTACAAATGGTATCAGGAAAGTTAATGGCTTTTTAAGGTCATCTAGTGTATCAGGAGTGGAGCTAGGACTAGGACTCTCAGGCCCTCTAACCCCTAGCCAATGGATCATCTTTCCTCCATGCCAAGTTAGACACAAGGCAAATTGCTACACAAGATGAAGAGAAATTTTAAAGAAATACAGGCCTTTCAACACCTTGAGTATGGATGTGTACCACTGTTTTCCTGAGACCTGAACTTCACTGTAGGACCACCTCTCAAAGGGAGACTTATAAGAGACTTCTGCTGCCAGCCCTTGTCTTGCACATCATCTTAGAGGACCTGGAGATGTTGATGTGGATAATGGATCAATATTTAACTTATTTAACTTAGATTTTAGGGGCAGGTTAATTCAATGAACTTAATTGGTATTTGCTCTGTCCTCCCATAACAAACAAGAATCTCTAGCGCATCTCCAACTTTCAGCCTCCTTTATCCCTTAATCATTAAAAACTGCTTTCTACTCCCCTGTGAGTGAGTCCTGCTTCCCTCTCTTTCTATCCAGTTCAGGCCCACTCCCACCCTTGCTGCTCCTCAATGGGATGCTTCACCTGAGCCCATGGAGCCCCAGTTCTATTAACGACATATTCCCCTTAACCTTTCCCTAAAGCCCTTTTTCTGCTTCCTTACCACAACAGACTTGCCTTTTCCCTGGATACTGTTCTTGCAATCTTCTTCCACAGAGATTTTCCTTCTTCCATTCCCAGTGGAATAAGGAGGGTGGGTAGAGTGAGTTTCTTCATTTCTTTCAAATTGTGCCCATCAGTCATCCTCAGGCAATCTCAATACATTTACTTTTATTTTGAAGTTTATCAGTGGCTCACTAAGCCTTCTCTAGGAGTCTATTTTTTCCTGTCTCTTTAAACCTTGAACAAATACCTCCACTTCCTCAGGCTTTGTAGATAGCCTCAGTCTTTCTTTTGGAGAACACTGAGGCTTTTCCTTCTATTTCAAAGTTTTGATGTATTTTCACCCTTTAAAAAAGTCTTTCCTCCTGTTTCAGAGAAAAAAGCCAAAACTTTAAGGCCAACTTCCCCATGGTTCCTGGATTCTTGCCCCTTCTTTCTCTTGGACATCAAGACCCACATCTCTGAATTGCATATCTTGGTATTTTCTTTTCACTGCATTCAAACTTTCCTCCCCCATGTGCAACGGAATTATCTAAGGTATTTCAAAATGCAGTATCTTTAGTCTCTTCCAAAAGAGTGCTGTACAGCTAGTGCTCTATCCCCAGTGGCTAAATAAAATTCTTTGGATCTTGTTCCTTTATCCAGATTCAAAGATTTGGATTATAGGTTTCAGGTTCCAAGGTAATTCTTAAGCACAATAAATGTGAGCCTAGAATCATGTGCAGACTTCTCTTACAAAAAATAATCATTCTGTATTAGCTACCTATTGCTGTATAATGAATTATCCTACAATTTGGTGGCTTAAAACAACACTAATTATCTCAGTTTTCTATAGGTCAGGAGACAGCATGTGGCTAAGCCAAGTTCTCTGCTTCCAGGTGTCTCACAGCAGCAGAGTGCTGGCTGTGGTGGCTGTCCTTGTCAAGGCTCAATGAGGGAAGGATCCGCTTCCAAGCACATTCATGTGGTCTGGCAGCTCTCAGTTCCTTGTGGGCTGCTGGTCTGAGGGCCTTATTTCTTTGATGGTTGTTGGCTGAAGGTCATTCTCAATTCCTTACCATATGGGCCTCTCCTTAGGGGAGCTCATAACATGGCAGCTTGCTTCATCTGAGTGAGTAAAACTGAGAAAAATTAGAGAAATGGGGAAAGAAGGAGAGCGCAATCAGACAAAAGTCATGGTCTTTCATAACCCAGTCTCAGACATGTCATCTCATTCATTTTGCCATGTTCTATTTATTAGAAGTGAATCACTAGGTCTGGCCCATACACAAGGGGAGGAGATTAAACAAAGATGTGAGCATTGGGAGGAGGATTATTGGGATCGTTTTAGATGCTGACTGTCATATACCTCAACCCCAAAATCTTTTCTTTAAATGCTGCCCATTTAAGTCGTCAACCTAGTTTTCTCCTTATATTTAGCACTCAGCTTTCTCTGGAGAAGAATATGAACTGGTAGCCTTCACTCCTAACCACATACTCTCTCCTGAACCTATCCCATTGCGGCTTCCACTCTCACCACTTTGCATCACGATTTTCTTGATTCTAAGTGAACTCCTGACTGCCAAGTTCTTCTTTCCTCCTCCTCTATCTGGTCTCTTTCAGCATTGGATTGCCCCTTTTTTCTTAAGATTCTCTCCTCTTTGGCCTCCATGATATTCACCTTTGTCTACTCTTCTACTGACTCCTGCCCCACAATTTTGACCAGTTATTACACTATTCTGTACATATTATTTGTATGTGAATAGGACATATTATCTGAGGGAGATCCAAAAAGTTTTGGGAACAGCTCAATATTTCATGGGGACAGAGAAATGACAGGTCTACTAGGCCTGTTTGGAAAGACAGTAAGAGAGAAATAAGATTGCTTTAAAAATGCACATTATCACCTGTCAAGGAGACTTGATCAAATTCAGTGTGGTACTCTGGATGGGATTCTGGAAGAGGAAAAAGACGCTAGGTAAAAACTAATGAAATATGAACAAAGTAGGCACTTTACTTAACAATAAGTAATCAATATTGTTTCATTAATAACAAATGTACCATACTCATGTAAGATGTTAAAAATTGGAGAACTTGAGTGTGAGGTATATAAGAACTCTGTACTCTGTTCATAGTTTTTCTGTTAATCTAAAGCTGTTATAAAATTAAAAGTTTATTTTTTAAAATGTGTCTTAACAAGTTCCACTCTTTGTGTGGAAAGGTCACTCTAGTATTATGGGCATTTACATATTTGTCTCATGTCTCTACAAGATCCTCCCTTCAGGTTTGTGATCACCTTTGTAATCCTTAGAACTAAGCCCAGGGCATTGCATGGTCTGCAAGTAATTGTTGAATGAATGAGTGAATGAGTGAATGATTGTGAAATACCAGAGTGAACTCTTGGACAGGACGTTCTGTAAGGACATAATTAACCTGATTGAAGCCAAGGATAATGGGAATGATTTACTGGCCTTTGTCTTCAGTTCATTCGGTTCAACCAAACCTCTAAAGTGGCCTGTTTCCACTTTCTTCTTCAAATTACATGTTCCTGCTCTGTTTTTATCTCTGTCACTTCCTTTTCTTTCTTTCCTTTTTTTCTCTCTATTATTGTTTCTTTTACTGTGGTGCACTTTCCACTCATTTTGACCCAAACAATAGTTATCCTTCTTAATGTGTTGTGGTCTAGTGGAAAGCTTCTTGAGCGTCAGTGATGAGCTCAGATTGAAGGACATGGAGAAAAAGACATTTGGCTGTGGATGCATGCCACCCAGGTAATCAAGATCCTGGATCCAGCTCTGTGGCACTTCCCATGGAACTACTCAAAATTGACTTGTCTTTACTAGCATTAGACAATTAGACTTAATCCCCAAATTTCATCTTTTTGGAACAATTGTTTTGATTTCCATTAGCTACAGTTTTAGTGTTTGCTCATGGATATGGTTGTCAAATAGAGAGGAAAGTCTCTTCTTTAATGATCACTCATGGAGCTCCCATCTCCACATGATACCAAACATTTGTGTATTTAGAAATATCTGGATGATTGGCCACATTTTTCTGCTTCTTTCTCCTTCTCCTCTTTCTCCAAGCACATTCTCTTCTCCTTCTCTTCCATCCTCTCCTCCTCCTCCTCCTGTTTCTTCACCTCTAGATAAATGGCTTGCTTATTCATGGACTTGGGTTTTCCTGGACCTTGCTAAGTGTCCTCTTTCTGTTTCTTTCTTCATGAGTCAAACAAACAAACAAAACATACCATCCTCTGTAAAGGAAGCTAGTGCTATTGGCTAATGCTCAAAAGGATGGATGGGGGTCAGCTGGTTTCTAGTGGCTTTAATCGGCTGTCCAGGGTTTAAGTCCAGTCTGTTACATGAGAACAAATGCAGTTAATTAGACCACAAGGTTTTGACTTTGACCACACTATTTTCTGATCCTCTGACTTAACTGGTTATAGATTACAATTTTAAAATGCTTGTATTTTTATAGTGCTTTATGGTCTTCAAGAACTGTATCTCAGTCTCACAGTCTTTAGACATCATTCTTGCAGGAATCCTAGTTCTCAGGTTTTCAATCCAGCATGGTACTGGGTGGAAAGTGTCACTGTAGCATACTGGCTGTTGGGAGAGAACTAAGCTTGGAGTGGGCTTCCTTGGACTGTGTTTCAGAGTGATGAAGGCTAACTATAAGGCCCAGGAAGGAATTTATGACCCTTCATGGAAGCAGGGACTGCATCTGCCCTTTTAATGCTCTATCCTGGTACCCAGAACAGTGCATGGCAGCAAGTATGCACCCAGAGAAAGTTGGCACATCTCTTATTCTTGTTGGAGGTGAGAGCAGGAAGCTAAAATGGGCAGAAGGTGTAGTTTACTCTCATCATCCACGTCCCAAAATATAGGCTTTGGTCAGCAGTCTTGGGGAAATTGTTGTTCCCAAATTGCTTCTATCTGTAGGAGAGGGATGGGCTTGGCTCCATTCCCACATCCCTTCTTATGTTGACAAGGTGATGAGTTGTTAATTAGATTAGCCACAATCCTAGACATAGAGCCACATTTACCAGTGGACCAGATTTGAAGGACAACAAACTGGTGTGTTTGCCAACCCACACATGTTTGTGGGGGCTCATCTTGTGGTTTTCCATGACTGGCCAGAAGGTGGTAAGACCCTTAAGCCATCGGACTGAACCAGGAAGCTCTGCAGTGGAGTTTCAGGCCCAAACCCATTTAAATGGTTATGTAGTGGTATGTTGGTTTTCTCTTTGCCATTTTTCCTCATGTTCACATCTTTCCTGGAAACTCACAAAAAGGAGGGGTGGCTGAGTCAAAGCAGGTCTTGGATACTCCTTGGGCAGGACTCCCCTCCCAACTAAGAGCTCTCAACCTCACCCAGGTTTCTAATGGAATCACTATTGGAGGTGCTATTCTCCCACTGCTCTGTAGTGTCGCTTTAACCTGATACAAACATCAGTCACCAATGAACACCTCTGTGTGTAGAAGATCTCACAGAATATTCGTCCACTTATTCTCTCCTTTTCCTCCCATCTCCAGGCTTGTCTGCTGTAGCTTCTGGAAATAAGCAGTCTATTAGTTTCCTGTGGCTCCTGTAGGAAATTGCCACAAACTTGGTGGCTTAAAAACAGTTTTTATTTCACAGTTCTGGAACCTGGAAGTCCAAAATCAAGGTATTGGCAGGGCTGTGCTCCCTCCAGAGGCTCTGAGGGGAGCATCCCTCCATGCCTCCTGAGATTCTGGTGGCTGCCAGCATTCCTTGGCTTGTGTTCACATCACTCCAATCTTTGCCTCTATCTTCACATGCCATCCCCTCTCCAGTGGGTGTCAAATATCTTTCTGCCTCCCTCTCAAATATATATAGTGATGACAATTAGGGCCCACCTAGATCATCCAGGATGATCTCTCCATTTCAAGATCTTTGACTTAGTCACATCTTCAAAGATTCTTTTTCCAAATAAGGTAATATTTATAGGTTCTAGGGACCAGGACCTGCTAACTTTGGGGCCCCCTATTCAGCCCACTACAAGAAGACTCTAGAATTTTGCTTTCACTTCTTTTTCTGTATAAATGCCCTTATATAAAGAGAGCAGCATGTCCACAACTAAATTTCTTTGAACAGGCTAAGCCCCCAGGTTTTGTTCTTGGGTATGGTGCTAGAAATGCCTTGCTAAAGGACAAGTGGCCTCTCACTTCTTCCAGTTGTTGCAACTTATTCTAAATTATAATAGAACACACAACTTTTAGCTGTGACCGCAGGACTTCCATGCAGGGTCTACATTACACCAACATCTGGATGAAAAGCAAAAAACAAACAAACAGAAAAACCCCAGCCAATTAACCAGATGCTTCTTTCCAAGCATCTAGATGTTTGGCTCTTGTATTTGGGATGCGGGAAACTTCACAGGCAGTCCTGAGTAAAGAAGAGGCAAGTTTCCCTTCACCCAGATGGGACAGGACTGAGGGAGATGATGGGGCCAGTCTTCTGGGGGGGGGGGCAGGGTTGTTGGTGGTCTGGAGTTGAAGGCCCACCTTCAGCAGTGGGTGAGATGAAAGGGAAGAAGGTGAAACTTCTGAATTGTGTCCAGGAACTTGGAGTGGAGGTGGACTCTGTGGAGAATGAAGACAGAACTAGCTGCAAATGTGAGCTCCTGGCCCCTCTGAGCAGCCATATTAAAGATCAAAGGGACAAAGCCTGTGCATTCCAGATGGAATCAGGCAGCAAAGCACAGCTACGAAAGCATTCTTGGCTGTCATACCCTCGAGTGCCATGAGCAGGCTCTTTGCTCAGCACTCTGTTCTACCTACTGAGTCAAGAAAGCTCCTTTTAGTCTTCACAGGGTCAGGGATGTGGCAGGGAAGATTTTCAGTGCAATCAAAACAAGATGCTTCAGTGCAGTGGCTCCTCTCTGCTTCCCTGGGGACAACTGGGGGCCTTTGGGAATAGGAGAATGGGGTGGGGGAACTCGGTCTCCTTGGTTTCTGGCCTTTTGAGAGCAATTTAGCCAATTCATATTTAGGCCAGGTCTTTTTGAACAGTCACCTGGTTGACAGCCCATTTTCTCTTTGGGGACTTTCTGAGAGCTCAAGATTCCAGGCTCCTGGTCAGAGTGTGCTTGACCAAAGGAGGGCAGAGAAGTTGTTTGGGTCTGAGCCTCCAGGCCTTTTTTTTCTGGGATGATGGTGTGATTTCTCCTTGTCTCAAATGACAGCAACTTCTATTACCCCCCCCTCCCTGCCCACAGTCGCTAGCTTGGATGTTAGATTGGCTAGCATATGCAGGCCATGTCAACTTGGTAATAGCTCAGCCAAAGCTAACATCCAGATGGGCCACTGGCATCAGTGTAACTGGGTATTAAGAGATAAGCTCTGAACTTAGTGGCTCTGCCATTTACTAGCTGTGTGACCTTGGACCTTGGCTTCTTCCTCTGAAATGTGTGATGATAATGCCCACCTGTTAAACTATTTGGGAGGACTACATGAGATAAATTTTGTAAAGCACTAGCTCTGTGGCTGGACTATAAATATGATGCTCAATAAATGCTATTTTTATTGATTGTAAAAGTACTTCTCAGAGAAAGCCCATTTTTTCCTCTTTTTTGTGCTTCCCTCCACTTGCCTTCCTTCTAGGATTCTACATCTAGGAACCAAAAATTAGAGGGAGAGAAAGAGAGAGAGAGAGAGAGAGAGAGAGAGACACCATGACACCACAGATTCTTCCAGGGGCCCTCTCACCCTGGCTGGAAGCTTATTTGTAAAGCAGTTTTGGGTCACCCATGCTCTGAGGCAATTAATTATTTTTAGAAATTTCTAAATTCCAACTAAAGAAAAAAATATGAACCACCATTATGGTTCCCAGGTAGAGTTAAATCCAACTGGTGTGTTAATATGTCTTTCCTACAAAAAGTCGTGGTGCCAGATCTTTGGATCAAGCTGCTGCATATTCTCTTCACTCTCCACCTTTATCTTACCCTATCTCCTTCCTGAGGCTCAGGTTTCCAGTTTTTCTGATACGTCAAACTTATTCTTCACATGTGGGTCATGCCTATCTGATTTTGGAAATCCTAATGAAGCAGAATCCCTTGTTCATAGTAGGTGCTCAGTGAAATTAGGTTAAATAGTTTAGCTTGTTTTCAAGGCAGCCTATGAGTTTTGTTAGCAAGCTTCTTTCTTCATGACAGGAAGGATGTGCTCATGACTATCTGTAAAGTTAGTGCGTGATTGCCCAGGTGGGGTGGTTTAGAGGTGCAAGTAAAGGCCCCCCACTTATATATAGAGCCCACCTTCACCTGCCAGCTAGAATAGATGGTGTATGAGCTTTAGAGTCCACATCCTGGCTTCCAAAACCAGCTCCACTGTGCACTGTGTGGCCTTGGGCAGGCTCATACCCTGAGAACCTTGGTTACCCCATCTATAAAATAAAGATAGTAATATATATCTCAAGGGTGCTGATAAAGCTTAAATGGAACAAAGTAATGTATATGCCTGAACATAAGTGAGAATTTATCCAAACGATTCCGAGGAAGAAACCTTATATTTGAGACTGCACAAAGGCTGGAATATAATGGGGAACACTCTCAATTAGGTTATTTTGAACAATAAGGTAGTGTTTGGGTAAGGCCCAGCCTGAAACAATCTCAATGCCCATTTGAGGGGCTTTAGAGATTTTTAGATAGAATCTATGGGATAAAAAAAGGACAGTAATTATTACTGGAAATGAGGCTTCTCACTTGCAAGTGATGGATGTAATGGTAAATAAGCCCTTTGAAGATCATTCTTAGATCATAAATACCTACCTATGAGAAAACAAGGCCAGGTATGGTAGCTCATGCCTGTAATCCCAGAATTTTGGAAGGATTGTTTGAGGCTAGGAGTTAAAGACCAGTTACGGACCCTGCCTTTAAAAAAAAATTAGCTGAGCATGGTGGGGCATGCCTGTAGTCCCAGCTACTCAGGCAGGGGGATCACTTGCACTCAGGGGTTCAAGGCTGCAGTGAGCTATGATCGCTCAACTGCACTCCAGCCTGGGTGACAGAGTGAGACCCTGTCTCTAAGAAAGCAAACAAACAAAAAAAGGAAAAAAGTATGTATATAACAGTTCTGATGTTATAAATTGTGAATTGCTTTTCTCCTTCCTTCCTTCCTTCCTTCCTTTTCTCCTTCTGTGGCTTGGGATAAAATTTCCAGTGACAGGCTTATGTATGATCTTGAAAAACATACATGGAAGAAGTTGAAATGCTCTAGAAAACAAAGTCTGATAACTCAGAAGGTGGCTTCAGGGAGGTCAGGACACTGGTATTGGAAATGAATATGAGAAGTTTGAATACAACTGTTTCATGAACTGTGGGTGTGGAAAATAACATTTTAAAATATATCATTTTATATACTGTGTGATTTCAAATATTTTTCTAATTAAATGTTCTATTGTAAGTGGACATTTACCTATCTCATCTACTGCCCTATATGTCTATATATTAAAATTGGGGAAAGTTCTTTTGGGGTAGCACAGGTCCCTGGGGACTGTAAGGGACTGGGGGATATTTTTTCTTCCGTATCCACTTCACTGCACATGTCAGCTTCTTTCCTCCCTCACTGTGATTTGCCTTCTGAGCTTTCCTGGTCATGTCAAGGGAAAAATGGCTCCCACAACTCCACAGTTTTTATGTCTTACTTGTTGAAGGCTTTGGTCCACACCGAGACTGGAATTGCTGAGCCTCTATTCAGTGTTTTCCCAGGTGAGATTCAGGCTGTCCTGGGTCAGGTCAGGGGTTCAGCCCTGGACCACTGAGCTGTGGCCAGGGCCACTTTGTACAGACATGGCTTCCGGAAGCTTGTCCCTCCCACCCTACGTTCAGCTGGCAACAAAGTGTCCAGTGTCAGGGACAAGACATTTCTAGGGGTCCTGAAGACATTTACAGGGACTGAATTCAGTATGAGATGGGGGTTTTTGAGCAGTGAGCTACGTCTGAGGAAAGTTGATCTGGTAATAATGTAAGGAACAATTTCAGAGGTGAATAACAATTTACTAGGAATTATTTTATGGGATTGGGGGAGGAGAATTGGGAAGGCTTTGGGGCCTTCAAGAGTTTTCTAATAATAAATTGCAAAAGGTAGGGAGGGAACTGCCTTTTTTGCAGTTATCCCCTGTGAGTTGACAAAAACATGGTGGCAGTGAGGGGAAAAGAAGCCAGAGGAGAGAGGCTTCATGAGGAAGACCTGTGGTAGGGCTTGGGGTGGGGCGCACTGCTCAGCCTTGGTCCTGAGCCCCATCTCACCTGGGTGCTCCTGGTGAGGTGGAAGTGCGGTTGCTGATAGCTGACAGGCCTGGCTAGGAAGCAGAGCTCTTGGCCTGACACACCAGGGGCAGGCTGGGCTTCACCTCTGTGGGCAAGGCAGCAAGCAGTGAGCCAGGGCAGCGTGACAGGACAGTGTGGTGACAGACCATAGTGAAACGTGAGGGGAGCCCTGAGTCACTGCATTTGGTGGAGTCCACTGAGTGTGCGGTGTAGATAAAGACACCCACGAGCGCACTCCACAGCCCTCACCCAGGAGAGCAGGCCCACTGGGGCCAGGCGGTGACTCAGAATGCAGCCACGTAGATAACCGCTGACTCAGTTATAAATTCCTTAGCTCCCTCCGCAGGCCTGGGTTTGAGGGACAGGTGACTCACAGACTGACCCTCTCTTTGGTCTGGTTTTTCAGAGGGTTATCTTTAGATCTCCAGGTCATCCCAACCTCTAGGACACCCCTGGTCTGAAGGCCGAGCCAGCCATATTAATGTTCTCAGCACACACTTGGCTTACTCACTGGGATTTCTGTTCCAGCAGCCTCTCCGTTCTAGTTGTGTATCCACTACACACATTTTTGGTTGGTGTCTACAATGCCTCGGCTCCATGCTGGGCACTGAGGACACTGCAATGCACCAGAAATGATCCCTGCCCTGCAGGAGCTGCAATTGCCTCTTGGTGACTGTTTCTGACACACTTTATGTGGAAGTTGGTTCAATCAGGAAAGAGACACCTCTTTGGACCCCCATCTCTCACCCAGTCCACACTTCCTGGTGGTGACTGGTCGGCTCCCTAGTTTCCTGGTCTGGCCTGAGCAGCCGGATCTTCTCCTACGTACCTGCTTCATTTTTCCTGCTGCCTGAAGAGAGTAAGTCTGCTTCCTTCCACTACGTGGGTAGTAATGTGGGAGTGTTTTGATAGCTAAAGGGCCGCTTGCGTGTTTGTACTGAGTTTCACACACATGCAGAGGCACCCAGCCCTGCACCAAGACTCCTGGAGATTGTCCATGGACTCACCCTGGGACAACAGTCACCCCATTTAGTGAGCCTGTGTTTTATGTGCAATTTGATGATCATAGTAGCTCTGTGAGATAGAGTTTCATCAGATATTTAATATCAGATTGTATTAACATCATTATTACTTTACAGGTCAGGAAACTTAGGCTCAGAAAAGTTGCCTAAGATCCCACAGCTTTTAAGCTTTTAAGAGGCAGTTCTGTTTCACCCTAAAACCTGCTGCTCTTAATGACTTGTACATATTGTTCCAACCCTAGGGTGAGTTCTCTGCCCTCTTGGGAGCATCCTCATTTTGAGATCAGGGGTTCTTCATCTTTTGACTTTCCAAGACCCCAAACCTCATCGGAGCACAGCAGGTACAGGCTGGCAGCAGAAGGAAGGGACAAGATCTAGATAACAGTGTGTGGGTGCAGATTCAATAAAAGTAGAGAACTCAGTATTGTGGGGGCCGAGTGACCAGGGCTTGTGATGGACTGAAGGATGGATTGCGGCAAGGCTGTGATATAGATATGATTTCTCATCAGGCTCCAAGCCCTTTAATAATATCTCCTCATGGTCCTGGTTTAGTGGGCTACTCTTTTAGATGAGCCCCACCTCTGCTGCCTATTCCAAGAATGTGATGAGAGAAGGGTGCTAGAATTATGATCACATGCTTTTGAGCTGGAGGGGTCTCAGAGCTCATTTAATCCAATTTCCTCAGGTAATAGGCAAAGAAAATGAGAGATAGAGGAGCTTCTGTGACTTTCCTGAAATGGTGGCAAGACCGAGACTGGAACACAGGTCCCTGTTCTACCCAGTGCTCTTTCTCTGACATCACCTCTCAGTACTCTGAACAGGATTACAGGCAGCTTGAGAGTCTATAAATTTGGGATAAAATACAACAAAGCTTTCATCTTACAAGTCCACACAGATGGGCTACTCCTTCCCCATCCTCTGGCCCTCCTCTCCAAGTAACCTATCTCATTATTCCATTCTAGGCCCTTGGGACCCATCCTCCCCCGTCCTTTATTTGTGTAGTCTTATGAAGAATCCGCAGCGTAAGAATTACTTTCTAACAATGGCATCTAAGAGTGGAAAGTTTAACTGTAAGTTTGGCGGGCAGAGCAAGCATTGTATTCATCTGCAGATGGCCTTTCTCTCTCTTTTGGCATTGATAACTGTCAGTTAGTTCCCCTCCACCCCACAAGAACCTGTATTTGGCAGAATAGATATGTCAGCATTCTTGTAAAGTACATTTTTTCTTTGTGAGAGGCCTTGCAAAATGAGTCCTTAGCTTTCTTCCACTGGCTTCAAAGTGTCTCCTCCTGTGAACATGCTTGATTCCCTTTGGACTATGCTGTGATGAGGTGTGATGTTATGGAAAGATTTAGTTCCTAAAGTCAGATAGCTCCTAGGTTGAGTCCTGGCTCCACCGCTTTAATAGTAGTGAGACCTTGGAAAAGATACTTAGCTCCAAATCTTGACTTCCCTACCTGTAATATGGGAACATTGGGGATCACTCAAGAAAAGGTATATGAAGGGGCCTCCCACGTAAGATGGTCTGGATGCCTCCTGGAAAAGATAGCTTTATCTTTAGGAAGCTGAGGAGATTTGGCTGCCAGTTGTTGCCCGAGAAGGGTAAAGACTTTAACTTCAGGTAAACCTCACAGTCATCGCTTTGGTACACACGTATTTGTGTACCATAAATAATAAATAACAAAAAATAATTGTTTTAAATAAAAATTTTTTAAGATAAAAAATATTTTTAAAAATAATATATTTAGATAGATATTTTAAAACAATTATTTAAATATAATGTATTTAAATAATTTAATTTAAATTAAATAATTAAATTATATTTAAATTTATTATTTAAATATTTTTAAAAAATAATTATTTAAAAATATATTTAAATAATTATTTTTAAAAATAATTATTAAAAAATATTTTTTAAATAAAAAATTGTTTAATAAAAAATAATTTTTCTCTTGCTGTTGTCCATGTTATTTTCCTCAGCGGCATCAGGGAGAGTGGTTATCACCTAGGGGAACAGCAGGGCACAGTGTGGGGAAGTGTGGCTCACAGAGTCCTGGTCCTTCCCCCAGCTGCCATTTACCAACCATCTGAGACATTGGGCATGGTATTTAACTTCAGCTTACTCATCCGGAAAGTAATGGGAACACTTACGTGTCATGGGGGTGACTAGAGGATTGATGGGATGGTGCTTGTGGAGCACTTACCGTTCAGGGCCTGGCATATGGTAGGTGTTGCTTACTGAGTTGGCATAATTTCTGAAATCCTTGTTTTGAGGGTATTTCTACATTATTAACGATAAGCAATAGATGCTTACAGGAACCTCCCCTAGGAGGTGATAATTTTCCTGGTTCCTCCAAAGTTTTTCCAATTGGCTGGGTTATGTTTCTGGTTTTGGAACGCAGGCCTTCCTTAGCAGGAGGGTCCCTGGTCTATGTAGCAAGCGTTGCTTATTCTTGGTTCCCTCCACTCTTTTTGGAGGTTGAAGCTTCACAATCTTGAGCCTTGATATGACTTTACAGAGGAGAGTCTGGTAGAGGGTGTGTTGCTCATCTTGGACCCTACTCGGGATAGGAGAGAGAATAGGGTTAATTTTCAAAGTGCCAAAATACCTTTGCATATATTGTTTCCTCTGCCTGGAATGGCCTCGCTTCTTCTGGTAAGTCCCTAATCATCCTTTAAGAGGCTTTTATTTTGGTCAAAGCGTTTTCCAGCCACCCTCAGTAAGTTCCATCACTCCCTCATCTGTGCACCCCTCTATTTAAATTCCTGCCATGTGTGGTCCAGGTGGCTCTGCTGGCTGTCCAGCTTTATCTCTGACCCCCTCAGCTGCCGAATTCTATGCCCCAGTCTTACTGTGTCCTCTTAGTTTCACAGGTGCACTAGGCCTTCCCTTCCCTCTGAGCTTTCATACCTAGTCCCTCTGTGTGTGACACTGGCGCCCTCCTCTGACCCCAATTTCCTTGGCCCCGCAGCCCCATGTGGTGAACTGCTGCCCATCCTCAAAAAAACCAGTTAAACATCCTTCTCCTGGTAAGAAGTCCCTGTGCTCCCAAGCCTGGGGTCTTCTTATGGGCTCCCGTGAAGCCTTCCCACAAACCCCATCACGCTTTGTGTTTTATATCCATCTCCCCAGCTCGACTGTAAGTATCTTGTGGGGAAGGGGCTGTGTATCTTTCTCCCTATTGTATCCCTGAATCTAGTACAGGCCTGTAGCAGCCATTCATCATATTAAAAACCAAAATCGATTTTCATGTTTTCTTCCCCCAAGATTGCAAGGCCCTTATCTGTGTTATCATTAAGTCCAGTGGTTAGCACAGTGCCGGGGGCTTCTTATTAGGGCCAACTTACAGCATGAACTCCTAGGCCCTGTGACAACCAGCTCCGAAGTTACTTTTTCCCGAGCAATCAAATTTCGCTTTTTAGCATCAGAGGAGCAAGAAGCTGGAAGGAGTCCCAGAGCCCCGGCTCCTTTGAGAAGGCTTCAGCTAACTTCCCCTCCCTGGCGGGTGCTCCTGCATGCCTTCCCTCCTTCCTCTCTTCACTTCCACTTATCCCCACTCCCCACCCCCTACCCAGTCAAGCTGTTATTGGCAATGAATGTAATGTTTCTGGGCTTTTCTTCAGGCTGGGACTCACTCTCATTGTGCTTAAGATCATGAATCAGTTTTGTCCATGCTTGGTCCTGCCAGTGTCAGTAAATGATCTTCTAAATCTGGTCATTGCAAACATGACTCTATCCTTTTCATTTGATCAATATGTTGAGCAACTAGGTCAATGGGAGTCGCCCCGTGGATTCCAGGCCCATTTATTAAAAATGTGGAACAATTTAAGTTCTTGCTGCTTCGACTGAAAGTTGTAGAGCACATGTTGTTTCCAGCAGGCTTCAGGGCTGGAAGGTCAAGTTTCAGATGCGATTAATTCAGTGTAAAGGTGAGCCTGCCAGACTTGGAAGAAAGAAAAACTGACAGCTGATTTATGATGTGGCTTTTAAACAAATCACCCCTAAAACCCAGCTCGTTTCATTATGGCAGAGGTTCAATTTGTATTAAAGTGTCATCCTTGGACACTGAGTGCTGCCCCTATAGTCAGCAGCTGGAAGAGAGAAATGGAATTTCAGCGGTTCCAGAAACCCTCTCCACAATGCTTGGCAAAAGAAATACTGGTGCCTTCAGTTCCCTCTCATATCTACTTAATGACAAAATGTACCATTGGCTGCTGGGCATGTGTGTGACTGCACAAAAATAGCTCTGTGAGTCCCCATTCTTGGGGCCAAAGGAGAAACACCTACTCACAAACTGCCCTTTGCTTTTGTGGCCTGGAGGGGTTTCTGGAGGTGAATGAGATTAGGAGTAGTGACAGGTATGGAGATGAAGCTGCTCTATGCTTTTGGGAAGTGACACCTGCCTGGAAATGTTGACGGGGTCCTTTTTTCTAATTAGCATGCTTCAGTTTACTGTGTGCTGTGCAGGAAATAGAAAGCACACGTCAGTGCTGAGGAAAGGAGAGTGTGACTAAAGCCTTCTCTTAGGTTTTGGGGAGGGCCTGATTTCCAGGTATTTCAGTGCTTAATGACAGACTGCCTTTCTGTTCTAAATATGAAATGGAACATTTCGCCACCATCCAGGCACACTGGAGCCTGAGGTGGACCTCCCGCCCTGCTTCTCCCAGTATGGCAGTGTAAGGAGTGGCCCTCAGACAGAGACTAGTTTCACTTTCATAGGTTTGGTCTTCCCATCTCTGTCCCAATAACAATGACTCAGTGGCAGAAAAAGTGGAGTCATTTCTGAATCCCAGACACACTGCCACATGGGCTCCTAGTTAGTGGACAATCCAGGGAGTAGCTGGCGGACCGTGAGGGAGCCAGCTGTGTGGCTAATGTGGGAGGGCGATGCTGAGAGGCAGGGGCTCTGAAAAGCCATGGTGACAGGGGAAGAGAACCTCTCTGTGAGGGGTGTGTGCACATGCCCGTGTAGGTTTTTGGCCAAATAATGCAGGGTAATGAATGCTCTCACATCCTGGGTTTCCAGGCTGTGCTCTGCTCTCTGCTTGGCTTAAGGTAGACATGTAACCGAAGATTGCTCCTAGGATGGGCAGCGCTTACTCTGGGTGTTTGCAGACAAAATGCCTGTTAGCATTTTGTCTGGCTCTGGAGCCCTGAGCCAGAGACGCCAACATCTCTTGGCTGGGCAAGTGGCTTCCTGGACTGTGGAACTGAGTCCATAAAAGGAGAATTTATGAACAAACAAGAAAACCTGTCTCTTTTCTGCAATGTTGAAAAAATACATTTTCAACATGATGTCTTCACTGCTGCTGTTTTCTGGTAAACCAGTCAAATTTAGTAAATATACTATAGTTCCATATACTATATATAGTATATATGCTATATACTATAGTATATAGCTATAGTATACAAATATAGTATATAGTATATAACTATAATATACAACTATACTGTAGTTCCCCACTGAGTCTACAGTGGGGTCACCTCCCACCCCCCTACCCCGACTGCCTCCAGCAAGCTGTTTGTACTTCTCATTTTGCACATATCACATAAAATGCAAAGCTTGGGGGCATTTACATTTGTCTATGTCCTCAGTATGGCTTGATGAAGAGAGTTTGAGCTTTAGAGCCAGACAGACTCAAATTTGAACCAAAATCCAACTTTTCAGTGGCCGTGTGAGCTTGAGAAGTCTAGTGAAATTTTCCTTGTCTGGCTTTCCTTCTCTGTAAGATAGAGCCACTCTTATTTCAGGATGATAGTGAAGATTAAGTGGGGCAATGCATAAACTGTAATTCTACTGCAATGAGAGGCCTGGCAGAGTGTAAGCCTCAGACTTCATATTAGTACCCATCTCTCTCTCCACCTCCAACTAGATGGTCATTCCTTAAAGGCAACATGGTATCATATGCATTTGTATTATCTCTCTTCTTGCCCAACACTTAATCCATTGCCTTGTATCTAGTAGGTACTCAAATAATGAAGGAACACATTTTATTTTAACTTCAAAGTGGAGTGAGAAGTGGACCAAAGGTCAGGTGAAAGGAATGTCTAATTGGACTAAAGCCTCCCTACTTGAAGTGGGGGTCAATGACCATCAGCATCACCGGATAACTAATTAAAAATGCAAAATATCAGGCCCCACCCCACAGCTACTGAACCAGAATCTGCATTTTAACCAGAGAGCCAGGTGATCCATGTGCATGTTGAAGTTTGAGAAGCCCTGGTCTAGAATGTTGTGCCAATAACCAGGTACTAAATAAATAAATGAAGGAGTAAGATTAGGAAGCTAGCAAAATAACTGATTAGAACACTACTGGTTTTATTTAAAAGGAAAAAATCTATTAAATTGAAATATAATACTAAGAATTTCAAGACCAATGGCAATTTTATGCCAATTCTAACAGACGTTGTCCTTGGCTATGATTCCGCAGCTGCAAACGTGGACTCTCTGACTTGTGTTTCCCTCTCCCTCTCTGAGCCTCTGTGAGCTCTTCCCTTCTGTTGCCCTCTGCAGAAGGCCATCTCTACTCCCTAGGTCTGGGAGCTACTTGGGGTCTCCCCAGTGAGCCCATATGCCAGGACGCTCTCAGTTACCATGGCTGCCTTCAAGTGCCCAGTGGGGATCATGCTCTGCTTTCCACAGAACGTGTATTGTTCTTGTTTGGATCACTGCCCTAAATTCAAGCTCATTCAAAAGTGCCTTTGAGAACTTGGCTCTCTCTTGCATCTGTCCTTCAGAGTTGTGTGTACCTGGAGGGCAGCCTGGGGACCATTGCTTCCAGGAAGACGAAGCATCCCTTTGTGTCTGTCTGTCTTCCTTCTGGGTGGGGGTGCGTAACGTTTCCTGCCCTCTTCTTTTGGATTGTTGCTTGGCAAATCATTTCATCAAGTCATCTGCTTGAGCTCTAAACTCTGTGGCCGCCTATAAAAACTGTTTCCCAACGGTGGTAGAAACAAAGGTATGAGCACCTGTGGATTCTATCTCTAAAATATCTCCCAAATGCCTCTGCTCTCTGCCTTGACCACCACCACCTCTCTGGGCCACCACCTTCTCCTGCCTGGATGACAGCAGTACCCTCCTGGCTACATCCCTGCAAGCTGTTCTCCCCATAGTGAGTCAGAGATCTTTTCTTAAACATAAATTGGGGTGTCTTTTTCCTGCAGAAAGCCCCCAGTGTCTCTGCACTCCCCTTAGAATGAGATCCAAACTCCTTCTGGTGGCCTCCAGAGGCTGCTGTGACCAGGACTGTCTGGCTCTGGGGCCCTGTCACCTCTTCCCTGTCTAGTGTGCTCCTCTTCCAGAAGGATTTGCTGCTCTTCCAGCATCTCACACCCACTCAGCTCTTTCTTGCCTCACCTGAGATGTTCCTTCCACAGACAGGCCTTCCTATCACCTAGTCATCTCTCCTCAGCTCCTTCCTTCATTCAGCCATCACTTTTCTAGCTGTGTTATTCATTCATTGGCTTTCTCTTTGTCCATCTCCCCTACTAGACTGTAAGCTCCATGAAGGTGGGAAGGTGCCTGCTGATTCAACAATGTCTGGAATGGGGCCTGGCACATACTAGGTACTCAATAAACACCTGCTGCATTGAATGCATGAGCCTATTGTGTGCTAAGTGTTTTCTGCTGAAATTCCTTTTCCCATATTGATTTTCTTCACTCCTCTGGGTGCCCTCCATCAGGTGGATGGACTTCCTTCATGAGGACTTCCTAACCCACTATAGCCTGGAATCATCTTCTGTCTTAAGATCTACTGTCATCCTATTCATCAACAAATCTCTCACCTCATTAAAATAGCTTTCCCGCTCCTCCCCTGCACACCCACACTCACATGTACACACACCTGTTCTTTCTGTGTTGGCGGGACGTTGTTATTCTTAGGGGGTGGTAAGGAACAGTGGTTAAGTGTCCAGGCTCTGGAGCCAGACTGTCTGGGTTCAAATCTTGGCTCTGTCAATTACTTGTTGGACAGGTGATTTAACCTCTCTTTGCCTCAGTTTTCTCATCTGTAAAGCAGGGGCAATGCTAGAACCTTCCTCACATGGTTGTTGTGAGAATTAAGTGGATTAAAACATATCAAATATATAGAACAGTGCTGGGCACATATTGAGCAGTATAGAAGTACTGGGTATTATTGTTATTTAAATGAGGAAGAAATGATTTTGCACTGTGAGATTCTCATGAAACTGGGTTTTCAATCTAGATTTCTCCTAGACTGAAGGCCTTTCTACTTTCATTATGGCTGCTAAAGGATTCCTTTGGAACACATTTTCCCTGGCATCTCTTAGGGCTTAGTCTGGTTAAAAGAAGAAAGAGAATTTAGGCATGAGCAAAAACTTGATGCCATTTAGCAACTTGGGTCAATCTACTGACCCCTGACTGCCAGCTGAAAACAGGAGGCCAGGACTGGCTGTGGTTCCCAGGACAGACTGACAGGCAGAGGGGGGGCCATCCCAGCAAGTGATGCCATGAAGGTGTCTGCCCACACATCCCCTTCATTCTCAGTGGCAGTGGGGAGCTGGCCTTCTCTTTCCTGGAAGCTTTCCTCCCTCTATCTGTCCTGCAGCCTGCTGAAGTCTTGATGGCCCTGCTCTTATTTTGGGATTAAATCTTTTGGGATTTGTCTTAGTTTAGTTGCACCTCTCTTGATCTCTCCCACCACATTTTTCTTCCTCTCCCCTCCCCCTCTAACAGCTGAAATGTCTCAGCCTCTGGAGCAGACTCATGGTGCCCCCTGCTTCCTAGCCCTTCCTGAGATAAGAGTCAGCGGGGGCAGAGGTTAAATACACGGTTTACCAGGCTTTTTTCCTGGAAATTCTAGAGGCCTGGATCAAACTCGGGGAATCCATACCTTTAAGTGCTCCTGGTGACTCTTATCTTCAGGGAAGCTTGGGAGTCACTGCCCAGGGCTTGCCCATGTTTTTAATTCTCCACAGATTCTCATGGTTTCCTCCAGCCCAGTATGCGTCTCATGGCTTTGACAACAGACAGATCTTGTTTTGTTACCTTGTGTTGCTATCTAACTCTCAACAATCTATACCTTTTCTCTTCAAACAATATAAACTTCTGGAGAGTAGGTATCAAGTTTTTTCTTACGTAGTAGGCCTTCAATAAATATTTGGTTGAAGTTTTACATTTTCCTCTCATTATATTCATTTGAGGTGAACATTGAAATTCTTTCACTTAAGCACCATCAAAAGGGCATGAAGGAAAGGGCTTAGAAATATGTGAGGCAGGCCGGGCACAGTGGCTCACACCTGTAATCTCAACATTTTGGGAGGCTGAGGTGGATCGCTTGAGCCCAGGAGTTCAAGACCAGCCTTGGCAACATGGTGAAACCTGGTCTCTACCAAAAATACAAAAATTTGCCAGTCTCATAATCCAGTCTCAAAATAAATAAATAAATAAATAAGTAATAAATAATCAATCAAAATTTAGAAATAAAATTTAAAAATTTTTAAAAAGAAATGTGTTAGGTAAAAGAGGCATGTTAATTTGTGATTATATATGCCTTACATATTCAAGGTTTGACTAAGTAACTTAAATGAAAACATCTCTGGTGTCTGGAATAACTTGCTGCTGTCTAAAAGTAATGAGTCATGGACAGAGCGGGCAGGGATGTGTTACCTGAAGAACTTCACCAATTCTTGGCTCCACCATGAATTGTATGTGTGACCTTAAGTGAGATGTGTCTGCAAACTAAGCCTCAACTTCCTCATTCTAAAAAAGTTAAATTCCGACATCATTGAGTGCTTGAAGTCGAATGAGATACTGTGTGCAGAATCATTTTATAATCTGTACAGTGCCATACAGAGGGTAGGAATTACCCTTAGTCATCCTTACAGTTAGTTTTCCAGCTCACCTGCCTTTCTGCATTCCCTCATGGCTTTCCTATCTGAGTCATGTAACTAAATTTAAATGCTATGCTAGGGAGCCTAGGAAATCTACTTCCCAGCAAGAGCTATAAAACCTCACATCCTAATTGACGGAGACAAGGAGGAACAGTGATTCAGAGGCAACTCTAGGGGAGCAGCCAGCTCAGGCCTGAAAACGTCTCCTTGGATGGGTCTGCTGGGGAATGGGAACAGATCCATTCTAAGCTTTGGTTTATTTCAGAGAGGAATTTAGAAACTGGACTATGATTGGAGAAATGGTTAACATCCATGAAAATATACAAGATTTTCAGATGGCAATGCTTACAATCTCAACAACAACAAAAAGCCATAGCAGCATTACAGCAAAAGGGGGCTGTTGTCCTCTAAGTGAACCCTTAGAAAGTCAGTTTTCTGAACTTCATAAGAATATATTACAAGAGGCAGTTTTCAGAGTTCTGTAAGCTTTGGCAGGGATGGGCTGGTACATGTGAGAAAAAAGCAACAGATTTAAAAAATCTGTACAAACACTGATAGAAATAAACTTGCTGCTTGTTGCAACGTACCCATGCCATTAGAGATTTTGCCCTTAACATCTCTCTTTTAAATCTGACTCCAGGAAATAGGTTTGGAACCTGATCAATCCCATCCTTGACTCTGCCATCCTTCTCCCAGAATTATAAACATAAGATTATTACAGCGCATTTCCTGCATGTGCCTTCCATGTGGCTCCAGTCTCCACCTCACAAGTGTAGCAAGTAAACACTCCCCAAGTCTAATTCTGAAGTGTAGCCCATATGCTGTGGTCTTGATGAGAAGGGCTGGGGACCAAGGGTGCAGAAAGTGTATATACTGCGAGAGCTTGCACCTTAAGGAGGGAAAAGGTCTCCTGGTGGCAGAAGAGGCATCCTTCCTTCATTTCTTTGCATGTTTGGTTGGTATGTGGGAGCTATGAAGGAGGGTTGAAAATGTTTTCTTTTCTTTCTTTCTTTTTCACAAATCTATTTCAATCCATCCCATTCCTGGAAAAACCACAATCCTCCAGCAGTCTCTAAGTCCTTCACTTTTGAAAAGCACATGGCTTCCCTGCTACCCCTTGCTTCTGTGAGTCTGGCTGGAACAGTAATTAATTTCTGTGTAAATGAGTTTGGGGCTGAGGCTTTCATTAATGTGTTAGGGCTCCAGGGTCTTGTGGTTTGACACCATTTGAGTGCACAAACTGTTAGCTTTAAACATTTTCAACAATTTTCCTTCCTCTCCTGAATCTCATATGAAATTCATTTCCCAAGGAACTGACCAAGGACCTCTGACCTCTTGCCTCAATTGCTTAAAGGCCTCCAGTTCTTTTTCTTGGCCTTTTACTTGGTATTAAAAGGTGAATTGAACTTCAAAGGGCAGTAAGCCGGATGCCTTCTTTCCCCCATGAGGGGCTGGTTTTCTCTTATTTGTCTGCACTCTGTATGAATTCAGGTTGGTATCCATTTCCCCTGGGCCTCAAGCTGTTTCTACTGCTATACCCAGATGCTTGGGTGCAAGGTTCTAATTTGTGTGATTTGCTGGTCCCAATGCTGATATTTGACCAAGTTCCTTGATTTGTCCTGGTCTGGTATGAACATGTGCATATGTGTGTGCACACATGTGTATGTGTGGGTATGTGTGCATGTGCATTGTGCATGTGTCTATGTGGGCATGTGCGTGTGTCCTCCGTCAGCACCAGTAGCACACTCTAGACCTGCGCTGTCCAATACATGTGGCTATCAAACACTTGAAATGTGGCTGGTCCTTGTTGAGATGTGCTGTGAATGTAAAACACACACCAGATTTTAAAGACATAGTATGAGAAATAGAAATGTAATATATCTCAATAAGTTTTTACGTTGATTACATGTTAAAATGATAGTATTTTGGATGTATTGGGTTAAACAAAATATATTATCAATATTAATTTCACTTCTTTCTTTCACTTTTGAAAATGCGGCTACTGGAGAATGCAAAATCACATATATGGCCTGTATTATATTTGCACTGGACAGTGTTGATCTAGATTGCCAATTGAGGCCCTAAGTCATGTTGTTGCTGAGTCATAGGCTTTGACTTCACTTGCTCTGGTATCCTCCAACCTTCAAGTTATGCAGCACGTGAGTAGCTGAGCTTCCATAAATCACGTTTCATAACTTGGAGCTGCAGAGGACACTTTGTATGTGTCTTTATGATCCCACCTCATGTTTCCTCCGGCATCCCTCTACCCTGACCAGGCTGGTCTCCTGTGCACGTGCTCATGCACAGAATGAGAGACTAGTGACCATAGGTTTGGGGCCAGAAGGAGGCTGCTGGTGACTCATACCTGCTTGGTGGCCCACACTATACCATAGGTGTTGATATGGTTTGCCTGTGTCCCCACTCAAATGTCATCTTGAATTGTTGCTCCCGTAATCCCCATGTGCTGTGAGAGGGACCCAGTGGGAGGTAATCGAATCATGGGGGCAGTTTCCCCCATGCTGTTCTCATGATAGTGAGTTCTCACAAGATCTGATGGTTTTATAAGCGTCTGGCATTTCCCCTGCTGGCACTTATTCTTTCTCCTGCTGCCCTGTGAAGAGGTGCCTTCCACCATGATTGTAAATTTCCTGAGGCCTCCACATGCAAGTCAATTAAACATCTTTTCTTATAAATTACCTTGGGTATTTCTTCATAGCAATGTGAGAACAGACTAATACAGGTGTATTAGTCCTGCAGAGTACCCATTCGCTTCTCACTATGTCTGGGTTGGACCACTTCTCTTTGATATTGACATACTTAGAATGTGGCTTAAGGGCTTTAAAGATTATCTAGTCTTATCTTTTCATTTTACAAAAAGGCACTAAGACCCAGGAGTACAGTGTTAGAGGGAGATGATTATAAGCTTAGACTTTGACAGAGGCGGCTTCAAGCTCAAATCCTAGCCCTGCTACTTCTTTGCCAGTCTCCAGCACAGCACTCCCCAATCTGTACTGCAATGATCTCCTCAATCATCTGTGTCCCTCTGAGTACTGTAGGCTCCTTGAGGACTGGGTCTGTCTCTTACACATTATCATAGTTCTTTTGATTTTTCAACAGTGTGTTAAAGATATGCCATATGCCAAGCCTGTTGTAGACTCTTGGGATGCATCAGGGAGAAAAACAGAGAAAGCTGTTGCTTATGTGCAGCTTATATTCTAGCTGTGGGAGATGGATACCATGTTGGAAGGTTGTGTGGGTTTCAGTTTATGCACAGTCCAGATCCACACACTTACCTTGTCTTGCAAGAGCAGCCCTGGCAACAGCTTCCTCTATCCCTGCAGTCCTGGGGCTGCTGGTGTCTCCTCTACCCACTGCTGCCATTCCTGCAGGCTCAGGGGACACTGTAAAGATTGCTCCGTGCCTCTTGTTGCTCACATGCAGGGTCCATATCTCCTCACTAGCTGCCTGAGCTGCATACCTCTCCACTCTCACCTTCTGCCCTGGGGCTTCCTGATTGACTCTTAGGTAAGGGATCGAGTACAACCCTTGTTCTCATCACCTGGAAGTATGAGAAAACCAACACCCACAGGGCCAACTTTGACCAATGGGAGTAAGATATTGAAGATACGTTGTTTTCTCTCCTTCCCCTAGGCAGACAGTGGAGACAGATTAGTCCCTTTCTGAAGATGTCTTGTGAGACCCAGCCAGTAGCTTGTTACAGAGCGGTGGTCATTTGGAAACAACTCCTTTATATTTGCTCTTCGTTTTTCCCTCCTTACTCCTCTATTCCCTCCTTTCTGCTTCCCTGGAATTCATCCCTTTGAGCTATGTTTTCTAGAGATCCCTGCCAAGGCAGTAGGTGCTAAGTGCGATGGAAAAAGCAAACCCAGAGCAGACAGGCTCAGAATGGGGATCAGGAGTGCCGTGGAGGGTCTGCAGTTTCAACAGCACTGTCAGTTTAAGCCTTGTTGAAAAGGTGATATTTGAGCAATGAATGAAGAAGCTGAGGGAGTTAGCCACTCTGGGGAAAAGGTGTTCCATCCAGTGCAAGGGCCCCAAGGCATGACTGTGGGAGAGTGGAGACCAGGGGTTTTGTAGAAGATTAGGTCAGGGAGGTGGGAGAGGGGGTCATCTTAGGTCTTCTAGGCCATTGTAAGGGTGAAATTGGAGCCTGGGTGGAGTTTTGAGCAGCTCTGGGACTTGGCATCTAGCAAGTGCATGATGCCTGGCACACAGAAGGCACTCATTCAGAATTTGCTGATTTGAAAGAAGGCATGCTGTTGATCTTCCACAGATCTCCTGCCACCCCTTTCTTCAGGGCAGCACTTTGCAGAGGAGCCCCTAGCCCTGCAGAGGGGGTAGAGCAGGACTTGTACATTTCTAGCCAAGAGTTGAAAACAGATGGAAACAAAATGCCAGTATTAATCCAAAAGGCATGTGGAAGAAAGATCAAATGGGAGAAGAGGGTGAATGTGTTTTCAGCAGAGCTGTGTGCTTCCTACAGAACCAGATTGTGGAAAGCCAGCTGAGCCAGTCTTGTGCCTCTTGACAGAAAATGGGTTTTGCCCGGAGCCTTAAGATTGGAATGAGGCATGGGCTCCCTGCTAAGAGCCAGACCAGTTCCGTAAGCTTTGACTTGTTGGAAATGCACACAAGAAAGTTTGCCATATACGCTTCTGTACCCCTTGGCTGAGTCCTTTCAGGTGTGAGTTCTGTAGATCACATGCTTTTTAGGTCCTCGGTGCAGTGGCTGGCTTTTTTTCCTGTCACAAGGGCCAGCCGAGAGCAGGAGGAGCATCAGGGATAAGAACCCACAACATAATCCTTATTTTCCCGAGGGGCTCTTCTCCTTGGCCCCTTTCTTTCATACCCACCTTTAAAAGATTATGAGTGTAGGAGGAGAAAGAGTCTGCGGTGGTGTCTGGGAACTCTTGGAGTATAGGTAAGGGAACAGGACAATGGAAACATCCCAAACATTTTCTCTTATAAGGGGGGATATTTGCTTCCAAAAAGCAGAAAACAGGGGAAGTGTAATTACATGAATCCTTCTATTTTGGGAGCAGTGGCTTGGGCGGAGGGAGGGATTTATAGGCCAGCGGTTTTAGAGACTGAATTTGACATGATATTGATTATTTATTTTAAGGAAATCCAGAGACTTGTACTTAAGCCAAGGAAAACGATTGGGCTCTTTTTCAAGAATCTTGCGAGTTCGTCTTCCCAATGATCTTATTTTGATGCACAGCTACCCCTTGGTTATGTTGTTAGAAGAAAAGACAAAACTCAAGGATTTTCAAGTATTTTCCTAATAAGGTCACATAAATCTTTGGAAACTAGAAAAGATCATTTAGTATCCAGTGAGGGAAGAGATTGAGATTTGTGAGGGTAAATAAATATCTGTGTTTCTGTGGAAGGTCTGAGAATCTCACAAGTAAGAGCAGCCAGTTGGGCAAGAGCAAGTCCCAAGCATTTTAAGAGGCTCCGTCCGTTTCCCAGATGGACAACTGAGGCCTATGGCCAACTGAGAGGTCCAACTGCTTGTGGTCTGGCCCAGGTGTCACCTGGATTATTTTTAGTAGCCAGAAGAGCATATGATAGCCAGGATATGTATTTCTGTTTATTTTTTGTTTTGTTTTGTTTTGAGATGGAGTCTCACTTTGTCACCCAGGCTGGAGTGCAGTGGCATGATCTTGGCTCACTGCAACCTCTGCCTCCCAGGTTCAAGCGATTCTCCTGCCTCAGCCTCCCAAGCAGCTGGGATTATAGGTGACCGCCACTAAAATTTTTCTACTAAATTTTTTGTATTTTTAGTAGAGATGGGGCTTCACCATGTTGGCCAGGCTGGTCTCCAACTCTTGACCTCAAGTGATCTGCCTGCCTTGGCCTCCCAAAGTGTTGGGATTACAAGCATGAGCCACCGTGCCTGGCCTGCTTTTGTTTTACTATTTAGTTTTTTTTTGAGGACTTTAATTACCCTGATATAGTTTATAGAAATATAGGAAGCAATATTTTAAAATGTAATTAATATAAAAGCATGTAAAACTCCATCACTACATCCTTAATTGTGGGGGAAAGGGTGGTACAATCCATGACTACACAACTTACTGTCAGTCAGAGAAGTACCTGTGAAATTCATAAAAGCATAGAGGGCAGTTCTTTTCTTCAAGTTCGGTCCAATATTCCATCCCACATAGATTCCACAGGAGTGTAGTGAGTAGCTCCTCTATGCCAGCTGACCCATCCTGGCTCCCCATCTGTCATGAGATCCTTTTTCTAGGCCAGGGATGGCAAACCACACTCTGCACACTAAATCTAGCCTGCTGCCTATTTTTGTATATGATCTGAGAATAATTTTTACATTTTTAAATGGTTTTTAAAAATGTAAAAAGAATAGTATTTTGCAGTGTGAACATTTTATGAAATTAAAGTCTCATTGTCCATAAAGTTTTACTGAAAGAGGGATGCTCATTTCTTTATGTATTATGTGTGACTGCTTTTCTCCACAATGGTAGAGCTGTGTAGTTGAGGCAGAGTGAATTCACACAAAGCCCTTTACAGAAGAAGTATGCTGACCCCTGCTTTAACCCTTGGGGAAGCCCTATGATATCCAGGTTGTAAGGAAATCTCTCGCTTTTGGACACTGTCTTTCCCTCCCCAGGGGCCCACCCTTCCCGATTGTGCTGCTTCTTCTTGGCACACTTCTCAGCCAGTCACCCCTGACAGCCCGTGGATGACAGGGAGTGGGGCTGGAGGCGAGGATGAGAAAGGAGCAGAGGAAAAGGGCTCTATCCTTGTCTGGTCGCAGCCTGAAGTCACCATACAACCACTAGCCCTTCCATGCCACTGGGGGCAACTCTGTCATATCTTTTCTGGATTTATAATCTAGAAGAATTTCTGAATCTTTCTCTACCTTGAGCTTATTTTAGTCTCTCTTTATGCCTAGCCTCAGGAAACGAGGGGATTTAGGGGAGAAAATGTAATCTATCCTGCCACAAATGCTCTCCCTATGATGGGGATGAGAATTCACAATGTAGAAGGCATGTTGATGATCACACCCTCTTACCGCCAACTGACCTACTTCTTCTGTGAACACCACCTAAATAATGCTGCTTCTTTGGCTTTGTCAATTCTGTTTCCCTGCCTGAGATCTGCCCCTCTTCTCCACCTAGGTCCCGTTCTTCTTTAAAGGGCTGCTCATGTCCCACCTCCTCCATGAAGCTTTCCCAGACTGTGTCTGTGACAAAGCCTTTCCCGAAGTTTAAGTATTTCCTTTCTACTTCTCACTGGGCTCTTGGGATCATTAAAGACAGTCCTGCCAGTTGATTTCCATACCTCTCATCTCCATCCCTATGATCACCATCCCAATCCAAATGCGTCTTACTTCTGAACCCTTCAAGGTAACCCCTAACTGCAGCCAGGCTTGTCCCGTGCAAGTTTTCCCTCCACAGGGAACCTGGAATCCCACAGGGCTGCAGAGGCCTTATCTGAAATGTCACTCTGGCTACCTTAATGCCTGTCTCCTCAGTTTCAAATCCTCTGTTGCTCTCCGGATACGGTGTACAGAACCGCATATGAGTTGGTTCCTACCCACCTCTCCAACCTCATCCCCTGCTTCAAATTCTGTGCTCTGGCAAGACTGCACTGCTTGTGGTTCTCTAAAATGCTATTGCATGTGTTTTCCTCTCTGCCTGGGATCTTGACTACATTCCGCCCAGTCCCTTTTTCCTAACTAACTCCCACTTATACACTAAGGTTCAGCTCAGGAGCCAACCCCCTTCAAAAATTCTTCCTAGACTTCCCCTCTTCCCACACCAGATTGGATGAGGTGTTTATCGATCTGTGTTCCCATACACCCAAGGCTACGATCGCCACACTATATTGTATTAATCTGTTTCCATTATTGCTTCTCCCTCACTGAACTATAGTAAGGACTGTGTCCTATTTATCTTCATACCTCTAGTTCTTCTTTTAGTCTCTGACTTACAGGAGGTGCTAGGTGTTTATTGAGTAGAAAAAGAGATCGATAATAAATTCTTTTAAGACAAGGTAGTGTTTTATACATTTTTATATCCCTAGGACTTGGCTCAATACCTGTTTTTGCTATGGATAAGGATGATTCCAGGTTACTGTTCCTTGTTTTAAAGATGTCGCTGCAGACTCCTGGCCAAACCTGTGGCTCACAGCAGGCCTAGCAATATTCTCAAGCACACTTCTTGGTTCACACTATGTAATCATGACAAAATTAATTACAGGCTGAGTGGCTGCTCTGTGTGTACTAGGTGTTTAACATATAATCTCTAATTCTAAACACAATCCTACAAGGTTAACATTATTCTCTGCCAGAGAAACTGAGACAGAGGGAAGTTAAATAACTTTCCCAAGATCATACAACAAGTCATTGGCAAAAGTGGGATGTGAATCCAGGCTTGTCTGTCTATGAAAGCCTTAATATTTCTGTTATCCCTTTTCCTATCTAGAGTTTATATTTTAGCAACATAAATGAAACTATAAAGTAAAGGTTTATAGTTTAGAAAAAGGAAAGAAAAAAAGGGAAAGTTTGGTTATAACCCTGCCACCTGAAAAAAATCCAGCTGTTTTAATTTGCCATGTGTTCATCCTGTGTGTGTCCACATGTATATCAAGTGAATTTGGTAGACATGCCATTTGTGTTTTGCTATCTTTCTCTCTCTCTCTTTTTTAACCAAACGTTACATCAGAAGCTTTTTCCAATGTCTGGTCATAGTCTTTGTGATTGTAATTTTAACGACTTGCTCTTCATTTCTGATCTTGACGTTAATAAGACTCTCCCAACTCCAGTGGCTCCCCTGTCCCTTCTCCTTTCCAGTCACTGCTCTGTAAGTGCATTTGGCTTTTATTGGAGGCAGCTGTGAAGAGAGTGCTGAACTCGCTGCCAGAAAAGTTGGACTGAGTCCCAGATCTGACAGTTACTAGTTGTGTGACCTTGGGCAAGTCAGGTTCATTCAATTTCAAGCTCCTCCTTTGGTCTGTGAGCACCTTTAAGGCAGGGATTATTTTGTTTCTCCTTTGTAGGCTCTGTTTCTGGCACAGAGTATGAGATCAATACATGCTTGATAAAGTCTCTCAAATTCCTCATCTGTAAAATGGGATAATTACACATATTCCTTAAAGATATGGTAATTAAATGAGGCTTTATATACACACACATACACATACACAAACATACATTCTCCGCAGTTGTAAATCATAGTATAAATATAAGTTGTTATAACTATTATCATTGCTGGTTTTATACAATTCATATAAAAGTCCACTCAATTATCTGGAAGAGCAGCAAACTTCCTGACTGAAAGCCTCATCTTTCATCCAGATGTTTGGTATCCTGTAGGCACAGTAGACCACAGACTTAAAGGAATCAGTGCTTATGCTGACTTGTTTGTACTGCTTTGACATGATGTCGTCTGCCTTGACAATAGAGGCTGCATATGTTTAACTTGCTGGGTATAACACCATGCACAGCCAGGACCTAAATAAGTGCACTTTAGCGTGATTAAAGTGAGAGATGTGGAATGTTTTTTAAAAGTTCAGGTCCAAGTGACACAGCAGTTTGCAACAACTCATTCTAGTTGGTGCAGTCATTTGCTGGGGGGCATACTAGGATAATTGGGTTTATCCACAAGGAAACAGTCCAATAGTGTGGGAGCAGTTTTCCATTTTTTCCAGGTAAAAAGACAATGGCTCTACAGAAACGAAAGGAAATCGTCCAGAGACTTGTGAAATAATTCTTATCTCATCTGTTCTTGTGATAATAATTCTTTTTCACAAAATAAGTCCTAAGAGCCAAAATTTTCCATCATCTACATAATATCAACATTGTAATTCTCAGTATTAACAAAGATTAAGTTGTTTTCAAGGCTGGTTGACTCAAAAAAACCCAGAAACATGCTGGCAGATAACACTGGGAAATAAATGCTTTTTAAAATTTTAACATTTTATTTAGAGTGTATTATTGTTATTTGCAGGAAGGTTAATACAATGCAAGCTACTCTACCATTACTAGAAGCACACTCTTTCATACTGCTTTTAAACTACATTAATCAAATGAAACAATATTTTAAAAGTACACACCTGAAAAAATGACCACAAACAATATGTGTGATGACTGACAAACTAGAAAATCTAGAGGAAATTGATAAATTCTTGTAAACACAATCCCCCTACTTTGAATCAGGAAAAAATAGAAATCATGAAGAAATCAGTAAGAAGTAGTGAGATTGAATCAGTAATGAAAAGTCTGCCAAGAACAACATAAAGCCTAGGACCAGATAGATTTACAGCTGAATTCCACCAGATATTTAAAGAAGAATTGGTACCAATCTTAGCGAAACTATTCCAAAAGATTGAGAAGGAGAGAATCCTCCCTAATTCTTTCTACAAAGCCAGTATGACCTGGATACCAAAGCCAGGAAAGGACATAACAACAACAACAACAAAACAGAAAGCTACAGACCAATATCCCTGATGAACATAGATGCAAAACTTCTCAACAAAATACTAACAAACCAAATATAAGAGAATATTTAAAAAATTCACTATAATGAAGTAGGTTTCATTCCAGGGATCAGAGAAGGTTCAACATACACAAGTCCATAAATTTGATACAACATATAAACAGGATTAAAAACAAAAACCGCATGATCATCTCAAGAGATGCAGAAAAAGCACTTGATAAAATCCAGCATCACTTTATGATAAAAACCCTTAACAAACTAGGACTAGAAGGAACATGCCTCAGAATAATGAAACCGTATATGGCAAACTCACAACCAACATCATACTGAATGGGGGAAAAGTTGAAAGCATTCCCCTAAGAACTGGAACAAGACAAAGATGCCCACTTTCACCACTTCTATTCAACATAGTGCTGAAAGTCCTAGCCAGAGCAATTGGGCAAGAGAAAGAAATGCAAAGTACCCATATGAGAAAAGAGGAAATCAAACTATCTCTGTTTGCCCATGATATGACCTTGTATCTAGAAAACCCTAAAGACTCCTCCAAAAGACTCCTGGATTTGATAAATGAATTCAGTAAAGTCTCAGCTTACAAAATCAATATACACAAATCGGTAGTACTGTTATACACCAACAGTGACCAAGCTGAGAATCAAATCAAGAACTCAATCTCTTTTACAGCTGCTGTAAAAATAAAATAGAATAGTTAGGAATATACTTAACCAAGGAGATGAAAGAGCTCTACAAGGAGAACTACAAAACAGTGCTGAAAAAAATCATAGGTAATACAAACAAATGGAAATACATCCCATGTTCATGTACTGGAAGAATTAGTGTCATAAAAATGACTATATTGCCCAAAACAATTTACAGATTTAATGCAATTTCTTTCAAAATACCAACATCATTCTTCACAAAATTAGAAAAAAAAATCCTAAAATTCATATAGGACCAAAAAAGAGCCTGAATAGCCAAACCAATCCTAAGCAAGCAAAATGAATCTGGAGGCATCATATTACTTGACTTCAAATTATATAAGGCTATAGTAACCAAACCAACATGGTACTGGTCTAAAAATAGGTACGTAGTCAAATGGAATAGAATAGAGAAGCCAGAAATAAAGCCAAACACAACCAACTGATCTCTGACAAAGCATACAAAAACACAAACTAGGGAAAGCACACCCTTTTCAATAAATGGTGCTGGGAAATTTGGATAGCCACATGTGAAAAATGAAACTGGATCCCTATCTCTCACCATGGATAAAAATTAATTCAAGTTGAATTAAAGACTTAAATCTAAGACCTGAAACCATAAAAATTCTAGAAAAAAACCTAGGAAAAATTTTTCTGGACCTTGTCCTAGGCAAAGAATTTATGATGAAGACCTCCAAAGCAAATGCAACAAAAAGAAAGGTAGACAAACAGGACTTAATTAAACTAAAAAGCTTCTGCACAGAAAAAAAAAAAAAAATTATCAGAGTAAGCAGACAGCCTACAGAATGGGAGAAAATATTTGCAAACTATATACACAACAAAGGACTAATATCCTGAATCTACAAGGAAATCAAACAATCAGCAAGAAAAAAAAACAAATAATCCCATTAAAAAGTGGGTAAATGACATAAATAGACATTTCTCAAAAGAAGATATACAAAAGCCATATGAAAAAAATGCTTAACACCATGAATCATCAGATAAATACATTAAAACCACGAGAGACCACCTTACTGCCACCAAAGTTGCCATTGATAAAAAGTTAAAAAATAATAGATATGGTGGATATGGTAAAAAGAGCAGCTTTACATGCTGATGGTGGGAATGTAAATTAGTACAACCTCTACGAAAAATAGTATTAAAATTTCTCAAAAAAACTAAAATTAGATCTACCATTCAATCCAGCAATCCCACTACTGGGTATCTACCCAAAAGAAAATAAATCATTATATCAAAAAGACACCTGCATGCATATGTCTATTATGGTGTAATTCACAATTGCAAAGATATGAAATCAACCTAAATGCCCATCAACTGGTAAGTGGATAAGGAAAATATGGTATATCATGGAGTACTATTCAGCCATAAAAAAAAGAATGAAATAAAGTCCTTTGCAGCAACTTGGATGGAATTGGAGGCCACTATTCTAAGTACAGTAACTCAGGAATGGAAAACCAAATACTGTATGTTCTCACTTATAAGTGGGAGCTAAGCTATGGGTATGCAAAGGCAGACAGAGTGGTATAATGGACACTGGAAACTCAGAGAAGGGCAAGCAGGAAGGGGGCAAGTGATTAAAAAAATCTACCTGTTGGGGTACAATATACACTATACTACATGTGATTTTATAGTTTATCTTATTTTTTAACACACTAGAAAATATTTTTACTCTGTAATTTAAGGTTAATTCATTTTGCCACTTAAGCAGAAGAGATAACTTCAAAAATAACTATGATTTATCTCTATTTATTCTTTGATTCTTAAATTCAATTTAACTGGGTATATGTTCACTCTGAATTTTCACCAAATTTATTTATAAATTAATGAAATAAATACATATTTTTAAAAATCAGCAAACAAAACAAGACATGTAAGGAATAGTGGAGAATAAAAGATAAAGAACTAGTAGGTTGGTGCAAAAGTAATTGTGGGTTTTGCCATTGAAACCCGCAATTACTTTCACACCAACTGAATAGTATCTTTAAAGTGCTGAAACTAAAACAAAACAAAACAAAACAAAACCTGTCAACCTAGAATTCTATACTCAGCAAAAATTTACTTCAAGAGTGAAAGCAAAATTAAGATTTTTTAGATAAAATCAGAGAGAAACCAATTCCAGGAGACATAATTATAACTGCTAAATAAATTCTTCAGACTAGAAATTTAGACCTATAAAAAATGAAGAGAACTCAAAATTGTAAATATGTAAAAAAAATAAAACATGCTGTGTTTTTCTTCTCTCAGTTTCTTTAAAAGATAACTTGGTTACAGTCATGATGGAATAACAGAACTAGACTTACCCTCCCACTATGAACAACTAGAAAGCTGAATAAAT
This sequence comes from Homo sapiens, assembly GCF_000001405.40. NCBI lineage: Eukaryota > Metazoa > Chordata > Mammalia > Primates > Hominidae > Homo > Homo sapiens. The sequence continues at coordinate 115,203,781 of NC_000001.11, forward strand.
ATATGAAACAATGTTTTCAACAAAGGACAACAGGCAGCATGAGCTTATAATTCCTGTAAGAAGGAAAATATATGAAGTGAAAGCTATACAGCAGGACTGTATTTCTGCTATTCTAGTAGGAGGCACATTCTAAATGAAAGTATAGGAGAAGTATCCTAAGCAGAATAAAAAGTAGTCTCGTTAGGTGATTATACAGAGCTCAGAGTTCAGGGAGGCTGAGGTAACTGGAACTCATGGGGCAGAGCTCTGTAGAGGAGGAAGCTAAACAGAAAAATAGATCCAGAAATCTGTATCTTAAATGTCCAACTGAGTCTTTGCTGAATACCAAGCTGCACATGTGTAGAGTGAAATTCCACAAAGGTTGGGCAAAGAAAGTCTGTGGAGCTATAAGCTGAGCAATGACTAGATCTCACACAGGACTGGGACACAATTGTATTCCGACCAGCATGAAAGAGTTCTCTTTAATCACCCAATGGCACAAAATAGAGACTCCTGGTGGGGGTTGGGGGATGTCATACTTTATTAGTAAGGTGAAAATATCTCTAGAAAAAGTGAGTTCTATTCTAGACTCACAACAACAAAAAGCTTAAAAACAACTTCTGAAAGGATTAAGATTACTGAACATTATTTACTTTCCTGAAGAAATGAAGCATAATTCTATTGTTTAAAATGGCAACAAATTGAGCCACTCAACAACATAAAATTCATAATATCCAGTGAGCAACTAAATATTTCTAGACATGACAAGAAGAAGAAAAATGTGACAAATAATAATAAATCAGTCAATAGAAATGAACATCAAAATAAAAATGATAATGGGAACAGCAGGCAAACATGCTAAAATAGCTCTTACAAATATGTTTAAGTATTTTAAGAAAACAAACATAATGATAAGAGAAATAGTACAAAAAGAACCAACTAGTACTTTGGGAATGGAAAAATTCTGAACATTTCACAACATCTGAAATAAAAACTCACTGGATGGGATTAACAAAAGATAAGACACAACAGGAAGAAACGAGTGAACTTGAAAACATGCAATAGAAAATATTCAATTTGAAGCACAGAGAGAAAAAAGAATTAAAAAAACAGTGTCTTTGTGATGGGTAAAATAATATCAAGCATAGTCTAATGTAAAATAAATATCAAGGTGGTAGACTTATACCCAACCATATCAATAATTACATTGAAGGAAAGGGCATAAATCATCCAATTAAAAGGCATAGATTGTGAGACTAGTTAATAATTCAAAACCTGACTATGTGCTATTGAAAAGGAACCCACCCAAAAAATAGTTTAAAGGTAAAAGGATAGAAAAGATATGCTATTGATCACTCATACATTGCTAGTGAGAATGTAAAATGGTATTGTCATTCTGGAAAGGAGTATGGCAGTTTCTTACAAAACCAAACAATCTAATAAATGTTAGCTACAAAAAAACTTGTAGCTAACATAGTGCTCAATGAAAGAAAGACAGAGTTTGCCCGCCACACCCACCCCAGATATCATAATCAAGGCGAAAATGTTAATACTCACTACCACTTTTCAATATTTTACTGTAGGCTTCAAATGATACAATCTTGTATATATTATTTATTTTCTTATAAAAATAAAGCATAGTGTTATTTTCCATTAAATTCCATAAAATCCTAAGAATCTACAAAAAAGTTGCCAAAAGTAATGTGAGTGTAGCAAGATCACAGGATAAAAGGACAATATAGAAAAATTAATAATTAATAGCAATTCCATATACTGGTAATGAAATTAGAAAATGAAGTTGAAAAACATTACCATTTACAGTAACATCAAATTTGGAATTCTTCAAGATAAATTTAACAATTATAGGCCAGACTGTACAATGCAAACTACAAAACATTGTTGAGTGAAATTAAAGAAGACCTAAGTAAAATGAGGTATAAACCAATGTTCCCAGATGAGACGACTCAATATTGTTAAAATGGCAGTTCCCCCCAAATGGTCCACAGATGCAATGCAATCCTACCAACAATCCCAGAATGTTTTCCATTGCAAACTATGCAATATAGTTCTAATATTTTACAGGACAGCAAAGGACTGAGGTCAATTTTTTTTTCTTTCTTTTTTTTTTTCAGACGGAGTCTCGCTCTGTCGCCCAGGCTGGAGTGCAGTGGCGCAATCTCGGCTCACTGCAAGCTCCGCCTCCCGGGTTCACGCCATTCTCCTGCCTCAGCCTCCCGAGTAGCTGGGACTACAGGCGCCCGCCACCACGCCTGGCTAATTTTTTTGTATTTTTAGTAGAGACGGGGTTTCACCGTGTTAGCCAGGATGGTCTTGATCTCCTGACCTCGTGATCTCCCCGACCTTGTTATTGCCCCCCTCGGCCTCCCAAAGTGCTGGGATTACAGGCGTGAGCCACCGCACCCGGCCAATAATTTTTAAAAGAGAAAGAAATTCAGAGGATTAAACTACTTGATTTTAATACTGTGAAGCTATAGTAAACTGTGAAGCTATAGTAAATAAGACAGTGTGATATTGATGTAAGGATAGATAAATATGCCAATGAGACAAAACAGAAAATTCGGAAACAGACCCCACACATTCATGGTTGATTGATTTTTACCAAAGGCATCAAGATAATTCAATAAGAATAGGTAGTCTTTTCAACAATGGTGTTGGAACAATTGGCTATCCATTTTTTAAAAATAAACCTCAGCATTTAACTTATTCCTTACATAAATATTATCTTGAAATTAATCTTAGATCTGAAAGTAAAAGCTAAAACCATAAAACTTCTACAAGAGAACACTGAGGAAAATCTTTGCAAACTCAAGATAAGCAAAAAATTTTATAGATAAAATTAAAATAACTGTGAACCATGAAAATTGTTAAACATTGTTTCGTTTTCACAAACATTAAAAACTTTTGCTCTTTGTCATTGTTAAGAAAATGAAAAAGGCAAACCACAGACTGGAAGGAAATATTTGTCTCACATGTATCTGACAAAAAACTTCTATTTGAAATATATAAAGAATTCTTACAGTTCTGTAATAAAAAGACAAATGATCCAATAAAGATTTTAACACCACTTCACAAAGGAAAATATACAAATAGACTCTAAGGGAGAGCATGTGATCAGAGAAAAGAGAGGCATTTCATAATAATAAAATGAGGGCATCATAATGAATTCATTAGGAAGACATAACAATCATAAATGAGTATTCACTTAATAGCAAAGCTTTTACATTTATTTTATTATTATTATTATTTTTTTTGAGATGGAGTCTCGGTCTGTCGCCCAGGCTGGAGTGCAGTGGTGTGGATCTCGGCTCACTGCAACCTCTGCCTCCCAGGTTCACGCCTTTCTCCTGCCTCAGCCTCCTGAGTAGCTGGGACTGCAGGCGCCCGCCACCACGCCTGGCTAATTTTTTTGTATTTTTAGTAGAGACGGGGTTTCACCGTGTTAGCCAGGATGGTCTCAATCTCCTGACCTGGTGATCTGCCTGCCTAGGCCTCCCAAAGTGCTGGGATTACAGGCATGAGCCACCGCGCCTGGCCAGCTTTTACATTTATGAAATGAAAACTGACAGAACTAAAGGAAGACAGACAAATCCATGTAATAGATGAAATTTTTAACTGTTCTCATTCCAAATTTACCACCTTACAACTTTTCTACAATGCATGTTACCCTGGATGAGCCATCTTGGCTTCAGAAATGTGTCAGGCAGTTGGATAGAATGAAAAGGAGGAGACCTGTGTTCTGGGACTGGATCTGACCCTAAGGACCTTTGAGCAAACTTCATTTAGTCATTCAACAATTATGTATCGAGCTTCTTCCATGGGCCCCAGATTCCCTAGAAGCAGCAATCCAGAAACAATCTGTTCTCTGGGTTTATGGTTTAATGGAGTACACAGGTGAGTACCTCTCTGAGACTCAGTTTTCCTGTTTCTGAAATGTGGGCCACAGCAACAATATGGAAATATCATAAATGGCCAGCCACATATGTATGCACAAATACACTGTGGTATAATCATGAGAATCTACACAACAGTGAAATGGATCAACTGGAACCATATTTATCAATGTGAATAAGTAAATAAAGTGAACCAGAGAATGATACATTAGTAGAGTATTCATATAAGATTTTAAAACGTGCAAACCAGTGATGGGTTATAGGCACGTATCTACAGTAAAGGCAAAAAATCATGCATGGGAATAATATATCAAATGTGGGAAAAGGTCTTTGGACTTTTATGGTAAGAAAGAGAGCTCTTGAAAGTCATGAACATAGCAAGTTAAAATTTTGGTAGAAAGATTGAAAGATAAAATGGAAGAAATATTTCAGAAACTATAGCAAAAATAAATGAAAATTAGCAGTGAAAAGATATAAAATTAGAGGAATAATCCAGGAGGTCCAGTAACTGAATAATAGGAGTTCAAAAAAGAAGCCAGAGAAGACAAAGGGGAGGAAAATATCAATGAAATAAAATTTTCCAGAACTAAAGTTTATGAGTCTTCAGGGCCCACTGAGTGTCTAGCACAATGGTTAAAAATAGATCCACATCCAAGCACATGCATGTGAAGTTCCAGAATATTGGTGTATTTGTCAGGATTATTAATGCCAGCTCCTGAAGCAGACAACCCTCAAAAATCTCAGTGGCTTAATGAAACTGCTTGTTTCTCATTTATGCAAAATACAGTGCAGAAGTGTCCAATCTTTTGGCTTTCCGGGGCCACATTGGAAGAAGAAGAATAGTCTTGGGCCACACATAAAATCCAGTAGCACTAATGATAGCTGATAAGCTAAAAAAAGAAAAAAAAATTGCAAAAAAGTCTCATACTGTTTTATAAAAGTTTACAAATTTGTGTTGGGCCGCATTCAAGGCTGTCCTGGGCTGCATGCGGCCCATGGGCTGCGAGTTGGATGGCCTTGGTCTAATGTATTTCAGGTGGTCCCACCTCACCTTGTAAACATGCCACTTGAATCATGTGTCCCTTGAAGTACCTGTGGCAGGAGAAAATAGGGTTGAAGGAAGCACACTGGCTTTTAGCTTCCTTAGCTTGGAGGTGACGTGTCACTTCTGCTCCCAGGCCACTTGCAAGAACATGGCTCCAACCTAACTATGGGAGAGGCTGGAAAACCCAGAGGGGCACATGCAATACTTGGTGTTTTGTATACCAATATGGGTTATAAAAGGAAGATCCTATGCATTTTCAGAGAAAACCAAACTGTTCATATACAAAAGATCAAGAAGCAAAAAGGCTTTGGATTTCTCAATAGCAATACTGGAAATGAGAAAAAATGGAGTAATGCTTTAAAATTTTTCAATGTAAGCAACTTATACCTGGAAATCTATACCAAGCCAAACTATCAATCAAGGGTCAGTGCAGAGTAAACCAATTCTCAGATATTGAAGGTCTCAACTTGCCTTACCTTTTCTCAGGAACCTACCACAGAATGTGTTCCATTAAGTGAGATAGAAAATCAAACAAGAGGAAGACAAAGGATCCAGGAAGTAAGAGACCCAATACAGGAGAGAAGTGAGAATTCTCAGGATGATGGTGAAGGGAGATCCTGTGATGAGAGCTGTGCACCTGGCAGAGAAAAAAATAAACAAACAAACAAAAAGTCAGATAGTAGCAGGTGAGAAAACTTCAGGAGAGGCGTCTTCTAGAAGATATAGTTGACAGATTACCTGGAGTATCTGAATATGTTGAGAGAAAATGTAAACAATTGGCACTGAGTTTGTTGAATTAATCATAGTTAGGAAAAGAAGAAAATGGGGGAAAAGATAATTATTAAATCTAGAGAAAGCAAAAAGTTCTGCAGGGAAGGAATTAATTAGAGCTTACCATAAAACTCAGCTGTGAGTTGCATAATAGTCATCATCCCAAATATTGTTCTAATCAAAGTTGTGATCTACGTATACTGAGAGGTTGAAGGGATGGGAAGAATGTATGTGGCAGAGTGGGCAGGGGATGGGGGCAAGGGAAGAGCCAAACTTCACCTTTTACTGTGAAAACTTAGTTGATAATTCCTAAAACTGGAAAAAAATGTAGCAAATATTTTAAGAGGTAGGAAGTAAATACCCAAGGAACCCAAAGAATCAGCAAGAGGAAATGCAAGGGGTTGCTGTGGGGAGAAAGAAATGCAGGGGCAGGGAGGCTGGGGACTACCATTTGACTTCATAAACTTTGATCTAGTTGACTATGTGCTTGTATAACTTTGATAAAAAACAGTTAAAAAATGGCATGTTCCAGATCCAAGCAGATATGCTCAGGGTTGTCTGTTGTTTTGGGTTATCCATAGACATTAAATGTAGTATTAAACTATTTTATTTTGATATATTATAGGTAAACCAAAAGTATAAATAATAATACAACAAACTCCTGTGTACCTACCAGCTCGCACAAAAGATAAAATATTTAAGGTTCAATCGAAAACTTCTGAGTGCATCTTCCAATTCCCCTCCTCCCCAGAGATAATAATTTTTCTAAATTTGGTATCTTGTTCCCATGCTTGTTTTACTACAAAGACATGTGTCCATAATCTATTAGTAAAGACCTTTGTGGTAATGGTATTATGCATTCATAACGATTGACACATGTATATGACTGAGTCATCTGAGCTTCATCTTGATAAAGCAGATCCTCCTCAATTTCGCCTTGCTTTCACCAATATCCTGTCAAAAGTGCAGTCTTACTGCTGTGCAGTCCTGTGAATGGTGATTGGTCCTGACCCAATCACATGCCGGAAGGAAAAGAAATTCCTCACTCAGAATTCCTCACCTTACATTTCTGCAATGTGCGTTGCCCTGGAAGAGCTTCTTTGGCCTCAGGGAATGTCAAGAAGTTGGGTAAAATGAAAGGGAGAGATCTGTCATCTGACACTGAGCTTCTTTGAGGAAACTTCATTCAGTCATTCAACAAATATGTATTGAGCTTCAGTTCCCTAGAGGCAACAATCCAGATGCAATCTGCTCTCTGGATTTATGATTTAATGGAGCACACAGGTGAGTACATATCTCTGAGACTCAACTCCCCTCGGCTTTGATTTCGTTCCTGGATTTCTGCCTATTCCTCATTACTCTACTTGCTGCCATGATGAGATGCACCTTCCAGCCTAACGCACTATTTTTAGTCTCCAGGGGAAGCTCTCTTCATTCAGACAGAAGCTCCAGGGAGATTTTAGTGTTCCCAACAACTTCAGAATGGGGGTTTGTACTTCCAGGCAGAGCCAGTCATGTGACATATGAAGGCTTAATTTACCCACCTAGAATTTAGTGCCCACTGGAGCTGGCCATTTCACAGTCTCCTGTTTACAGGTTGCTCCAGCCCTGCTGGCCCCTGCTTCCACATCTGTGTGGGGGCCCTGGTGGCTCACTGCAGGCCCTGTGCCCTCTTCATGACACACTATGCTGGGATGATGTCCTCTGTGGAAACCTCTTGAGCGCAAATGGCCCCTTTATGACAGAAACACCACAAGTACATTCCCCAAGGGTGCTGTTTGCTGTGGTAGTCCGTCTACAGATTTTCCCACCAGGATCCTGGAGCAGGTCCAGTTTGGAATTGCCACCCATGAGAAGGGAACAGATGACCATGGAATGAAGTAATAGCCCTTCCCCCTTCCCTCTTCAACCCTTTGATTTCGGAGGATCTGCATTCACTATTAGTGGTCAGGAGTCCTGCAGCTTCCTTTTGAATTAGGAAGATATGGGAATAAGAGGTCTTTTAGGCACTTAAAAGTGGCAACAAATAACCCACAAAACTACTATCTACAGCTTGAGCAACCCTTACTATGAACCTCCCTGGATCTCAGCCATGAAAACAACTCAAGCCAACCTCCAAAATAGGCTCCTTGCAGATGCTTTCTTTAAAAAAAAAAAAAAAAAAGCAAAATTAAAAAAAACAACAACAAAAAATTCATCCAGAAGCAATAATAAATATTTGTAGAATGCAGTTCTACTGTTGGTTACTTGGCTCAAGTTTATCTGTGAAAAATATGTTATGGGCTGACAAATAGCATGGCTGTCAAGAAATTTATCACCATTTTTCCCCACAAAGCAGCTGGTTTCAGATTCAAATGAGGCTCTGCACTGTGATTTCGCCTTTACCGAAGTTGCCAAGGAAAGGTCCATGAGGCATGGAGAAGACTCCTGCTGAGGGTGGTCCCCACATTATTCTTTGCATTTTCTAGAAGGCCTTTCAGATTGAATACATGGCCATTTATTGAAAAAGGCCAGCCGGGCCTGGTGGCTCACACCTGTAATCCCAGCACTTTGGGAGGCCAAGTTGGGCAGATCATGAGGTCAGGAGCTTGAGACCAGCCTGGCCAACATAGTGAAACCGTGTCTCTACTAAAAATACAAAAATTAGCCGGGTGTGGTGGCGTGCACCTGTAGTCCAGTTACTCAAGACCTTGAGGCAGCAGAGTCGCTTGAACCCGGTAGATGGAGGTTGCAGTGAGCCGAGACTGCACCACTGCACTTCAGCTTGGGCAACAGGGCAAGGCTTCGTTTATAAAAAAAAAAGAAAAGAAAAGAAAAAAAGAAAAAGGCCTACATTGCATTAGATAGCTCCCTATGTAGGCACTTTTGCAAATTTTGGCTCCTTTGAGCTTCAGGGCAATGTTTCTTGGTAGATAATACCACAAACTCCATTTCACAGACAAAATGCAGATCAGAGAGGGGGAAGCAACTTGCTCAGAAAGTGGCAGATTATTCTGGTTTTATGAAGCTGAGTTAGTGTTCCTTACTGTTCTTATAACCACTTATTCTTTTTTAATGACAACTTAACGAGAGGAGTTAATAAGTGATTACACTGAATCACAGCCATGTCCTACCATCTTAGAATGGTGCCTTGCAAACCTGACCTCTACCTGAAATTATGGACTAATTTCCAACTGTCTACTCAACATCTCCCTTGGATAGCTAGTATGCTTCTCCAAGTTGACAAGACCAAAACAAATCTTTTGAGGTTTACCTCCAAGTCAGCTACTCCCATAGTTTTCTCTATTTCTGTAAATCACCCCACTACCTACCCACTAGCCTAAGCCAAATTCTCATCCATGAGAAATCCTATTGAAAAATACAACAAAATCAGTGCACTTCTTTCTTCTCTACCCCTCCTGCTCTAATCCTTCTTCTCTCTCTTACCAAGATCATTATAGAAGAGCAGTAGTAGCCTGTTCTCTGATTCTTCTATTTTTACTCTTCCCTTCAATCCCTTCTCCATTTTCCATACACAAATCAAATAAAAATGCAATTTCTTACCCAAAGCTCTTCAATGGCTTGACCCTTCAATGGCTTTTAGGTTAAAATCAGAACTCCTACGTGACTTCCTTATTTGCCCCTCATCTCACACCAATCTTACATTCCCCACCACGCCAGCTACTCTGGCCATCCTCTCTCTTTCTTGAACATGCCAAGCCAATATCATTCCTGTCTCAAGACGGGTGTTACTCCCCTTGCCTCTGATTGTTGCATGCCTGGCTCCTGCTTGGCCTTAGATCTTAAGTGTCACTTCCTCAGAAAAGGCTTTCCTGATCACCCAACTTAAAGGAAAACTCAGTTATTTTCTATGACATCATCACCATTTTCCTAATTTTTCTTTATAGTACGTACTGATAGCTGGTTGTATTCATGCACTTAATATTTACTTCCCCCTGTAGAATGTAGATTTGGACTGATTTTTCTTATTTGTCTCCAACACCCAGAACAGTTTTCCTCAACACCTAGAACAATGCATGACACAGAATAGGCATATCATATGAATGCTTTTGTGTGTAGCCGCAAAGAATGGTTTCTGGGAGATTTTTCTAGGTGTCTTCTATGACCCAGCCCTCAGAGGTAGAGATGTACACTGTTCTTTTTTATATGTCCAGAAAAAAGGTGACAATTTCAGAGATTAATGTTGCATTCAAGGACACAAACCTAGTTCGTGAGAGAGTTACAGCTAGACCTCAGGTCTCTTTTCACGGGACCACTATCGACTGTCTCTCACTCTGTCTCCAGGATGTCAAGGGCTTGCTGTGTGAATAGTGAAGCCTTCTTCATCTTCCTTAAATAAAAGTTTGTCTTTAATTAAGTCAAATAATTTGCTCATTTATTTAATCTTCATGCACTTATTTGACAAACATATACTCAATGTTCAGTGTTTCCAAACACTTTGATATGATTGTAGAAGAGGTTCTGTATTTGTGGCCTGAGCTTTCTGAAAAAGAAAAGGAACTGATTGCAGCTGCTGGGGGATTTCTGGCCAATCAGAAGGAACATTTGACTAAAGAGCTGAGTCTACTCCTAGGAGACTGAGAGTTGGCCTATGGGAAAAATTCTCAAAGACCCTACTGCCCCCACAACATCTCCCTCACTGTGTTTGTCATCAGGAGTTACATGGGTACCACAGTGTGTGTACCTCTGGGGCTAGCAATATGGGAGCTCTCCCCCATGGACCCTCGGCTTGGCAGCCTGAGGTCTAGCTAAAACTTTACAGGCATGTACAGGTGAAGGCAAATAGTATGACTCATGGCAGAATGACAGAGATGTGTTGGACTCTGGCCTTTTTGGTCACATTTTGAGTGCTTTGCCCCACTGGTCCTGCCCTTCCCTAATGTTACATACCCTGAAGAAAGAAACTGAACAATATATTTTAAGCAAATGTCATGTGAGTGAGCCTATCCTGGCTACCTTAGTTACACTGTAGTTCTCCCCCTACTTGGTCCTCCCCACCCCCATTCCCTATCTGTTTTGCCCCATAGCATTTATTAGTCTCAAACCCACTAGATAATATATTACTTCTTTGCTTATTGCAGCCTCCCTTTACTGAAGGGAGCTGAATGTAAGCTCCTCCATGAGGGTGGGATTTTTTTTGTTTACTTCTGCATCCCTAGCACCTTTAAGAGTGTCTGGACATTATAGATGATTAGTAACTATTTGTTGAATGAAAAAGTAAATCAGACACCATGAAGTATGCAATATTTTTGACCTAGAAATTCTATTTCTAGAAATCTATTCTTCACAAATAGGCATGAATGAATGGAAAATATGTGAACTAGTATTGTTCATTTCCTTATTATTTAGAAGTGTGAAAAATGAGAAAGAGCCATTCAGCAATAAGGGATTATTTAAATAAACTGTGGTACATTTATACAATAGAATGTTATCAACTTAAAATTCATGTCTGAGAAGAATTTTTAATAACATGGAGACGTGTTAGGATACGTTGTTAAATGCAAATAATGAGTATTGTAGAATTTGATTGCAAATTTGTAAAATGCCTATGTATGCAGACACAGAAAAAATAGTGGAAAGATAACCAAAAGTTGACAGTAGTTATCTCTGGGAGATGGAGTTAACAGATTATTTCAATTTTCCTTTTTTGTGCTTTTCTCTGTTTTGAACTTTTCTATGATGGAGAGAGGACGGCATTGGTGATGGTGGGTGTTTCCCCCGGGCCTGGGGCACTGGGAGAAATGACCTTCTCTTTGTTACCTCCAGGTAACCACAGCCTCAGGGAGACCCCTCTCACACAGATGCTGGGGCTTGGTCATGTGACTTGCTTTGGCCAATGGAGCTTTAGCAAACATGAAACATTTAAAAAGCACTTCTGCGTTGGGACTATCTTGCTGCTGGGAGTTCTTCTCCCTTCATGTGAACAAACCTGCACTGATAAAAGATTGATGGGAGAACAAACCTGCAGGATTAGAGGCTATATGACAAGAAGCTTCAGCCATCCCAGCCATGCCAGTCATCCCAACTGAGAGACCTCAGACGTGAGGTCACAATATGGTGGCTACTAAACATTTAAAACGTGGGTAGTCGACATGCGGATGTGCTGTCTGTATTGTATAAAATGCACACTGGATTTTGAAAATTTGTATGATAAAACAAATGCCAAATATTTCATTTATAATTTTTCTGTTAATTATATATTGAAATAATATTTTGAGTACATCAGGTTAAATGTTAGAATATTATTAAAATTAACTTTACTAGTTTCTTTTAATTTTTAAAAATGTGGGTACTTGAAAATTTTGAATACATACATGGTCTGTATCATATTTCTATTGGACAGCTCTATACTAGACCATGTAGCCACAGCCAAGTCATCCCAGACCAGAACCACCTAAGTGACTCAGAATTAAAGCAAATAAAATAGTTGTTACTATAAATCACTGATTTGAGATATTTCATTCTTTAGCAAAAAGTCTCTAATATCACAAGTATACTGTGTTTTACAGATCCTACCAACTTCACTTCTTGGCCTTATAGGAAGGAGCCACAGTCCCAAAGAAGTCTGGGGAGAGCAGGATGTGGCAGAGAACAATGATCGGTGCCTTGGTGTGGAACGGGGAGCATTGGTGAAAGGGTGCAGAGTTTGGGGGAGGGGAAAGCTGAGGGTTCTTGGCCTTCTCAGATTCCCAGTCTGGAAGGCACACTTGCTCAGCCTGCGGCCTGGAGAGCAGGGGCTTGGGAAATGCTGGAGAGGCCCTTTCTCCCCTTTCCCGCTCACACCCTCCTTTCCTATCTGCCCTGTCTGTGCTCTGCTGTCCTATCCCACAGAGTTCTGTGGGAAAAAACACTACATCAACAACAACAAGATAATAAAGGGCATGTCAATGAGAGAGCAGGACAGGGGAGGGGGAAAGGGTGATTTTGGCAGCAATACCCCATCATCTAGTGCCTCTGCACTTCCCTCACCTCCCTCCTCCCTGAACCAGATGGGATTGGAAGTCAGAGCTGAAGGAAGCCATAGAGATTGCCCACCTAACCCCTTTCTCTTACTGATGAGGAAACTAAGCCCCAAAGACATTGGCTGATTTGCCTAGGGTCACACAAGAAATTTGTGATGGTCAGGTCAAGAATTCAGTTTCCAGACTCTCAGCCCAGTGCTCTTTCTGCCACTCCCCATGATACCAGCTTGTCGGGTATCAGTCATGTTACACTCAGCCTTGGCTTTTGGAGACCCATTTCCAAGGGCAGTGTGAATCCAAGGGTTTCTTTTTGCCTGAGCACCATTTCTCTCTTTGAGCTGATTCCTCCACTGCTACTTAACTTTGGCTCCAAGATGTCAGAGGTTCAGAGTCCATTCCCATGGGGGCCTCTCTTTCCTCCTGCGGTGCTTTCCTTGGGTGGACTCTCACTTCTGTCCCCTCTCACCTTCTGCTGTATGCTGATTAAACAGAGCTATAGGCCCTGGAATGTTTCTGCAGCCAGCACACAGAGACTGATCCTGTAGCACAGGGACAAGGATTGACAGCCTTGCCAGAACCTCTCAGGCAATGGGATGAGGGAGTGGGATTGGCTGGGAGTAATGTGAAGGAGGGTGAGGAAGTCCTGGAGGCACCTCTTCTCTCCCTGTGCATGCCCAAATGATGAGCTGGGCTGGGATAATCCTTGTATCTACTCTGCTTCTGAGCACAGCCCACTTTGGAAGCCAACTCTTTCATACTTACACCATTTACTGCCTCGCTGCATTTATCATGTGACTCCAATGTGGACAATCTGTGGCTGTTCTCCATGATTTGAGCACATGCCGAGATGCTGTGATCATCTCAGGGATGTTGGCATCCACTCGGACCCATCCCTGCACTCTCCCAGCTCAGTTTCTTGATGGAGTCAGCTCCACTGACTTATCTCTGTTTCGCGTTAGCTGTTGTTGGCCAAATCTTGGGACTGATTGCTAGGCCATCGCCAAACACAGACTTGCTTATCTTCAGGATTCCACAATCTCTGGCTCTACTCTCCTGTGCATTCAGTCTTTTCACTCTGCTACATCTGTGAAGCGTTCTTTTTCTCTTAGTTCTCCTTGCTGACTCGGTCCCCTATCTGGGTGAAGGCACACAGTGCTTCCCTTCTAGAAGCTTGCTTCCTTTCCTTGGGACAGAAGAATTCATGCCTGAAAGGCTGCTTAATGTCAACAAAACAACATGCAAAGAGGCGTTGAAACCAACAACCTAAAAAGGGTCTGATTAAAAAAAATTCTGTCCAGTGTGTAGAACTTTGTCACCATGATGCTAAGCATCTTAATATTTTCAAAGCATTCTCCACTTTTCAGCCAGATGTTTGAAGTCAGGCAGATGTGCCTAATATTGCATAATTACAAAGCTGCTTACTCTCAGTTTCAGGAGGCAAACGTGGCCCAATCCAGGGAAATCAGCAGATGGCATGTCATGGCCATCGCAGATCTGAGGAGCTGGCCTTTGGGTGATTTCTGGTCCACATGACAAACATTCAAGGTGAATTAGAGGAGAAAAGCTACATGAAGTGATGTGCAAGTTGAAAAGAGAAAAGGGTGTGGTGCTATCCAGGAACCATCTAACGAAAAACCTCTTGCAAGGCAGATTGAGAATTTTAAAACAACACTCTCCGACCCAACTGCCCCGTGACATCTGTTAACACAAAAGGCAGAACTATTTCCAGGAAAAGCTCTCAGTGTTTGCAAGGGTGAGACCCTTCTGATGTTTTTGCAACTTTAGTTAAAGAGCCGAGGGATGGATTCACATCCTCGGCATTTCCCATGGGGGAACTCACAGACCGGTTGTACACAATGGTGTACATTCAAATGAAAAGAGAAAAAGTCAATCAGTTATCCAGATGTTTTTGAATTGTACCTGGACATAGCCACAGTGGGGATTTGGTCCATGGTAATAATATATTATTCTTGCAAGATGGTGAGAGAAAAATGTTCTGAAAGGAAAAAGAATGTGTTTTCTTCATACCCTTTTATACTTTCTTCTCCTTTTGGGGTTTATGTTTAACAGCATCCAGCAAAACAGAACATGGAGACTGAGGACAGAAAAGAGAAAGAAGCGTAGGGCAAGACCCCTCCTCCAAATTGCAGGTGGGTGCTCCTGGTTGGATAGAAATAGACTTGGAGTGGGGTAGGAGTTGTGGAAACAATACTTAGGCAGAGCCTGGCAGCTCCAGGGTGAAGGAGCAGATACATAGTAGGTGGGCACTCAGAAAGTATGAATGGCATTAAACACGACAGTTTGTTTCTCACATAGTTTTTTAGTATTTCTTTCTTTGAAGTCTAAACTTTCACCATTAGAAATCTAGTTCTTTGACTTAAGGAAAAGGTTCTCAGACATAAGTGTGCATAGGAGTCATCCTAGAAATATGTTAATTTGCAGGTTTCTGGGTGGAGGCCACTCTCAGAGATTCAGATTCAGTAGGTCTGGGGTGGTTCCCATGAATGTGCACTATGAACAAGTATCCCAAATGGTTCTAGCGTGTCTCTACTTTGTGAGACAATTAAGGCATTGCCTATTCCAGCTATTCTCTTTCAAAAGAAGACACAGGCTGCAAAGAGTAACCGTCCATCCACAGTATGGGAACCAGGTTCCAGAAAAGCTAGGGTCTAATCTCAGCTCTCCACCCTTCTTGCTGTATGATTTTGCGCCATACAAATACACTCTAAGAAATTCATTTTCCTCACCCACAAAATGGAGAAGAAAATTTTAGCCTAAATACCTGTCTGACTGATGGGTCAATGTAATAACATTATTAAATAAAATGATTAATGTAAAAGCCTTGAAGAGGCTTTGAAAAGTATTTCATTCTATCCACATATAAATTGTTCTTATTATTTCCCATTATCACCCATTAACACATGCATTTGAACTAGTTTGCGAGATTAAGCATTAGTGTAAGAGATGAACTTAGAGCGTAAGGGATAGCTCAGAAAGGGAAGGTGTGGGTAGTGCCACTGTGGCTTGCCCAAGGCTGCCAGGACGGCTCAGGAGGACCCCGAGATGGGGAGATAGGCGAAGTATGGGGATGAGGGGTGGGGTGAGCATTGGAGAAAATCTGAACTTCACAGTTTTGTTTCAGGTTTCAGGTTATTGGGCACTAATAATGTGCTTGGGGAGAGTTCTGTGTTTTTTACTCTCAAGATATTTTAATAAGCCTTGAGAGACCCACAGAGTAGAGTGTAGGAGGACAGTTTTTTGTGGAAAAATAAAGAAGAGGAACATTATGGAAATTGTATGGGAAAAGAATCAGCTTCAATGTAAAACTTAAAGAACGTATTCAAACCAACCACAGACGGCCTCTCACCTTCTGGATAATCTTGCTCTACTTTTGGACAACAAGAATGGTTGGCTATCTTCATATCCCCTAGGCTGGTTTAGAAATAGCCACTTCCTTTGGGAATTCAAGCCAATAAAGAACCCTGCCTTCCAAGGGTGGAGA
Source organism: Homo sapiens (assembly GCF_000001405.40). Lineage (NCBI taxonomy): Eukaryota > Metazoa > Chordata > Mammalia > Primates > Hominidae > Homo > Homo sapiens. The sequence goes on from NC_000001.11 coordinate 115,219,951, forward strand.
ACTGAGCTATGTGTGTGTGCATTCATCTCCCACAAAGAGGGGCGTAACATCTCCATCTCCCCTGCTGCTTGCGATTAGCAAATTTGGGAACAGGGGAATGATGCCTGTCTCTTCCTTAGCACAGAACGTCAGAGGCCCGAAGATGTGATTCCTAAGGGAAGGGAGGAAATATGTACAGGGTGGACTGGGGAGCAGGGCCAGTTGCACAAGGAGCCTGCAGTGGAGAGCTCAACATGAGCCTGGATCCAGCAGATTACATCTTGGCCAGCTAGACCATTCTGAATCAGACAGATCCCGAAGCTCCCTGCCTGTGTTGTCAGCTCAGGGCACCAACTAGAGTTCGTGCAGCCACTTGGCATGGCACTGTTGGGGCACTGAAGGACATCTGCTTCCGGGGTTGGGGGGGTGGGGGAAGTGGCAGACTTTAAAAACCAGTGGAGAGGGTGAGACAGGAAATGAAGAGCAACACATTTCTCATTTAAAATTTTGTGGAGAGGGGAAACAAATGGAGACTGGATTATCAACTGGGAATTTGGCCTGGAACCGCGGAGTCAGGAATGCTGAAGGGATGGGGTCCAACCTGACTGCAGAAGGCCAGGGAGGCCTTCTGTGGTCAGGGGGAGTCGGTCGGGCGCAGAGGCCTGGCTGATGGGCTGGATGGGACCCTGCCTTGCTAGTGAGGCCCCCACTGAAAAGTCTCTTGCTCATCCTGAGCTCAGAGAAAGGAAGGCACCATGCAAACGTGGAGCTGTTTTCACGTCTCTAACACGTCCCAGATTTGTGCTGCTGAGAGTCCGGTCCAATCCTGTGAAATTCCTGCTGTTTTTCTGTTTCTAACAAAACCACAGGGTGAGATGTCAAGACTGCTGCTTCCCTGATCAAGATAACAGAATGGGCCACAGTGAAGGCTCTAGAGGAACAGGAATATGGATAAACCCCAGCTCTGGAAAAAATCCCAAATCGTGAAGAATTCGATTTGGAATTGTGTGTATGTGTGTGTGTGCTCGTGTGCGCCTGTGTGTATGTGAGGAGGAGGCATAAAGAGAGAGAGTGGGGGTGGGCAGGGGAGGAGAATAGCGGGCTTATGCGTATTGTGCTTGTTTTGGCTGGTATTAAAATGCATCAGCATTTCCTGAATCCTCATGGACTATTGACAGGTTCTGAGATACCTTGAAGAATTTGTGGGCAGAGGGGTGGGGGGATGTCACCTTGTGATGACAAATTGGGTGGAAAACTTTTTAAATAATGAAGTCATATACGTGTAATGAAGTGTTTATTGCACTTGAGGATTCTTTTTAAATGGAATGTGTTGTAAATTGTTGGTAATGTTTCTATTCCTTTTCATTATTTTCTCACCAGTCTGGGAGTGGAAGAGAATTTTTTCTTCCATATGCAAAGTAGGTTTTAAAGCATCCCTCTGGGCCAGCTCGGCCCTCCGAGGTGACTGGTGACTCCAGTGCACCTGAGGAGTCTGATTAACTTATGGATATATGTATGGGAGGAAAACAGAGAGGAAAAGCACAGATGGGCTCCTGAGAACCGGGGCTATCATTCTGGGACAGGGGCATGTGGTTTTTGACACCCTGCTTGGGGACACTGCCTTTATACCCCCAGTGGCAGCAAACTTGCTACTTACTGCTTAGAACACAGAAGCATTTTTTTGTTGCTGCAGTTTTGCTAGACTCCTGAAGGGGAAAAAGTCCTCTCGTTTTTACATTGCTTTGGCTGTTAACCCTTCTGAGTTGAGTGTGAGGTTGAGATCTTTGGCCTATTGGGATGGACAGCTTGCTTTCTTGGGCTCTTTTGAAATGTAGCTTCATGGCTCTCTCCCCCTTCTCTTCACACAGTCCTTTAGGAATTTCTGGAGAGGTAACCTGGGGTCTCCCCAAGCTTCCTGCAGCCCAACCAACCAACCCACCAACCTGGCTGATGCATATGTGGAATATCGGCTTCCTGTTCTCTGAAGGGCAAAAAGGACACTGAAGTATAGCCTACAGGCTCTGCGGCCCAAAGCTCATTAAGAAGATAATAGATTTAGGCCAGCCGCAGTGGCTCACGCCTGTAATCCTAGCATTTTAGGAGGCCTAGGTGGGTGGATTGCCTGAGCTCAGGAGTTCGAGATCAGCCTGGGCAACATGGTGAAACCTCGTCTCTACTGAAATACAAAAAATTAGCCAGGCCTGATGGTGTACGCCTGTAGTTCTAGCTACTCGGGGGGCTGAGGCAGGAGAATTGCTTGAACTGGGGAGACGGAGGTTTCAGTGAGCTGAGACTGCATCACTGCACTCCAGCCTGGGTGACAGAGCAAGACTCTGTCTCAAAAAAAAAAAAAAAAAAAAGAAGAAGAAGATAATAGATTTAGAAGACACACAAATAATTGTTTAAAAGAATGGCCCTAATGTGCTGCAGTCTGAGGTGGAAGGTTAGTAAGGTCTGGACTTCCTCGGAATATGACTGAGTTTTCAGATCACGTGAGACGTCTTCATGGAAGACATTGAGGTAGTTACCACATCTTCTGGATGTCCCACAGCCAACAGCATATCAATTTGGGTGAGTTTTAAAGATTTGGCCCTGATAATGGCACCCTGACTTGAAGTCCCTGAGAACCCAGGGATATTTAGGAAGGTCATATGACTTCCAAAGGGTCCCTGATTGAATGCTTTCTCTCCTAATCATGGGGAAGAGGGTGGCACAGCATGGGGCTAAATCCTCACTCCATCCTTACTCATGTTCAAACAATCCCAGACTTACTGATCCATGAAATGTGTCTCAGGTGTGTCTGTGGTTTCTGGGTTAGGAAGTAAATGGACTTTTGCAATTCTTTCTTATATAAATAGGAAAACTGAGATTTAGAAAAGTTGTGACATGCCCAAGATTGTGACAAAGCCAAATAAGAACTTGGTTCTCTGAACTTTCAGGCTCCTTCAGACATTAAAAGCAGGAATTGGATTAGTGTAGCTGCCGGAGGTTTCCCACTGTCTCCACTCCCAGTTTCCACGTGCATTTCCTCTGGTGCTCATCAAGTGTACAGTGCTGCTGTGGTGAGAATTTGTCAAATGAGTCTCCAGTCTCAGAAGGTCTATGTAAATGGGGTTTCAAGTCATCACAGGGACTGAATTTAGTCTCAAGTACCATAAAGAAAATACTTTTAAAGCTCTTCTAAAAATAAAGCTCCTCTGAAGAGATGTTTGGCCTGTGGCTAATGTGTTTGGAAACATGTTTTCTGTAAAACTCAACCTTATTCATCTACTTGCAAATCCAGAAAGACAACTTTCACTACACACATCAGGGCTTGTCCCAAATTTTCCCTACTCACAGTGGAAGATGCCGGGGTGTGAACCATTGGCTTAAGGTGCCTCTGCCTCCCTTTCCCCAAAACAGTTTAGGAAGGGAGGGTTTGGGTCTAGTGTCCAGCCTGGGCTCAGCTTTGGATGCTGGCAACCTGGACCTAGGCACACCAGGGAGGCTGCTTTCTTTGCCCTTGTCTTGCCACTTCCCATCTCCCATGTCATAGGAGGAGCTTGGAAGGAGCTGAAGGCCGTCACCTTCCTACAAAGCAGAGAGATCCTCTCTCCAAGAACGGCTTTTGCTGCCCTCTGGGTCCTGCTATTTCCATGGCTCCTGAAGAATCAGCCTCTGATATTTCAATTGCCCCTTCATCAGAACTGTCAAACCTGGTGAATCTCTTCTCTTTTTCTCTGGCTCACTCTCTCTAAAACACGCATCTTAAACAAGTTTTAAAATCCCTGAAGAATGGCAGAAATACAAAGAACTCAATTCCAAATAATATTGTCATGTTCTGCTGCATAGTTGAGGTAATCACCGTTAAGTAAGTGCAGGTATGGGTGACTCTCTAAGACAAGGATGAAAGTACAGTGGACAGGTGAGCCCATGGCCCAGGACTCAGGCACTCACAGCCTCCCACGTTTCTTCTCTATTTCACAATTGCTGATCCAAGGCGGGAGGGGTGCCATTCATGTGTGGCATTCACATGAGAGAGGTGGGCATTGTGGGTCCTCAGTGCAGGGCCTGTTGTGTCCTCAATGAACCCAGGATTGAGTCCCACAGTGGACAGACTTTGCCAACTTTTATAAATCTCTCTCAAGACACTCTCCTCCAATATTGCACCTTGAACTGATGTAATTTCTTGTAGCGAAAAAATTAAAATCTATCCTTTTTGACCTTCATATGCAACATGCATATCAAGAGAGTTGTCTTAGCAGCAGCAATTTTATATTGGGAGATTTGAGCATGGACTGGCTGTTGGGAGAGCTTTATGAGGCATTCCATGATGTCTTGGCTTTAATTTTGCTTTTATTTTGATGTGACAAGATGTGTTGGACTGAGATGCCTTTGGGCTCTAGCCCTGGAATTTACAAAAAGAGAATACTGCAGGGTTATGGTGGGGGTGAGGCTGGAAGATGTTACCCACTCACAAAGCTTCAGCACAGCAACATATGTTAGAAGAATAAACTAACATTGGAACAGTAAATACACACATACACACACACACACACACACATACACACACACACACACAGAGTGGGAGAGAGTGAGAGAGAGTGCAAAGCCAGTGTTAAATCCTGGACATCCCTGCAGGGTCCTCATGCCTGCCTTTTTCTCTTAGTCTTGTGGGGGTGGGGAAACTCTTTGGTATTCTCCTTTCTCACTTGTAGGAATATAAGGAGGAAAGGAACCAGAAGTAAAGTGTCTGGGCCTCTCTCAGCCATGCTTTTCATTTCCACTTATTATCTAAAGTAATTCATTACTACTTCTGTGCTCTCTTTTCATCTTTTCCTTGAGCCTCCCCTGAGCTCCCTTGAAGGTGGCAGGTGACAGGCTGGCTTGACCAGAACAAAGACAGTTATCCCTGGCTGCCGCCTGTTTCCCAATGGGTGCCTGCCCTGTCTTGTTACACTTCCTCTGTGTGTCTAATTTACACTGCAAGCCCTCTGGGCAGTGGCTTTTTTTTTCTTTTTTAAAAAATTATCTGCTCTTCTCTGCTTACGACTGAAGTTTAACTTCTGCACCCCAACTCCTCCTCATTCTTAAGAAAATGCCAACAGAAAAATATTAAAATGATTGCTGCTGTATGTAAAGACAGAAGGGTAAAACCGAGGCACTGGAGGCTTTGGGTGGGTATTGATGGAGGTCTGGGAGCAGCTGGTGATTGACAGGGAGAAGAGCTGAATTAGTTAAGGAAGGGTCTCCTGGGTTTTGCTGGGAGTGGTGGCCAGACACAGACAAGGACAAGGAAGAAGGCCAGGACCTCTGATTGCTTTTCTCAGAACAGAAAAGATATTATTATTTGAACCTAGAGGCTGGGCAGTTTCCTGTCATAGAAAAACTGACTGGCCTCATGGCCAGAGAAAGGTACCAACTACTTTCTTTGGTATTTATGGTTCTCGTATCCAACGTAGGAAGTTAGGGCTAGACAACATCTGGAAGTATCTGGTAGAAGTATCTATTTATTTAAATCATCCATCCATTCATCTATCCATCCATTCATCCACTGATCCATCCATCCACAATGATTAACTGCAGTGAAAGAGAAGACATTTTTAGAAGATAAATGTGGTCAAATGTCCTAAAGTTTTATTCGCTTGCATGCAAGTAACCGTGATGTGTCTGGAGGACTGGAGGGCTGGAAATGAAAGGAGAAAAGCAATTATCTGGGCCCATGGATTTGGGAAGCAGATATGGGGATCCTCTCACTGCTGACAGAGCCCCAGTAAAGCATCTGGAAGGGTTTTAAACAGAATGAGGGTGTAACAATGACAGACGTATTCTTCCTCCTTCAAAATCCACAACAAAATAAACAACCACCACCAAAAAAAAAAAAAAAAAAAAAAAAAAAATAGGAGAGGTCAATTCAGGAAACTTTCCTAGAAAAGTACATGAGGTAGAAGAGAAAGGATAGGGAGGAGACCAAGCATTCTAGGTTGCAAGGAAGACCTAGGGGATGCCTGAGGGTGGGGATGAAGGGACTGACAAACATGTTCCATGGGCCATCTATGGGTAGGGCACTCGGTCGTGAGAGTAGTGATGGCACCTGAGGCAGGGCTACAGGAATAGATGAGGTAGGGAGCCCTGTCAGGGTGCAGTAAGCATCCCATGGAGAAGGCACGCACTGTGGGCCTGGAGCTTACTGGGGAGGTGGAACAAGCAGGGAAGCAGTCCTTGGTGCAAGCAAGGATGCACATTCCACATCAGGCTGCCCGCCCACGAGGAGGGCCTACACTTGTGGCTCTGAATCCATGTGGAGGCGGAAACGGTCTGGTTAAGATAGTGACAATGTGCTTTGTGTTTGTGCCTGAAGGGCCAGGGACCACGCTGTGGCACAATGAAGGCATTGAGAGTCAGCAGTCCCCAAGACTAGGTGTCCTAACAAGATGCCAAGACCCAGAGAGACAAGAGCTGAGCCCTTGCCATGAAGGTGCCGAGAGCTGTGGTCTCAGCCCTTGGAAATATCATCAAAAGAAGCTGTTCCGAGCAAAATGCATTCCATGTGTTGGCCTTGCCCATGTGTTTCTTGTCAATGAGGCCGATCTTCCTGGGTTCAGAAGGGTTTCTGTTTGAAATTTTATGAGCCTTGGCTGGGAAGCAGAACTTATCCCTGAGTTTGTGGGAGTTAATGGCCTTTTCTGGCGGCACAACTCTGGGGGCCTCAGGGAATTCCCAAATGCCAGGAAAGAAGAAACCCATAGCCCGTATTTCAACTGAAAATTATGCTTTATTTATAGGCAGCCATGGAGAAAAGACTCCCCAGAACACTTCTCCAGCGTCACCTCAGTGTGGTGTGTCTGGGCTCACAGGCCCTTCCTTGGGGTGACCCTTACAGCTCATGCCAGCACTCTGTGGAAAAGATATGCCTCACTCCCCAGTGCCAAATAAAGACATCAGCCTACATCCAGAGCAGAAACAGCATTTGTTCCTGAGTCTTCCATTTTTGCCATTTAAATAGAGAAGTCAAACTATTCCTTGATACACTCTTGTCCCCCTAATTTACTTCAACCAACACGTATGGGGCACAGACTGGGAACTGGTCATTTTATTGGGCATCATTATGAGCACAAAGGGACAGATATGAGATGGGCAATCCAGAAGGTCTTGGTTCAAGCCATTTCCTTCCATTGTCTATCAAGTTCTGTCACCGGGACAAATCATTTCCCCTCCCTGGACCTCTGCCTCCTCATTTGTCAAATGAGGAGCTTGGACCAATGAATATGAATTCTGAAGAAATTCAGTGTAAGAGGAAGAGTCTTAAAATACTAGTCCTAAAAGGTTAATTGAAGGAGATTCATGGAAGTGATGCAAATATTGGTGTTTTGTATGAGTGACACTTAACTGCTTCTTGTCTATGGCAAATGATATTCCTGGGGTAGCTAAGAAAGACCCTTTCGCTGCCTGGCGTGGCCCTCTGTGAACCCTGCTAGCCTGACATGTCATATCAGAGCTCCCTGCAGAGGAGTTGCTGTTCACAGCAATCATCTGGGCCAGGCTCTTGACCTGTACCCCTGTCAGTGCTTTGCTGTCTTGGCCTGACCCTTGGCCTTAGCTGTTCTCTGCCCTTTGGACTTGGGGTTGCTATTTTCTCTTCCCATCTTGATTCTCAGTTTTCCCTCAAGGTCTTGGCTGAGACCCACCCATGGACTCACCTTTCTTTTTTCAAACTACCTCAGATAGGATTTGAGTGCCCTGTTTGATCCCTTGTGACTCAATTTCTGTTGCTGGACAAAGAAAAAAGAAAGGCAAGGGAATTGGAAACTTTACAGTATAATACTCTGCTCAGCAGTAAGTATTGCACCAGAATTTTAGTCAAAAGGAGTATGTATAAAATAAACCATGTTAGATCGAGCTAAAATATGACTCACTGAGAATTCCAACTCTAGGTCTTAGATTTTTCCTTTGAGGTTACACATGAACAAGCCTAATTCCTTCTCATATGATAGATCTTCACATATTTAAGTATAATGATCGAGCCCCCAGCCTTCGGTGACCACCCCCTCTCCTGCCAAGTCAGTTCTTCTCTAGGCAAAACAAGTCAATTTCTCTAGCATTCCTCAGATATTTTGGTTTTGAATCCTTTTGCCGACGTGACGGCTCTTCCTAATCCAGTTCAACTGATTTCTGTTCCTCTTCCTTTGAGGTGCCTGCAGCTTCATGCAACACTCTAGACAGGCTCCAGTCAACCCAGGGAACTGAAATCTTTTGCCTTAAATTGATGCTTCCCAAAGTGTGTTCCATTCATCCAAGCCCCTGTGACATGCTCTGGAGGTCAAGGGTAGGTGGTCACTTAGTTTCACAGTCAAATATGTTTGGGAAATCCTGCAGACTAATATCCCTCTTGGAGATTTCAGAATCTGTGTTAGAGTACTAAAGGATCTGAGTAGTCCTGTTTACCTTTACTTCATCTAATTTTTCCCGAATTATTCGACCACTGAGCCGTTTGTTAAAGTATTACTCATTAACCTCCCTAGTGTGCCATGAAGCTTTGGGTGGCACTGTTCAACTTCCATTTAAGCCATCTGAAATCATTTATTTTTTTCCTCTTTCCCTCCCTTTCTCCGTTCTTTTCTTCCTTCTTCTATCACACTATTATTACATATTGATTTTAGTGTCAATCAAACCTCCTACATATTTTTCAAACCTGTTGCTGATAAATCATATGTAAAGTCCTTCACCCTTCTTCCCTTTATTTGGGCAGCTGTTATTTGATATTCATCACTTATGTATTAAGCATGCCTTTATTTAAGCCCTTAATAAAAATGAAACTTCATAAATATTTGTTGAATAAGTACAGGACTGAGGCCTATACCCTTTGGACATGGTAATTCAATTAGCTATTAATTATCCTAATCACACTAATATTCAGCCCATGTTTCTCTATGCTTGTCCGTGAGGCTATCTTGAAATGCTTGTCAAATGCTTTGCTGCAATCAGATTCACTATGAAGTTAGATTTCATAATCTACCAGTCTAGAGCCATCTTGTTGAAGCAGGAGATGAAATTAATATGGTAGGACTTTGTACTTCAGGTTCCTGCGCAGGAGTTTAGAAACACAGGTGAGCCTTGATGGGAGGGTAGGATTTAAAAAATGGAGGGGATCATAAAAAGGATTGTGGGCTGGTTGGGGTAAGCATGAGTAACGGACTACAGGCAAGTGTAAACATGTTGGGAATGGTTAGGATAAATTTAACAATATTTATCCAGTGTTCACTATTGTGAGGTTTTATGCAGGGAGCTGGCAGCAAGGGGGTTGGTTGAGATGGATAAATAGCTAATAATTAACTTTATAAGTACCACTTAAAAGATAAAATGTGATGAGTGTTACATAAAAGGAAGGAGTAAAGTAACATAGAACATTTGTTCTGCAGAGTCAGGGAAGGCTTCACAATACAGGTGGCCCCTGAGCAGCTATGAAGATTGGGCAGGGCTCTGCCAGAGAATGATAGAGGGCTTCAGGATTCAAAACTTTGATGATGGAACAGATCTGTGAATGGAGGTGTCAATGGATTAACATGGTAAGCATGATTTCTGGGTGTGTTTGTGAGGGTGTTGCCAGAGTAGACTGGTGTGTGAGTTGGTGGACAGAGTGGGAAAGAAGAGCCATCTTCAATGTGGGCAGGTGCTGTCTAATTGGCGGGGGACATCAATAGAACAAAAAGGCAGAGGAAAGGCGAATTTTTTCTCTTCCTGAAGCTGGAATACTCTTATTCTCCTGCCCTTGGACATCAGAACTCCAGGCTCTCTAGTCTTGGGGCGGTAGGACTTACACCAGTGACCCCTCAGGTTCTCAAGCCTCAGCCTTGGACTGAGAGTTACACTATCAGCTTCCCTGGTTCTGAGTTGGTCTGAGCCACACTACTAGCCTCCCAGAGTCTCCAGCTTGCAGACAGCCTGTTGCGGAACCTCTTGATCTCCATAATCTTGTGAACCAATTCCCCTAATATGTCCCCTTTCATCTCTCTTTCCCTCTCTCCTCCTCACCTCCCTCCCCTCTCTCCATCCTATTGGTTCTTTCTAGAGAACCCTGACTAATACAAGATTCAAATGATGGCAAACTCAATGCAATTAAGGAAGACAAGACTTGGTAGCAATGAGGTGCCACTGGCATGACATAAGGGTATGACCTGAAAAATCTGTGTTTAGGAAGATTGATAGGACACCAACATGCTGACAGTATATGGAGGTGTTCTCTCAAAAGAAGAAATGGCAGGACATAATGACTGTTAGGATTGGAAGGATGGAAAGAAAGGAGTCAAAAATGCTTGCAAAGCTTTCAGCTCATGAGGCTGGAGGGGGAAGATGAGGGAGGGCGACAAGTTCAGTCACAAGGAGGGGGTTCTGCTAAATGCCCTGCTGCCCACCAGTGGGTGAAAATCTTGGGATTAAACATTCTGAGTGTTTAGAGTTGGTTCGGCGCCAACTATGGTTTTTGTTTTATTTCAGACATCTCTAGATGTGGTAAGATTAGCTCATGTCACTTTAATGAGCCAGCCTCATAGAACAAACACGTTTTTGTATTTGTTGAACACAGGGCAGTGCAGGAAGTAATTCTGGCATATATTGTCCTGAAGCCTAATGGCTCAACATGACTTTGTATTTGGAGGTTTTTCTCACTGTGGGACTTTTCATATGTTCAAACACTATGGCTCCTGTTCTGAGGCTGAAGTGGGTCTTAGACAAGCCCATATAGGTCCCTAGAGCCTCCATACTGGCTTCCTTTTGCTCTTTTCCTAACATGCCTCTGGCATCAATCCACTGAAGAACCAGCTGGAATAATTGCAATTCATTAATTCATTGATACATTGTTTCTTTCATTCATGAAAGTTCTACCTGTTAATTTCTTGTCCCTTGTGGGAAAGAATCAGTTCTCACTTCCTCCTGGTCTTGCCTGTTCCCATCTTCCCCATAGTATTATATCACATTTTTGGTCTGTTTTCCTGATGGTTGCCATTTTCTGGGTGAGAACCATCCCAGAGCAAGCTGCATGCTGAGCTGTAGAACAGTGATGACCAACAACTGTCACCCAACTGCCCACTTTGCTACATGCTCTTCACCTTGCCACTCCTAAATATACTTCAAAATCTTCAAGGACTATCAAAGTTGGGATAGGGCAGCTAAGGGATGATGACCAGCTGTGGCTGCCTCTGCTTCTTGTCCCTCTTGAGAAGTGACAGGCTGGCTCTCAGCTCTCTCCAGGCCAGTGAGCCTTTCAGCAACAGCAGCAAGGAAGGGGAGTCAGGGGACACTGTGAATAAGAGGTGCAGAGCCCCCACTGCAAGGTCACAGTGACTTTTGCTCTTTAGCCAGAAAGGTGCTGTAGAGAGGATGCTGTCTGTACAGGAGCATTTGTCTTTGCACCCCACTCCCCCAACCCAGAACTTTAGCCCATGTCACCTCAGGGTCCCTGCCCGCAGGTCCTGCTCCCCTGACAGAGGGGAGTGCTGAGGAGAAGGACCAGCCACTAGCCTTTGGGGACCTGTGGGACTCCATGACACCTATTTATTTTATATAGTTACTATATATTTTATATAGTTCCTCTCCATTATGCCTGTCTTGCCTATTTTAAAGAAAGCACATTTTCTTCTGATAGTCTCAAGATTTATTTAAGAAAACTTGGTATAAGATAATCCGAATTTATCAAACAAAAAAATGTAGGCGTTGTGGCAGGACTCACCCACCAGTTCCCCAAAATAGTAGTTATAATCTAATGAGTGCTTATTAAGTGAAAAAATCTTTGCGCTATTTCATTTAATTCTTAAAAAGACCCTATGTGACCAGTGATGAGACCCATTTTAAAGATCAGGAAACAGAGGTTGAATAACTCTCCTGAGGTCACACAGGCTATGAATCAGAACTGTGCCACTTCAGCAGCGTCATGCCTTCAGCTTCCACATCATTCATCATCCCTCTGTCAGCTTAAAATGTCACATCTGCCTCCCTAAGAACACATTCTTGGGGTGAATGCCTCCTTTCTCTCTCCCTTCCCCAAGGGTTACTCTTGGCATTAGGACAGTTAACACCTCCCAGCTCTATTTCCCACATCAATGTCTGGGATGCTGGTAGAGTGGTCTCAGATGATAAACTGTTAATAGTTGTGTGTGAGTCTCCCTAGTGTTCCTGACCCTTTGCTCCTCCCAGCGAAGCAGGGACCCCAGGTTTTGAATTTGTTCAGAGTTTCATGGAGCAACCCAGAGGCTATAGCTGTCCATCTATGAGGACATTAGGGTGAGTGTGGTCCTAGAGTCTCCTGGCTCTTTATATAGCCAGGCAGATGGAAATAGAGATGGGGATGGGGATGGGGATGGGGAGGGCAGAGGGAAAGGACCACAGGTTTCTCTAGGCCAAACATCAGGTTATGCCTTTTTGGGCCTCAGAACATTTAAAGACTGGGCATTCCTTATGCTTTCAGGACAAGAACTGTTAATAACTCAATCTCAAAGGAAATAAGTAACAACATTATTTAATGTTACTCTGGGACACTATCAAATGCAGTAGTGTCCACTTAAATGTTGTCGATTGTATGGCTTAGAGCAGAGGGATATGCACAGGGGGATGGCTGGTGGGACTGTGTGTCTAGGGTAGGAGGGGACAGGAAAGATGAATGGAAGGAAAACCAATTGTATAGATGGAGCTCCAGTGCTCCATGGGTGAGAGGTCCTCAGGGTGGGGAGAGCTGTCTCCCAGTGCAGTAAGCCTGTAATGACTTCCCTGGATCAGACACTCTGAGAATGCAGACATGGTGGGTCTTAATGGGTCATCAAGGCCACGTCTCGTTTTATAGATGTGGCATCTTGGGCCCCCAGAAGCAAGATGCTTGTCCAAGGGCACCAGCTAGTTTGGGACAAAATAGTAGTTAGAATTCACTTTCCAGACTTCCAGATTCATGACCTCTTTCTTGGACCTGGGCAAAGCCTTGTGGCATTTTAGATGGAGCTGGGTGACTGGCACTATGACCTTGGGCTCTGCCTGAACCTCACGTGGATCATCTATAACATAAAGGTAGTAGTATGACAGTGGGGGTGAGGATTGCATAAACAGTGGAAGTAAATCTCCCACATATCAGGGGTGCTTACTGAACCTCCTTCCTCTCATCTCTCCCAGCCACTCTAAATAGGGAAGAACAGTGAGCACTCTGGTCTACTGACCACAGATCCTGGACCCAAAGTTACTTAGATCTTTCACTTCCTTTGGCTCTAATTAGTTTACCGGCATACTAAGTAATAATATTTGGTAATAGTTGTTACAACAGTAATAGTGATAGCTGGGCACAGTGGCACAGCCTTGTAGTTCCAGCTACTTGGGAGGCCAAGATGAAAGGATCATTTGAGCCCAGGAGTTGGAGACCAACCTGGACAAAATAGTGAGACCCCATCTCTTAAAAAAAAAAAAAACCAAAAAGCAATAGTTAACAATGATTGTTTTGTGCAAGGTGCTATGCTAAATACCCACATTATCTCATTAAATCTTTACAGAATTAGAGATTCTTAGAGTAGGGATTATTACTATGCTCATATTAACAGAAGAGGAAACCAAGGTTAGAGAAGTGAAGTAATTCACAGGATTACAAAGCTAGCCAGCAGCAGAGCTTGGATATGAACTCAGATTTGGCTGGTTCCAGAGTCCCTCTCTTAGCCACCATAGTTTGCATAACACACAACATATAAAGCTCTGTGGAAAGTCTACTGCAAGTTCACCCAGCCTGCTACTGCCAGCCTCCCTGACTTAGATCTAGAGGAGGCTGGCAGGCCTGCCAGGGCTAGATGCCTGGAAGGACTTGTTTTCATCACTCCCACGGGGCCTGCGACATGTTAGGAGCAAACAATACATGAAGAGAAGGCTTCCCAAGGTGTCCAGCCTCCCTGGTTAGTCAGGCTGGCTGTCTTAAACCCTTCAGCCACAGCATCAAGGTCGTAAAACAGGAGGGTTGCAATTTCCTCTCTTCAGCCCTGGCTCTGCCGGCAACAGGAATCGATGGAGGAAGGGGACACTCCAGCAGGTCTTGACTCCTCACTCAGCAGGGTCTGGGATGTTTCACAGACTGTGCTGTAGTTAAGACTGAAATGGCATTTACATCTCTGGGCTCAGAAATGGTGTCTAAAAGAAAACAACCACCACCATTAACATGTTGTAGTTGTATAATTTATGGAGCATTTATGCTTTATACCTAGGGCCTGTATCTCCTGATTGTTTGTTAAATTTCCTGAGCCAAAGTCTGTGAGTCTTTTCAACTATAAATATTAAAGTTTTCAATAAAGGCTAAAGTTTTCAAAGACTTGTCTAATTATTTTGGTTCTTTTGCCCTTGAAGGAGCAAAATAATGCGGTTCTAAGCATTATTTTTTCTCTTCGCTAAAAGGAGGTAATACTGACCTTGCCTGATGTACACGAATGTTGTGAAGATCAGATGAAATGCATGTAAATTGGTGTTGGAAGCTCTAAAGTCCTAAAACCATGTAAAATAAAGTAAACTTATAGTTATTTCAATGCATGTATATAGCTTCCTGTTTGTGCAATGCAAATACTTCACTGTCCATCTATGAAATGTATCTGTCCCTCTCTGATACACTGTAGTAACTGTGATCACTAACATTTATGTAGCAATAAATGGCATATTATTTCATGATATCTCAACTATTACCTTGAACTCTTATTGTTATTTAACATTTCATGTAATAATAATTCTTTCTTTTTCAATTGTACTATAAGCACCATCCTGGTGGAAACTGAATTTTAAAACATTTCTAGATCCTGTCTGATGTCACATGTGGCTTGCCTAGGTTAAGAATTCTTTAAAGGGGGCAACTTTCCCAAGTTTCCCATTCTTGGCACAGAGCTTTCACAGGAAATGTCAGTGGAGTCCATTTCAAGTATTTATTAACAACTTTCAAGAAAAATCACTTTATGCTGAATCGAATACAATAAGGGATATAAGAAAATGAGTTGATAGGAACTGAATCCGCACCATAGAAAGAACTGGGTAGAATTTTTCAAGTAGCTAACTCAAGAGCATGGTGAGTATGTAAGTGTATGTGTATATACCGAAATCATACATGTTAAATAAAAGAAAACCAAAGTAGTATAATAGTTCTGATTCTGGTGTTTATTACCAAAAATACATGCTCTATATAGTATTAGTGAGATCCTGAGCCAGCGTGATTAAGGAGAGTTTTTCTGGTGAATTGAGTTTCAGGCCTCTACCTCTGTTGTCCTCTTCTGGGTGTCAAGTTGATTCAGAACAGTCCATACATCACTTTCTTTGATTAATCTCAGGGGTTCACACTGACTGTGGAGAAGGCTCATTCTCCACCTATGAGTGGTTTATTTACTTATTTATTTATTGCTCTGTTGCTAAGGCTGGAGTGCAGTGTTCCTCCCATCTCAGCCTCCTGAGTAGCTAGGACTATAGACATGCACCACTACACCTGGCTAATTTTTAAATTTTTTGTATAAAAGGGTCCTCAGGATCTCACTATGTTGATCTTGAACTCCTGGCCTCAAGGAATCCTCCCACTTCAGCTTCCCAAAGTGCTGGGAATATAAGTGTAAGCCACCACGCCTGGTCTTATGAATGGTTTAAGGTACAGAATTGTCATCCCTCTGATTACTGTAATATTTATTCTAACTTTGCTATTTATTGTGTGCAATAAATTGTGCACAATGCTGGACCTAAATGAAGAAGGACTTTCTTTGTCTTTTTTGCAAATTTTGTAGTGTATTACAGAATCCCTGCTTTCTTTGGCCTATGGCAGTTGAGAATTTATAAGATTTCATAAGAGAAAAATTTAGGACTGATGATGCTAACTTCATCATCCTTCATCACTTATAGTTACTTCCAGTGCACTCTCAAACTCTTCCTCCTCACCTGCTGAAGTAGGCTAAGCTTTTGCTGTTTAACAATTTCATATCTGCTGTATATCTTGCATGCAAAACCTCATTGGTAAATTTTGTTAATGTGGTTCCTACTTTGGTTTAATGACCTCTGTTTTATTGTCTGTCCTATACAGAATTGACATTAAGAAAACACAAAAGAGGGAGGTGAGTTTTTGTTCTCCTGGGCCTTTCCTTTTCTGTCCCTTTCTTCCCTGAGGTGGGCTGAGGATCAAGGGTCACTCATTCAGGTAGCCTGTGGGCTCATGCAGCCTCACTCAGGTAACAGGCTGTGGTTTAGGGTAGCTTTTCTTGTAAAATCAACTCTCAGCTAGCTGTCACAGAGAAAAGGTAGTCACCCCCGAGGTAGGCTCTAAGTAAAATCATGGCCTTTCAGGAAGAAAAGGCAAAAGAACCTGAGCACTGCACCATTATGCTTCAAATTATTAGGTAATAAATGAGTCCTGGACACCCAGCCAAGGTAAAAAGAATAAAGCAGGATAGAAGATGTCAGAAGGAAATGTGTCTTGAGAGGGAGATGGGGATTTAAGTGGGTGCCCAGGATTGATTGCATGAATAAAAGAAAGACTTCAGCCCAGGGAGGAAGACAGAAGATAGAGTGGTGCTGTTGGATATATATGTCTTTGGAGATTATACACACATTCACACACAATATGATACGGATATATTTATAATCTCCATAACATATTTTATATGTTTTATATAAATAATCTCCAAAGACATGTATTTGTGTGTGTGTGTGTGTGTGTGTGTGTGTGTGTGTGTATGGCCAGTGTGAAGGGTATGCCCTAAAAGGTGGAGCTGAAACATCTGAAGTAGAATATCTGATAAATTCTGGTATTACTTTATAAATTTCTGTCTTAGAAAATGGAAGAAGCCATGGAGTGAATTGGCACAGTGGACTTGTTTTTAAATGTACCATTTCATTTTGAAAAATATATGAAAAATACAGAGAATAATCTAACACAAATGAATGTAAAACTAACTCCCAGAATTAACAAGTGTGACTGCTTTGAGACATTTGCTCTGGACTTATTGAAGAACTAAGTCATTACAGATAAAGTTGAAATTCGCTTTGCACCCCTACCTCAGTTCTGTGTCCTTTCCTCCCTCCCCAGAGACTGCCACCATTTTAAATTTGGAAGAATGCTTCCAAACTCTAGACTCAATGCTTATCAATAAGAAAAAACTAATTTTAAAGATGAAGAAATAACAGAAACTTTGGGAGAAATAGTCTTAGAAGTAGCAAGGATGTGAACTCTGGCACCGTCCTTGGATTGAGTGAAGCAAATGTTATAGAAAATCAGATGTAAACGCAGGGCTCTGAAAGTGGAAGCAGATTTAAAAGCCTGGAAGAATCTGAGTCATAATTGTGGCTATTTAGTTGCAAATGACCCTGATAAGGAAGAAAGAGGGAAACTGCCTGTAGAAATAGGTAGTTTTTAGTGTGCGCCTGTAGTCCCAGCTACACTCAGGAGGATGAGGTGTGAGGTGAAAGAAATAACGTAGTTGCCTTAGGAGCTCTGGTTGAGTTCAGCTGTCTAAAGGTACATTTATGAGACATGTGTTCTAAATAAAGTTTCGGTGCCACTAAAGAGATACCATTCGAATATAAAATTTTCTTTTTAATTCTCAGCAAGGCAATGTACTTCTATAGAAGGGTGTGCCCTCACAGACGGAGCAATGGTGAGTGCACACTTGGACAAGGATGGGGAAGGAGTTCTTATCCCTGACGCACGTGGTCCCTGCTGCTGTGTTGTTCCCCTATTGGTGAGGGTTAGACAGCACAGGCTAAACTAATTCCGATTGGCTAATTTAAAGAGAGTTATGGGGTGAGTGTTTTGGCAGGAAAAAATGGTTATGGCAGAGCAGGAAATCGGAATGAGTCAGAGTGGAGAATGAGCAGGCAATCAGAATGAGTCAGGGTGGAGCAGGTAATCAAAAAAGGCTGCTTTATGAGGAAGTTAAGTTTAAAAGTAGAAGGCAAAGAATTGAACATACTGACATATTGAGTCCTTGAAGAGAAATTTAGAACTCATATCTAACACATGGAAGGAAGATCTACCCAGGGTTAACAGAGACCTGTAAGAAGAGTGTCAGAACTCCTAAACTGCAGAAGATGAAGTTTTCAAGTAGTGTTGAGAACAAGAATACAAAAGGTGCTTTTAAAACTAAGATCAGCATGGAAGGACGATCAAAGGAGTCACAGGCCTGTGTTTTGGATGGCTGGTGAAATGTTAATGGACAATGAAAGAAACCAGGACTACTCAAAAACTCTAATTTTGTATCCATTGTCTCCATTAAGGGGAATATCTTCCACATAGGAAAGGTGTGGACCAGTGATAAAAATGGGTGGAGGCCTGAGAGGTGAGGAGCTGGTGAGAGGGCCCGTAACATAGTCTTTCAATGAATTGCAATTCCCAAAGCAGATAAATTGCGTCCCAGGGGCCGGATGCAATTGCAGATGTAATTATGGAATATTAAGTGCTTCAAAATTGGGGATGGGCAGATGCCTCAGTATTCAAAATGGTGGAAAAAAGTATATTCAGGAATTCAGAGACCAGAAAATTTGCTTCCATTCTGAAACAGAATGGGCAAGGTGTGGTATGGAGAGAAGCGCATAGGAGCAGATATTCGCAAGAGGATTCCTCCACCTGAGGCCCTTCAGTTCCTGGTGGCAAAGGAATCAGGAGTTGCAAATTGGAGAGGGCAGCCCTACCTCCAAGAGAGAAGTTGAGGGTGGGAACTACCAGAAGATATTGAGTTTACACTGGCCTTTTCAGTCCAGCCCTTTAGATATCTCCCACCTCTGAACCTTTTTTTTTGGAAGTCTTTAGAAATTCTTTATCAGCCCCTTGATTTGACAGACATGAAAGCTTGGGTGCCTGGATTGGCAAGGTCTGCAGAGTAGAAGCAACCTGTCCAAGTTTACACAGCTGTTAATGGCTGAGCTGGGATTAGAGCCATGTGAGATAACGCACCACCTGGGGTTCTCCCCATTTATTCCACATCTGTACTGCCTAGCACGTACTTTTAATCTGTACTTATATATCTTTTATCTCCCCAATAAGACTGCATTCATTTTACACTGATTGAACATTTAATGTGTGCCAGGCACTAGGCTAAGTGCTTTGTGGATATAAAGATGATTAAAATCTGGTTCTTGGATTTAGTGAGCTTCTAATGCCATAAGGGACTTAAGCAGACTCACAGAATAAGTAGAGTGCTGTGAGATCATGGTGGAAGGGAGCATTGTGAGTTCGAGGATCCAAAAAGACTCTACCAGGAAGCATGAACTCTCCAAGGGCAGGGAGAATACCTGACACAACTTGATATTTTTTCCAGAGTCTTGAACAGTGTGCTAGAAGCCAGGAGAGTGAGCTGAGACCTCAGCAGAGCTTACTGTTTTAGAATTTAGAGAACTAGCTAAACCTGTTCTTGATCCCTGCTATGAAGGATGCTAGGGACCAAGACATTTTGCTTTCTCCTTCCTTTCCTTCTCTCTCTCTCTTTTTTTTTCCTCATGCCACTCAATTCTCCTGGGCTCCTCTTCAAAGATTTAATGAAGATTAAAAATTCACTTTGGAGCCAGGATATATCATAAGCTGGGAACAGAGAGGCCAATGAATCACACCAGGACCCCTTGCACTGGCTCTGAGGCTGGACTGCACCCAAAGCTGCCTGCAGGAATGAGAGGAAGTTATGGCATGGAAAGCATTGCATCTTTGGGCCTTCTCTCTGAGGCAGCATGGAAGCATCCACAGCCCAGTCAGGAAATTCAGAGAAAGAAACGAAACTGATGACATGGATATTAGGAACACATTCTTTCCCACTGAGCCTTGCTCCCTGGGGTGCAGGCCTATGGGTTGGTTTGGAACAGAGGCAGCTCTCTGGGTGCCTAGACTGGCAAGAACTGAGATTTGGCCTGAGGCTACATCAGGTTCCAGATTCCAGTGGTGAGCTCCAGGATCCTGTGGGGACAGTCTGCTGTGGACTCTGCCACCAAGGCCAGGCACTCATTAATCTGCACTGGGTATCTGCAACAGGAGCCTGGTCTGAGGTAGGTAAAGGGGTTGGGAAGGACAGAGCCATGAGAGTCATTAGGTTTTAAAAGTCAGCTTTATTCTTCTCTTATTAGGTTGACCTAAGTGCACAAAATCAATTTTCCAAAACTAAGAAGGACTTCATGTTACTGATAGGTTGGTTGGAATACAGAGCCTCTAAAGTTCTTTTCATCTCAGAAATCTGGAATTCCATAAGAAGGACTTTGAAAGAGCCCATGTATCTTCTGCTTTTTCTTTGTCATGATGTTATCATTCTCATTTACTAGCTGGGTGACCTTTGGCTCTTACCTTTTCTAGATGTCCTATCTTCAAATGTAAAATAGGCTTAATACTTTTCTACTGCTCTAGGTTGTCTTGAAAACTACATGAAATAATATATATAAAAGTGCATGGTTAAAATTCACAGGGACTTAATAAACATAAAATGTGTTCTCTTCCTTCCTCTCTGTGCTCACTGTGTTCAATAACTCGGAAGGAGACTGATGCAGGCAAGCATAATAAACCAAAACTAGTCTTATGCAACAGCGAAGTTGCCAGTGAAAATGCATTAAGAAGACCCTCCTTGCCCTACCCCAGACAAAAATTTTATCTCCCAAGTCCTGTGATAATGTCTGTGATAATGCCTGAGGTGGTACCATTAGTCATTGTGTGTGTCAGATGGTCTTATTATACATATTAGTCATTAAAACCTTAGTATAAAATAATTTTAAAATCGGAGCTTCTTAAGCTTGGAGATTATTTTGTCCAACTCTCACCACCCCCCTCAAAGAATTATTTTGGTAAGTCTCCTGATAGTCATCTAGACTCTTCTTGAATGATTCCTATGATAAAGAGCTCACTACTTTATGAGGTAGCCCATTCATTGTGGTACAGCTGAAGTTGATTAGATATTCTTTTTTAAGTTGAAATAAATCTCTCTCCTCAAAATTTTCTGTCTTTGGCCTGAGTTCTGTAAAATAGAGCAAACAGAGGTAAATTTGGTGCCTCATTAATCTGATAGCACTTGAAATCATTAAAAATAGTGATCTTCTCTTTTTCAGTCCCCATCACTTGGTTTATCTGATTTTTTTCTCATGTAATAGAGTTTCTAGATATTTTAGGTTCTTTACAAGCCAAGTCGCTCTTCTCTGAGGATGCCCACATTTTCCAGCATTCTCAACTTATGGCACCTGAACACTACCCCAGGATGGTTCTGACAGTGTAGTGGATGGGAGGTTATAATCTCTACTTGGTCTGGATTTAGGCTGATAGTATTACAGAGGGTTTTTATTTGTTTGTTTAATCAGATTACATGATTGTTTAATATTTAGTGTCTAATAAATTAATACCTCAAGATATTTCTGTAGGAGTTGCTATCAACTTATGCATTCCCGGGATTAGACTATTATATTAAGGAATGTAATGTTTTAATTCTAAATGCAGATAATTTTATTCTTAGTTAAAAGCTCTGTCTCTTCCCCCATTTGTTTCAGGCCATTGCTTTGTCTGTTTACTGGATCTTAACTTGTCAATCCACCCACTAGTGGTTCCTCCCAGCTTTGTGTCATCCGTAATTTTGACTAAGCAGGTCCAGTGACAGAGCCCTTCAGCCCAACACTAAAGGCTTTATTAAAACTGGCACATATCCATCATCCCTGAGTAAGATTGCTGAACTGCAAAATTATTTAATAGTTCTATCATTGAGGCTACAACCTTGAGAATTCCCAAGCTTGGCCATTTCCAGTCATTCAGTTAGTAAGTGAAAGTTTATTTGTTAATCTGGGTGGGGTTCTTAAAATGCATATACTTGGCAGACAATATTAATTGGTTTCTGGATGCCTACAATGCCACCTACCCAGGTGGAGTGATGCAGAAATTATTATTCTAACCCAGGGGCAAAATATTCATTCATTGACTATGAGGAACACTGGGAAATGCACATGAGAAATTATTGACTTGTCTTGATATCTCAGAATGTTAAGGAAGAGCTGACTAGACCTAATTCTGCTAATAAAAGGATTCCTCACCCACCCAAGGATGCCCAATCTTCAAGGGATTCTCTGTTTTCACTTTGTTCCTTTCATCAGCAATTACATGAGCAGCTTCTGCTGTTGTGAGGAACTGCTAAGAAAATCAAGGATTTGGTGATTGGGGAAGGAGGAAGTATTGTCATTGGGAGGAAACCTAAAACTTGGCAAAGGAAGCTTTGAACATTGGCCTTCATGGTGAGAGAAGTGGACCTGGGAGTGAGGCCTGGTATCAGGGATAGGTCAGAGGGAGGAAAGGGATGTGTATATAACTATTTTCCTGAGACCATAGGCTTAGCTTGGTCATCTGGGTTGGTTTTTGCCTCTATCAACTGGTATATATTCTTGTAGGGAGATGAGCATGAAGCAGTCACCACTCTCAAGTTTGATCCAAGATATTTGAAATCCCTCAGCATGCCAGCCTCCTATGGAAACATTTGCCAACTTATCAGGGATGTGGAAGACACAAACTTTGGGTGAAAGCATCATATTTTCACGTAATCTGTGAAGGCCAAGGAAAGGTCTTCTTGTTTAAATGGCATATGGCTTGCAGTTTCTGATACAGCTTCTCAAAATATCCGAAAGATATAAATATTCCTGAAGGACCAGAAAAAAAGACAAAACCCCGTAACACTAAAAATTAGTATTAATGGACAATCTAGTGCTATAATCTAAGAAGAATCTCCTTAATATAAGAAAGATGGAGCTAAATTAGAGGAATAAATCTTGTGTAGGTTTCTCTTTATGGCACAGCCAGGTTTTATTTATTTAACTTCATGAAACATAACACCTAGGGTGCAGGGGGAAGTAATTTCATAAGTCCTTGATGTCTGCTTCATTGACCAGAGGCTGAGGATGTTTACAAACCATAAAACAGGACAACATTCATTTAGGGAATGGGGTAGAGCATTTTGATCTACCTGAAAACTGTTCTTCCACCACTCATTTACCTTCCTCTATTTGTAGGCAGATATAGTCTGGTCAGTTATGAAAATAATATCATTGTATTGGGAAAAGCCAGTGTACTTCTAGAAAATAATTCTGATGACAAAAATGAACAGAAATTGGAGAAAAGAATGGAGGGAAGAGCTGGAGAAACTAGTGGTGGAAAATTTCATTTAAATAGGTGTGGTTCTCATGAGTAAAGTAGGTAGAGTCAGAGAGAAAAACAACATTGATAACAATACATGCTGGAAACTATAGATTTCCTGGAACCATGTTTGTTAAAGGTATTAGAGACTCAAACAATGAGTTTAGGAAAAAATGCCACTGAAGCTGAACTAGATGAAAGTCTGTTAAAAATGGTAGTAACTTGAGCTGTGAATATCAACCTACCCTTTATCTGTTGAACAGAGGAGTCATCCATTAGACTAGGAGTTAGAATGGACTCAAGGACAATTCATATACCCTGCTGTTGGCAAAGACTCATAGTATATAGTCCCTGCCTCATAAGAGGATGAATGAACAGGAGAAATTGTCTATGGAGAGCACTAAAAAATAGTATAAAACAAAGAAAATTTAACATCACTGTGAAAACTCAGAGGAAAGAATTTTTATTTCTAATGACATGAAAGAGACCGGAGAAACCCTCAAAGTTTAGAACACCTAAAAATGTTGGATAATTTATTTAAATGCTTTTCTAAGTTGGTGGGAAAGTAAAATAAATCTTCAAAGCCTGAAAATGACAAGAGAGTTATGGCCTGCATTTGTCATGTGGATCCCTCATGGCCTAGAGCCTAGACTTTAATTAGGCAGAAGATAAAGCCCATGTAAGGTGAGAGTGTAGTCAGATCTGAAACTACTACATTAAGCTGGCATCACTGTAAGGCAGAATCCTCAGTGGTCTATTAGAATAAAACCTCATACCATCGAGATTGCGGGGAACCTTGCCTGTTTGGCTTTGATTCTGGGTGGAGTAAAATAAGGTAAAAGCCTTCTGCAAGAAGTCCTCACCTCAAGCTTACCTCACAGGTATCTGGGACCGAACTCCCCAACAACTCTAAAAGTTAAAAACCAACCTCCAAGCTGAATATTTACTTTAAAGCGGTGTCAGGATTGGTAGTCTACCCAAATCCATGGAAAAATCAAATGAAAATCCTCTGTAGGAATATTTTCAACACACATACACACACACACACACACACACACACACACACACACACACACGGCCATCATGTGCTAGAATCAGAACACACAAACTGCAGAATCAGATGCACAATGCATTAGAATTGTTAAAAATGGAAGTAAATAGGGCATTTAGAAATATAAAAGAGGAGATTATAAGAGTGACTAAAATATTTGAAAAGGAATCAAATAGAAATTCAACATATGGATTAAAGAGGTTAAATAACTGTTTAGAATCACCAAAAGAAAAAATCAGTGAATTGAAAGACAGACTGAAATATTATCCAGATTTTAGTGGAGAGAGCCAAGAAAAAGAAAAACATAAATGGAATATTGGAAAGCATGGAGGTTAGCATAAGGTATGCCATTACCTTAATCAGACTTGCACAAGGAAACATTATAGAGAATGAGTGGTTGTGAAGGATAATATTCAAAGAGATAATGGCTGAGAATTTTCCATCATTAAAAAAATGAAACAATCCTTATATCAGGAAGCCAAAGTAGAATAAATAAAAAGAAAACCACACCTAGACACATCATTGTAAACTGCAGAACAAGAAAGTTCATGAAAATCATAAAGATCATAAAAGCATTCAAAAGAGAAAAAATCAATAAGCTGCAAAAGAATGCCAGTTAGATTCATAATAGACTTTTAAAGAGGAACAATGGAAATCAGAAGACAATAGTATAATGCCTTATAATTGTAAACCTATAAGTATATACCCAGAAAAAATTTCTGACAACAATAAGAATAAAATAAAAACTTCCACAGAAATAAAAACAGAGAGTTTACAATCAATTTATTCTTATATAAAGAAAATTATAAAGGGTGTACTTAAGGTAGAAAGAAAACCAACTAAAAAAGAAGATATAAAATGCAAGAAGAAATAGTGAGCAAAGAAAATAATAAATGTGGGAAAATATAATCATTAACTAAATAAAAGTTATAATAAAATCCAATTTTGGAGAAAAAAACAACATAAAATCAAAATCATGGAGAAAAATACATGTAAACATGGTTGGGGGGTGGAAGGTTGCTGTGATTTAACAGTAAAGTGTTCTAAGCTCTATTTTCAGGGAGATGGTAAAAACTCTTGCTTAACTTTGACTTTGTTAAGTTATATGTACATGTTAAAAGTCTAGGATGACCAATAAAAGAATAGAAATTGTACGAATTTTAAATTAGGCAATGGAAAAAATATAAAGCATAAGAAAAATCCCCTACAAAATTAAATTAATCTAAAAGAAGGCAAAAAAATTAAATGAGCATAGAAGAAATATAACAAATGAAAGCACAAAGTATAACATTTTAAGTACATAAAAAGATATTATGAATTACAATAAATGTCAGTGGACTAAATTCCCCAATGAAAAGTAAAAGGCTGGATTTCAGAAGATAAAAACAAAAGTAACATCTAATTTTATGCTGTTTATAATTGTCAAAAGGAGAAAATTACAACAAATTAATTTAAAGATCTTAATTTGCTGATTTTCATGGTTGTATTGTGGTTATGTAGGAGAATAAGGAAATACAAATTAATGTGCTTAGGCATGATGAGAGCGACAGATTGGCAATTTATTTTTAAATAGTTCAGAAAAAAGTTCTTTGTACAGCACACAGCTTTTCTATAAGTTTGGCATTGTTTAAAAAATATCTTTTAAAAAAAAGAAGAAAGAAGAAAAAGAATGTCCAATAAAATGACAAATATTGAAGCTAGGCAAAGAAGATGCAGCATATGAATAATAGTTTCAAAAGGAGAAGCTCAACAAATACTAAAAGAAATAGAACAAATACTAAAAGCTGTAAAACAGTAAAACTTTTCCAACAAAAAATGAAAATACAAATGGGAAAAACACACATCATGCATTTGAGAATACTCACCCAATATAACCAATACCAAGACATATACAAATATAGACTTTGTATACAAAAATTGAACTTTAAAGAAAAAGAGAAAATCCTTTTGGGATCCAGACAAAAAGATCCTGTGATTTATAAAGAAAAGAAAATTATGGTAACATCAGACTTTTTCACAGAAAAATTTTATGATGGAATAAAAAAAGGAATATCATTTAAGATAGCCTAGGAAAGAAAATATAAACAAAAGCTTTTATATTCAGCAAAACTGACTTTTAAGTAAAAGCAACAAAAACTGTCAACACACAACTCATGGAACATTGCTCTTATGAGCTTTTCCTGAGGATTCTAATAGAGAAAAACTTAAATGATTAGAGAGACATTAACAGAAATGCTGCCACCTGGCCTCTATTTCAGGGTCCTATTATCTTCATTGCTGTCAGCAAGCTAAGTCCTCTAATGGCTTCTTTTACTATCATCCATGGCCTACAGAGGGGAGCCTTCACTTCTTTGCTGGCTATTTCACCAGCACATTCTTTATTGTTTCTGTAAATAATGTGTAACTATGTTCAAGTGGAAAATAATCATCTAGCAGGTCTGCTAGTAGTACATAGCATATCCATCCTAGTATTCCCAATTTCTTGAGATTTCCTGCCCCTACCTCCCCATCCAACTGGATATTAAAAAAAGAAAATCTCTTCACCTACCATCTGTCATGGCAAGTCTGGCATTTTCAACTCTACTCAGTGTGAGCCATTGCTTTTTCAATGTTCCATTAAGCCCTCCTAGTAGGAAGTTTGAATCATCTCTGGGGGCCTTGCCAGTATTTTAAATTCTGTGTCTTATGAGAATGTTCCCAAGTCAATGAATCCTTCTCTATCCAATTATATCTTGAGGCCTCTTGATTAATCGCTCTCAGAATCCAGTCCCAGGAAAGCTTGACTGACTCCTCCTGAAATATGCTGGCTAGTTCTTAAAGTTCCTTTGGTATATAGACCACTTTCTCCCTTACTAGTCCCAGCACACACCGCCCTGGGATTTGTTGCAACTGAACCCTAGATATAGGGCTAGTGAATGGCTAGGAGAGGAGGTGGGATGGTTACTAAAAGGGACACATGTTACTTTCCAGAGAAGAAGATTCCAGGCTCTTTTCCAACAAAAGGATGGGAGGAAGGTAAGGGAGACCATGCTGATTTTTAGGAGTGGGGCTACATATGCAAACTAAGAAGCTTTGGAGAAGTCTTGGTAGTCAAAATACTCAGGGCCTAGATATCTAGATATCCCTATCTCATGTTTCCAGGTTCCAGATTTCTCAAATAGGGGCCCGATCTTGTTAAATCAGACCTACTTTATTGTGCATTTAACCATGTTTGATGTTTAGCCATTCTATTAAGTGATAATGGGAAATGAGAGCTTCTTTGTAAGCACCTAAAGAGGCTCTCCGGCTTTCACAGCAGATTTTCAATTGCATATTATGCTTAGTTATTCCTTACCTTTCTGTAGTGCATCAATGGTGCTTATTTATAGCCATCTAATCCTGCCCTATTTTCTCCATACATATCAAACAACTTGTACATCACCCCTACTACATTCTCTTTCCCTAGTATATTCTCCCAATTCATCACCTAATGGTTTTAATGACTGGACCACCACCTCATGCCAGAGGCCATTGGTACACTGTCTTATCATCAATGATGGGGTTCTCATTGCCAGATAAGCATTGAGTAATCCAGCTTCAAAATATCATTTTATTGCCTGTTTTCTCACACCATTTCTGGTACTAACTGTTGTAGTTTGGATTCTTTAGATGCAGACATTGAGACGGAATTTGGGGCTTAAGATGTTTATTAGGGAATCAACACCTATGAAGGAAAGGGAGAGAAAGCAGGATTGTTGGGTTATCACACAAACCCAACAAAGTCTTAGCCAACTTGGCAAGAAGTCTGGAGCAAGTATTGACTATCAGAGTGTCTGCCATTAGCCCAAAAAGGCCAGGTCTTTATACCCCCTCCTCTCTTAATCACTAGATGAAGACTGCAATAAGAAGAGCATAATCTCAGGAAAGTATCTCTTTGCAGTATCTCAGGAAAGTATCTCAGGAAAGTATCTTTTTGTAGACTCTGAAGTAGCTTCCAAGTGTAGGCTCTCTACTGCTCCAACTTCTTGAAACTGGGCAGAAAGTCCCTCTGTGAAGGAGAATTTGGCAACTCATCTCTGTGGCTACACAATATGTAATGGCATACATTTGACAATGTATGCTTACTATTAGCATAAAAATTGGGCTAGAATAGGAATAGCATATGCAAATATATTTTACAATCATGATTGGTGGTGGCAGTAGTAGTATTATGCTCAGACAGATATGTGTGAAATGTGGATTAAAGCAAATGAATAGTAATGGATATTTTAATTCTATTACCCTTCATGTCCTTGAGGATAAAAACAATTTTTATATATGTATATCTACTGAAAGGCCTAGAGAAAGACTAGGCCAGTATCAATGAACATTGCTAGAACCTAGAATGTAATATTGAATTATCATTTCCTTCGAAAAGATACCAGGGCTTTTTGGAGAAATGACTGATTCAACATTTGGCAAAGGAATGTATTAGATTAGACTAGAATATTTTGTCATGCAAAATAGCAAAGAAAGTAACAAAGACTATTAAAATCATAACGAAAGGACTAAGGAACCAACTTGAAGAGACTCCTTTTGGCCAAAGAAGGGATAAAGAATCAATAAGAATAAGAAAATTGAAATATATTTACATTCTTGTGTTTATAATGATATTTTAAGAACTAATTGGGTGATGATAGAAAATCAATTTGTTATCTTAAAATTAGTAAGAGGAAATAATAAGCATTTATTCTGCCTTCCTAAATGAACTGAATTATTGAGTAACAAAGTAGCAAAATGAGGGAAGAATTTCTTTATAAAGTTCTCCCAGCTAACAAATAAAAACAAAATTATAAAATTAGAAATATCACCATAATCCAACTGCTAATTAATTATTGGATCTGGACAATAAGCAACAATATCACAAGAAGAGAGACAACCAGGCATTGTATGCCTCCTGATGAATAAACGTTACACCACCTGTAGTATTGTGAAAGAGATCAAGCCTAAATCTGATTGAGCCTCTAGATGCAGCTGCCATTTTTTAAAAAATCCAGGGAACAGAGGAATGTGTTGAACTCCACTATGGGCATGCCATAAGCAAAATCCAGACTGTAGGAAACTCTGGGAGTCAAAAGTCTTGGGTTTCAACAGCTAAATTAAAAGAAAAAAGAAAGAAATGGATGAAAAACTGTAGAGTAAAAGAAATGTTAAAGACCTAACTAACAATATTTTTTAAATGGACATGACAGAATGCTATAGTATCTAATGATGCATACTTAGGTGAGAGAAAAAGCCATTAAAAAACATTCTTATGTGATTACCGTAAAAATCAGGATATGGTTACTTTTGTAGGAATAGGGGGTTGAGATTGGGCCAAGACAAATGGAGGGCTCCTGGGTGGCTGGCAAAATTCTATTTTCTTTTTCTACCATAGTGATGGTTCAGGAATGTTGACTAAAATATTTCACTAGTCTATACATTTGTTTATGCCGTTTTATGTATATGTTTTTCATTTTATAGTAAAATGGCTAAACATTTTTAAAAAGTAATAACAATAAAATAGCAACTTTTGAAGTATGGTTAAAGCTGTACCCAGAGGAAAATTTATAGTCTCAAATGTTTACATTAGAAGAGAAGTTAGGTCATAATTAGTAAATTAAGTTAGAAAAAAACAAAACCAAGTCAAATAAAGTAGAATAAGGGAAATCAAGAAGATAGGAACAGAAATTAATGCATTAAAAAACTAAGATAAAAGATCAATGAAGCCCGAGTGGAGACACTGATAAAAATTATAAAATCAATTATAAGATTGATGAAGAAAAGAAGGAGGTATGTCATATATAGATCATAACATATCTATAGAAACAGGAAATATTTAAAAGACAAGAGGGTATAATGAAAAACTTTATACCAATAAAATTGGAAAACATAGGTGAAAGGGAAAAATTCCTGGACTCAACATTATAAAATGTTTTCAAACTTAATCCAAGAAAAATTAGAAAATATGAATGTTTGTATGAACATTTTAAGGAATTAAGTATTGAAAGAGCTTCCTAAAGAGAAAACACCATGCCCAGACTGTTTTCTAAGCAAGTCTTATAAGAATGCCTACTATCACACTTCTATTTAACATTCTTCTAGATGATATACCTAGCAAATAAAACAAGAATTATAAATGAAATTTATAAGATTTGAATAGGAAAAAAATGAAAAAAATAAAAATGTAGTTTATAGATATGGTTTTCAATACAAAAAACTAAAATAATCTGCAAATAAATAACTAAAATTTAGAGATTCATGTTTGTCAGATATCAATGTATAAATACAAATGTCTATATATAAATAGAAAAGTCTATGGTGTGTCTATATAATGGCAGTATTTTACATTTATATTGAGTTTGAGGGATTCCAATTAATAGCATCTATTTTCCCAGCCTGAGTTCTGAACCAGACAAAACATAGAGATACAGAAAAACTAAACAAATAACCCGATTAAAAATGGACAAAGGACTTGAATAGACTTTTTTTTAAAGAAAACATACAAATGGCCAACAGGTATATAAACTCAATATCACTAATTATCTGGGAAACCAAATGTAAGCCACAGTGAGATATCATGTCACACCTGTTAGGATGGCTATTGTTAAAAGTCAAAAGATAGTATGTGTTGGTGAGAATGTGGAAAAAAGTGAACCCTTGTATACCGTTAGTGAGAATGTAAATTGATACAGCCATTATGAGAACAGTAACATTCCTCGAAAAATTAAATATAGAACTACCTTATAATCCAGCAATCCCACTTCTGGGTATCTATCCAAAGGAAATAAATCAGTATCTTGAAGATATATCTGCCCTTTCATGTTCTTTGCAGCATTATTCACAACAGCCAACATATGGAAACAACCTAAGTGTCCATCAATAGATGACTGGATAAAGAAAATCACACACACACACACACACACACACACACACTTCAGCCTTGAAAAAAATATATTGTTGGCTGGGCGTGGTGGCTCACGCCTGTAATCCCAGCATTTTGGGAGGCCGAGGCGGGTGGATCACCCTCGGCCAAGAGGTCAAGAGATCAAGACCATCCTGGCCAACATGGTGAAACCCTGTCTCTACTAAAAATACAAAAATTAGCCAGGTGCGGTGGCACGTGCCTGTAGTCCCAGCTACTCAGGAGGCTGAGGCAGGAGAATCATTTGAACCTGGGAGGTGGAGGTTGCACTGAGCTGAGATCGTGCCACTGTACTCCAGCCTGAAGACAGAGCAAGACTCTGTCTCAAAAAAAAAAAAAAAAAAAAAAAGATATTGTACTGTTTGTAACAACATGGATGAAGCTTGAGGACATTATGCTAAGTGAAATAAGCCAGACACAGAAAGACAAATACTGCATGACCTCACTTAACATGTGGAAACTAAAAATAATTTGAGCTCATAGTGACAGAGAGTAGAATGGTGGTTACCAGGAGCTGTAGGGTGGGGGAAAAGAGGAGGTATTCATTAAAGGATACAAACCTTCAGTTATAAGTTAAATAAGTACTGGAGACCTAATGCAGGAAACGTGGTGAGTATAGTTACTAATAATGTGTCATGTACATGAAATTTGCTAAAAGAATACATCTTAAGTGTTCTTACCACTCACACATACACACACAGACACACACACAATGGTAACCACGTGATGTGATGGATATGTTAATTAGCTTGATTGTAGTAATCATTTGACAATGTATACATATACTAAAATGTCACATTTTATACCATAAATATATAGAATTTTTATTTATCAATCTTACCTAAATAAAACTGAAAAAAAAAGAACAGGTAGATAGAGGCTGAAATACTTTTATTACCAAAAACATTGATTTTGGAGAATGTCGCTAATATTTATGCAAAAGAGAGATTCATAATCCTGAATTCCAGAACCAGACAGCCTTATCCAGTGAGTCACCAGCAGCATATGAACACCAGATGCTGGTGTTTCTGCATCTCCTGTAAAGGAGGGGTTGTTTCTGTTAGGTTTTCTGCATGGCTTAGAGTAATCAAGACCACATATTCTCATAGACAGAGCAGCTCCTAAGAGGAAGGAAAGAGGAAATGCCTGGGCATGAAAGCCAAGTTTATCCCTTCAAATCATTAATCAGATTATGTTGCTTCTTCTCCCCCAGGGCCAGAGTGAGTGAGGGGCAGAGACAACCAGGATTGTTTCAGGGGTGAAGCTCCCTCCACGTGGAAGAGAATATTTGGAGTAGGGAAGGATTTCCTACCTCCTAGTCAAAAAAGAATTTGTAATATCACTCCCCCTCAAAAAGGCTGGCCCCTAGGAATAGATTTTAAAAAACATATGCAAGATTTTTATGGAGAGAGGTATAAAAATTTACTGAAAGATATTAAAGACAACCTAAATAAATACAGACATATCATGGTCACAGACAGGAAGACTGACCATTGTAAAAGTTATTAATTTTCCCCAAATCAATCCACAGGTTCAATATAATTCTAATAAAATTCTGAAGTAAGATTGTGAAGAATTTGACTATTTTTAAAGTTTATATGGATGATCAAAATGCAGTACACAATATACTCCCAGAGAAAAATGTTAGATAGGAAGACTTGCTCTACCAAATCAAGTCTTATTTCAAGCTATCATAATTAAAAGTGTGGTTTGAGTGCAGAGATAGGAAGAAAGCCCAATGGAACAGAATAGAGCCCAAAGACAGACGCATACATAACTGATGAAAGCCATTACAGGAAGAGCTGGCATTGACGATAAGCTGGGAAAAGACTAACCATTTAACAGATGACATTAAGACAACTGCTCGTCTATGTGGGGGAAAAACTGGATCCCTGCCACAGACACACATTCTAAATAAGTGTAAGGATTCCACTGAAAAAGGAAAACTACAAAATGTTTAATGAAAAATATAGAAAATAGCTTTTAATTTTGGGAGTGGGAAAGAATGCCTTAAACAATATTCATATGAGGAAATCCTTATAAAATTAGATTATAAATTTGACTGCATCATAATCAAAAACTTCTTTCTTTCAAAAGACACCATAAAGAAAAGAGATAAGCCCCAAATTGTTAGAAAATAGTTGCAACATATTAACTAATAAATAATTAATATCTATTATAGAACAAAACTCTGTGAATTAATAAGAAAAAGAAACATGGGCCAAACATATGAACAAGCCTTTCGCAGAGAAGAAATAGGACTGGTTAATAAATGTGAAAAGATGTTCAACTACATAAGTAATATCACAATTGGGTAGCACTTATATCTTCTATATTTTCAAAAACTAACAAATCTTACAATACTAAGTATTTGGAGAATGTGGAACAAAAAAAATATTCCTACACTGCTGGCTGGAGTATAAATTGCCTTAAGCATGTGGGAAAACCATTTGGCATTCCTTGGTATTGTTGAAGACGTGAATGTCCTGTGATATAGGAATTCTACACCAAAGTATCTTTCCTAGAGAACTTGCACAGGTGCCCCAGGAAACATGAACAAGACTATGATTGCAGCATTGTTTGCAACAGCAAAAATGGAAATAATGCCAGTCCATCAACACTAGAATGGGTAAATAAATCATAGTACACTTATGTAATGAAATATTACACAAAAGTAAAAATGAGTGAATGACAATTATACACACTAATAGAGGTGAACCTCATATTGATAAAAAATTATGAAAGAATACATGTAGTATGATTCAATTTATATAAATCTAAAAAGGCAAACAAACTTATTTTGGGGGATATATTAATTATGGTAAACATATAATGGAAAGCAAGAGCATAATTAACAGCAATTTCAGTTATTTCAGGGTCAGGGATAAGGGGAAAGGCTTACATGGACTTTCAAATACACTGATTGCTATGACCTAAATGTTGTTGTTCCCTCAAAATTCATATGTTGGAACTTAATTTCTAATGTGATAGTATTAATAGGTAAGGCTTTTAGGTGGTGATTAAGTGATAAAGGCAGAGCCCCATGAATAGGATTAATACCATTATGAAAGTGAGGGACACTGTTTGCCCTTTCTGCCATGTAAGGACACATAGAAGTCACCATCTATGAGGAACAGGTCCTTCCCAGACACCAGATCTGCTGGCACCTTGATCTTGAACTTCCTCCAGAACTGTGAACAATAAATTCTGTTGTTTATAAGTTGCCCAGTCTAAGACGTTTTGTTATAGCAGCAGGAACAGACTAAGACATTATCATATTCTATGTTTAAAAGAAAGAGGTGGCCGAGGCGGGCGGATCACGAGGTCAGGAGATCGAGACCATCCCGGCTAAAACGGTGAAACCCCGTCTCTACTAAAAATACAAAAAAATTAGCCGGGCGTAGTGGCGGGCGCCTGTAGTCCCAGCTACTTGGGAGGCTGAGGCAGGAGAATGGCGTGAACCCGGGAGGCGGAGCTTGCAGTGAGCCGAGATCCCGCCACTGCACTCCAGCCTGGGCGACAGAGCGAGACTCCGTCTCAAAAAAAAAAAAAAAAAAAAAAAAAAAAAAAAAAAAAGAAAGAGGTGCCTGCATGTGTACTTATTTAATAAATACTTTTATATAGTAGACATAAATTACACATACTATATATTAATATATGGTACAATGTATTTTATTTGAAGAATGAAAGAACATTCCTCTGAAAATGATATACTGAAAGGTTCAGAATAAAACTAGCAAATTATTGGGGATTTTCAGTGAAATGCAAGAAGACGTAGTTTGTATAAAAAAGTAGCAGAAAATTCTAAGGAGACAACAGGCTGGGATGAAAAATCAGCAGGCTGAGAAACGAAATAAAGAGCATAGAATCAATTTGGAGGGGCTGAGATAATTTTTTTAATTATGGAAAATTAATATACAATAGTGGAATTTAAATCCATATTGGAAACAATAAGAAGATGATTTTATAGTTTTGAAAATTGAATCAATAATGTGAAGAACAAACTTCAGATTTTCCAAAAGACAGACAAAAGAGACAAAGACATAAAACTGATGTGAGAAGATGAACGATCTGGATGGGTCCAGTTGTTTCTTTCAATCCTTCCTGGACATCTCCAGAACTAGGGTTGGTGCCTTTCTCTTGTGTTCCCACAGCAACCTGCATTACCCTATTGGAGTACTTACCACATTCTGGTGTGATTACCTGCTTGCTTTTCTCCCTCTCCTGCCTTGGAGGTTAGTCTGTAATATTCATAAACTCTATCTGATTCATGATGTATTGCCCAGAGTATAGGCAGGGTTTGCAACACAGTATTTGCATCCTTCAGGGTAGAGTCAGTTGCGTCTAGCAGAAATTCCTAGTCAAAATATTTTAGACCAGTGTTCAGCAAACCACAACCCACAGGTCAAATCCAGGCTGTTGCTTGTTGTGTAAATGTTGTTTTCAATGTACTGAATGTTTATTGCCTCCCAAAATTCATATGTTGAAATCCAAGATGATGGTATTAGTAGGTGGGGCTTTGGGAGCTGATTAGGTCTTGAAGGTGGAGCCCTCATGAACAGGATTAGTGCCCTTATAGAAGAGACCTTAGAGAGATCCTCACCCCTTCTGCCATGTGAGGCTATAGCAAAAAGAGAGCTAGCTGTTTATGAGCTAGGAATTGGGCCCTCACCAGGAAACAAGTCTGCTAGTACCTTGATTTTGAACTTCTCAGCCTCCAGAACTGTGACAAATAAATTTTTGGTGTTTATAAGCCATCCAGTCTATGGATGCTATTTTGTTATAGCAGC
Source organism: Homo sapiens (assembly GCF_000001405.40). Lineage (NCBI taxonomy): Eukaryota > Metazoa > Chordata > Mammalia > Primates > Hominidae > Homo > Homo sapiens. The sequence goes on from NC_000001.11 coordinate 115,255,770, forward strand.
CCGAATGGACTAAGACAATGTTTTATTGGTACACAGCCACTCCTTTATGTCTTGTCTATGGCTGCTTTTATGCTGCCATGGCAGAGTTGAGGAGTTGCTACAGAGAAAATATGGCCTGTAAAGGGCACAATGTTTATGAAAAGTTGCCAAACCCTAGCTTAGACAACAATAGGATTTTTTAATCTTATATATCATGAATTTCAGAGGTATTGTGGGCCCAAGATTGATCGAGTGGCTCAGTGACATCATTAGGAACTCAGATTCTCTACACCTTTTCACACTGCCATTATTGACAAGTTGGCTACATTCCCTGGTCCCTGATGAGTATCCAGAAACAAAAAAGAACTGGCTTTTTCTTGTGTCTCTTTTATGAAATTAACACAGATGTTCCAAAAGCCCCTCAGGAGACTTTCTCTCATGATTGGCCAAAACTGAGTCCGTAAACCACCACCTAAACTACTCCCTAAATCAGTAATTGACAAAATTTACAGAGACATCATGATTAGCCTATATCAAGCAGGATTAACCTAAGTCATTTGAAAGAGGAACAAATACTGGGAAAAAAATCGAGGTTCCATGAGCGTTTAGGAAGGGGGAAATGGCTTTTACATAGGCAATCAATAGTGGATGCTGTAACACTCAGTAAATATTTTTTGAATGAATTAATTACCAGTAAAACCTCTAACATTTGGATAACTGATGCTTCTGAAGAGTCCAGGGAAAAATGAGCAGAAGAAATAATTAAGGTTGCAATAGAAAAAATAGAATAACCTTTTTCTGCTCTGAACAAGGACTGATGTATATAGATTACAAAGATTTAATGTGTTCCAGGGGAAAAAAATCAATGAAAAGAGATTGTTGGCTAGATTTTTCTGACCAAAATTTTGAATTACAGAATAAAAAAAGAATTACCCAAGTGACAATATGAAAAAACAATATACTGCAAATGAACTGAGATCAAGCTGTCCTTAGATGTATACTCTTCAACATTAATTACCAGAAGATAGTGGAGCAATGTATATGTATGTAAACACCAAAAAGCTGTGACTCAAGTGCATTTTCACAGCCAAGTTTTCTTCCATGTGTGAAGGTAAAAGAAAGCTATTTTCTGACGTGCAAGGACTCAGAAAATATACCTACTTATACCTTCTCGAAAAAATAATTTCTAAAGATGTACTCTTACTAAGGATGAAGAAAAATTAAGTGTTCAATAATGGTGAGGCCATGGTATAAAGAGTCTGATATCCGCTATTTGCCAGATGCTAGGGCAGCAACTCTCAACCAGGGAGTCTGTCAAAGTATCTTTATTGCCCTAGGAGGCATGTCCCTGGCTTCCTTCTTCCACCCTAAATGAAAATCAGTGTGTAATAAGGGGTGGTACTGTAAATCTAGAGCCATCTAGGGCAGTGCTTCACAACCCTGATAAAAATATCAATGCTTGATCCCACTCCAGAAGTTCTGATTTGTTTTGGAGTGAGACCCAGACACAAAGCTCTCCAAGTGATTAGAATATGCAGTCAAGGTTGGGGAGTACTCTTCTAAGAGAAGAAAGCCTGTATTAGTTTGCTAGGGCTGCCATCACAAGTTCCATATACTGGGTGGCTTAAGCAACAGAAATGTGTTGTTTCAGGTCTGGAGGCTAGAAGTCTGAGATCAAGTTTTTGGCAGGGTTGGTTTACTCTGAGGCCTCTCTCTTTGGCTTGTAGATGGTCATCTTCTCCCTGTGTCTTCAGGTGGTCTTTCCTCTGTATCTATCTGTATCCTAATTTCCTCTTCTTACAAGGATGCCAGTTTTATTGGATTAGGATCTACCCTAGTGAATGACCTCATGTTAATTTAGTTTCTTCTTTAAAGACCCTATCTCCAAATGTAGTCACATTCTGTGGTACTGGGGTTAGGACTTCAGCATATTAATTTTTTGGGGAAAAAATTCAGACCACAACACAGCCTTTGGCTCTTCCACATCTTAAGGAGTAGGAGGGATTCTGAAGAGTCATCAAATCTAAGGAATTTGGCTAGACCAAAGAACTAATGGTATGGTCTGCCTCTCTCTTAGGATCTCAAATCTTAGAAATTCCACTCCTGCTCCATAGTGATGCACTTTTTGCTTCTACTACAAGGCTGATGAGAGGAATAGAACTCACTGCTGCCTCTGCCTAAAATTTCTGTAGCAAGTAGCTCTAGGCACTGGAAGACTCTCTTCCTTGCTTTGTCTAACCCACCACACTAGCACTTCCACTCTGTTGTGCTAATGAGATGAGACAGCCAAGCAACTTCTCGCTCCATCCTGCTGAGTTCTGCTCAAGACCCTGGTACTATGCTCACTTGCCTTAGTGCAAGGAATTTAGAGTTTAACTTTGAAGTAAGGATGATAATAGTCCCTCCCTAAAACCGAACCCCTCCTTGTTTGGAGACTGAAACTGCCTCTGTAAAACTAATAACAGCTGACAAGACTAGGATTATGGGAGGGGCCCAAATTCTGCTAAGATGTAGGCATAGTTAAACGATAACCAGCCATTGTTCTCCAGCTTGCTTTTCTATAATCCCTTACTGCTCACGGCCAGAAGTCACAAGATTTGTGACTTTCCCCATTTCTCCTATAGATAACAACACTGTTGTAGAACCTAAGATTGTTTTTTCAGACTTTCACATTCTGGCAACTGACTGACTTCATCCAGACCTGTGACTCATGACTCAACTGCTCCCATGGCCCCCACCCAGAGGGTGACTCAGCACACAAGGACCGTTTTCCACACCCCTATGATTTCATCCCTAACCAATCAGCAGTACCCATTCTGTAGCCCCCTGCCCACCAGATTATCCATAAAAACCCTATCCTCTGAGTTCTTGGGGAGGCTGATTTCAGGAATAAACTTCTGTTCTATCACTTGGCTAGTTCTGCATTTATTAAACTCTTTCTCTATTGCAAGACTGCTATCTCAGTAAATTGGTTTTATCTGTGCAGCAGGCAAGAAGAACCCATTGGGAGGATGTTGAAAATTAAAATAAGGTGGTCAGCAAAGTCTTTATTTCTTGAGAACATGATGTTTGAGCAACGCATGAAATGAGAGCAAGAAAAAAAATCAATCTACAAAGGGAAGCATAGAGACTGTTAAGGGGACATTGAGGCCTGATTTAGGAAAGAAGAAATAAGAGATCACTTAGTCACTCGCAGTTCAAACTTCCAGGCTTAGTAAAAATGTACCTAGAGGACTTAAAAAGATGCATAGGAGTTTATTCCCACTCAAATGGAGACAAATATTGTGTTCTTTCAGAAAATAGGAAAATATAGATTCTAATACTGCTTGGTTAGATTTCTCTGTTTCCTTGACAGAATTCTAGAACACATTCACAAACAGGTGATTTGTGTGCATTTAGACAAGGAAGTAGTTATTGGTGTCCAAATATACCCATATTATATAACATACTCCTAATATCTCTACACAGGGTGTGTGTGTGTGTGTGTGTGTGTGTGTGTGAAAAAGAATGAGAAAGAGTGAGAGTGAGAGTAAGAGAGAGAGAGGGAGAGACAGCACAGATTCCCTGGCCAACTAATTTGAAATTCTTTCTAGAATGTCACTCTAAACAGAGATTCACAATGCACATTAGCATACGAAAGGCTCTGCAGTAAATAAAATAGTTTAATTTTATTTAACCCAAGAATGCTCCTTAAAAAAACCCAAAACCTATTATCTGGTGGAAAGAATGTTTTATAAAACATACTTACGGGGAAAGCAGGGAGGAGGAGCATCAAGATAATGTATGCTGGGCTTAATACCTAGGTGATGGGTTGGTAGGCACAGCAAACCACCATGGCACACGTTTACCTATGCAACAAGCTTGCAGATGTGCCCTGGAACTTTAAAATAAAATAAAATAAAATAAAAAACATATAGATACACCATGTGAGAAGAAAGGATCAAAGGTGGCAATCGAACACCAAGGAATTGGACTAGACAGTGGAGGGTTTTGGAGCAAGAATGGACTAAACTAGAATAAGCAAGAATAGCCCTCTGCAATAACCAGGAACAGCTGGGGGTAGTGATGTGGGGCAAGCTAGGCAGGCTTAAAGGGCCAGAAAGCAGGCAAGTACCAGCATATGCACAAGTTCTCTAAGAACAAATCATTCCAAACTAAACTCATTTTCTTTGACAAGTGATTGAACCTGCATATCCAGGTAATGCTATAGACAGTACATTTTGACTTCAGGAAAGCATGTGATAGAGTTTCTTATAATATATTTATGGAAGGATGAAAGAAAATAGGTTAAATTATAGTATAAATATTGGCCTTTTAGCTGGTCATCACAGTTATTCCTAAAGAACATTGATTGTTGGACTGCTGCTGTCAAGGTGGAGGGAAGTCTCTTGATGTCTGCAAGTAGGGGCAATGTAGAAAAGTGGCTAAGACCAAAGGCTCTGAAGTTGGACTGCCTGGCCTCAAATCCTGCCTCTGCCATTTACTAGCTGGATGACTGTGGGCAAGTTGCTTAACCTCTCCATGCTTCAGTTTCCTCATCAATAAATGAGGGATACTAATGATACCTACATGTTAGTATTGATATGAAGATTAAATGTGTAAATTCATGAGAAGCATTTAATAGTGCTTGCCCATGGTAAACAATAAAAAAATAAATGTTGGTAATTATTGTATATTCTGTTCTGGAACCTAATGAATACACACTTTTTTTTTTTTTTTTAAATCTTGGGCTTGGATTAAGACACACAAGCCACTTTCTTCCCAAAGATGGGAGGGATGGATGACATATTAGATGACAAAGTCAAGGTACAAAAAGATTTCAACAGGCTAAATGAAGCATTTAAATTGTGAAGATAAACATTTCAGAGGTAAAGCTCTAAAAAAATTTCAAGGTCAGCTCTATGCCTCAACAAATCTACAAAGTCCAGGATAGGGTGAAGGTGAGTTAAAAGCAGTTAATACCTGGAGGGGGACATGAGGGAAACCCACAGGTAAACCACAGAATGCTATAATTTTCTGGTTTTCTAAAGAACAAAGGTTAAGGGAAGTGATGGTTTGAGTGTTTTCTGTACTCAGCAGACCACATTCAGAGGATTTCATTCCTTTGAGGGAGTGTCCTGCCTGTCTGCAAGCTATCTTCAAGTGGGAGCATATCAGGTGGGGCTGCGTGAATGACTAGGGAATGGCCCCACAATCCCATCACGTGCAGGCTGGTATCAGAAAATGGGGACTATTTAGCCCCAAGAAGGGAAGACTCCAAGGAGGCCTGACAATTCTTTTAACATATTTGAATGTCTGCCATGGAAAAGAGGGATTTATTTGATTTATCCTTTGAAGCTTCACAGGGTAGAGCAGGTCTGATGATTTGAGTTACAGGGAAGCAATTTGGGTGAATGTAGAGAAGTGACCATGAATAAGAGACCTGGACTTCCCGGGAAGTGGTGAGCTCCTGTTATTGGAGGGCCCCCCACAGAGGTGAGATGCCCCTAGCCAGGCCAGCCTGGTGACAAGAAAATCCCTGCATGGGGAGGGGTGTCTTTGTATATGCCCTCTAAGGCCCCTGCTGACTCTGAGATTTGCCATTCTGTGGGTCTGGTAGGTTTGGGAGAATTTTCTTTGAAGAAAAATTCTCATGAGTTTATGTTATGTCTGGGGGAAAATGCACAGGAGCATTTGGGAGTTGGTCTACTGATTACTGGAAAGGGGGCAGTGAGAGAGGCTGCCACCCATTGTCACACCACAGTCCACTCACCTCTAGCCCATCTCTTTTTACAGCATGAAGAAGGCCTTGCAAACAAAGCCATTTTGTGAGAAAATAAAATAAAAGCAAAACCAAGCAAGTGTGCATGCTGTAGAAAGGGAACACTTACTTGGAGAGTTTGTTTGATTCTTCTTCTTTAGTTATTTTCTAAGCAGCTTGGCAACAGACCTATTGGAGACAGCTTCTATGCACTGGAGTGTGAGTTTCCAAGCATTATAGGCACAGATGTTTTGGAAATCTAAACAGGCTGTCTGAAGCTGCTTTTTTAAAGTGAAGAACCGTTTTCAACAAATGTGGCAATCCATTTCAATTAAATATTTTAAAAGATTTTTGTGCTTATGTAAAGAACAGTTTTAATTCCATGGTCTGACCCTAACTTCTTCATGGAAATGACCAGAACTCCTGTGCTATTGAAATCCAGGGCCACAGACAACTGATTCTACCACAAAGGAGAATACCCACCCCCGACCCAACTCTTTGTTTCCACCCATGTGGGCCTTTTCTCTGCCCCTATTTCTCTTATTTTAGCATATATTTAATTAAGGCTTCTGTGTTCCTGGTCCTGATAATACATTTCAACAGAAAAACAAGGCCCACATCTTCAGGAAGCTTAACATCTAGAGTGGGAAATAATTTGACCCATATGAAATGACTTGAGGATAATTGTAAGGCAATTAACAGGTCTGGCCATGGCAAGGATGGAGACAGGCCATACTCACCACCTCCCGCGCCACAATGCTTTTTGTGTGTGTAGAAAACCTCATATTATGGCAGCTTCTTGGGGAACACACTTACAGAGAGGGGTAGTTGCAAAGTCTGTTACGTAAATCTCAATGCCCTAGCGAGCGTGATGCTCTAGTTGGCCCCTGTTCTTCGGGAGGCAACTTAGAAGAGAGTATTGAGGAGGAACTTGGTAGGAACTGGCTGGCATAGAATGTGTGTATCTTCCACTTGGCTTTGAGCAGGAACAGAAAGAACGGTTCAGATAACTGCATACAGTAATCCTGGTTAATTAATGTTCCACAGATGAGTTAAAATATATTGTCATTCCACATTCATTTTTTGAGTTTTTATCTTTTATGGGCTAATATCTGCTAAGTGTGTGGTAACTGATTGCAAGAGAGATCTTATTCCTGCAGAAAAGACAGACTTGTGAACAAAATTTTCAGTATGTTAGTTACAAAGAATTAACCAAGGCACCCTGTTTTCCAGCCACAGGTCAGAATGAATTCTCTGGGGCTGCTTTGCATACCAAGTGTTCTGAATTAAACCTTAAAAGTGTCTTTATTTTTTAACTTCTCATACACAGTGATTAAACAAAAAATGAAGAAAAAAGAATTAAAAAGACATTGACAGGAATTGATAAACACTGTGTTTCATTTAGGGTTGGGAGCGTGAAGAATATGTCTCTTCTTTTTCTGCTAGTTATTATCCATCTGAAGGGATTATGTCATTATTTGTCCAACCTTCATGAACCTCATGAACAGCAGTGCTCTCCACGTAGAAGCTGGACTTAAGATTCACCCTCTTAATCCTGAAGGCTTCCTGCTGTGTCCCTTGCTTGAAAGACAGGGTTTGCAGAAAGGATGTTGGGTTTGGCTAACCAACAACATTTGATTATTTTATTTTGTTAAAGATTGCAACATTATGCAGCCGTTTCCCCTCCTGTCAGGATTTCTTTCTCATGACTTTCATTTCTTCAGAGGTGTTGAGACCATAGTGCCTGGTTTCAGGCTGGACACACGTCCTTCTCCTAGAGTCTACAAGTCAGTCTTTATTCTACAGGAAAACATCCAACTGAATGCTGAGTGTGCATTGACCTCTCATTCAGTCTTCAACAGGGAACATATAGTTCTGGTTCCTTCTTCCAGAACTTTTTTTCTTTAAGTTCCAGAACTAAGTTCCTTTAAGTCCTTTAATGAGTTATATCTGCTACATGGATATCTTTGTTCCTAGCTGTTTGTCTGTTCAAAAAGAATTGGTTACCAAAGTGAAAGGGGGGCTTTGGGGTGGGTAATTCCTATTTGAGACCCTTTGAGTCTTACTTGTTTCATTTGTAAAATAGATTGAGGTAATGTAATGGGTGCATGGGTTCTTTAGAAATGGTAAAGATCTATAACATTACACAGTATTGGCCAGGTGTGGTGGCTCACACCTGTAATCCCAGCACTTTGGGAGGCTGAGGCTGGTGAATCATGAGGTCAGGAGATCGAGAGCAGCCTGGCCAACATGGCGAAACCCCATCTCTACTAAAAATACAAAAAATTAGCCAGGCCTGGTGGTGGGCGACTGTAATCCCAGCTACCCGGGAGGCTGAGGTGGGTGAATTGCTTTAACCTGGGAGGTGGAGGTTTCAGTGAGCTGAGAACGTGCCACTGCACTCCAGCCCGGGTGACAGTACGAGACTCTGTCTCAAAAAAAAAAAAAAAAACCACAGTATTATTATAAAATATGCCCCATGCAATATTGCAATGGCAAGAAATTTCTTGCTAAATTTACACCACCTAGAAAACTTGGAGTCATCCTTTACTCCTCCTCCTTCATCACCTATGTCTAATCTTCCACCAGATCCCACTGATTTGCACTGCAGTATCTGATACTTTTCTTCCCACTGTCTCCACCCTAGTCCAGGTTCTCATTTTACCACCATATCTCCTGCCCCCATCCACCTCTCGCCTTCTTACACACAACTGGAGTGAAGGTCCTGCCCCACTGTTCAAAGAATTACTGTGCTGCCTGCTAGAGATGCCAGCAAATCCCACCTCCACTTTCTGGCCTCCAGTGCCTACTATCAACATTTCTTACACCCCTGTCTCACCAATTCAGATCTCCTAATTCATTAACATGCATTCCTCACTCTTAAAAATATATTTGTCACTACAGGAATGTGATTTCAAATGTCTGATTTTTTATTCCTTTAACCCTTTCAATAAACATTGGTTGTTTTACTTTCTCTGTGCCAGGCATTGTGCTCTGTTTGCTGTAAGAAATAGGCCTTAGTCTCCAGGCAGTACTGTGCAGAATGAAAGATCCGGGTTTGAATCTTGGCTCTGACGTTTACTAGCTGTGTGATCTTGGATAAGATGCATGTCTTTTTGAGTCTCAGGTTCTTCATCTTGTGTTGCAAGGTGTAAATGAAACAATGTATCTGATCCATATCATTGGTCTTTTGTAATTGTCAGAAGTTACTATTATCATTATTATTGTTAATAAGCCAGGTCAGCCAACACTGTAATTCAGCTAGAGGAAGGAGAAAATGCAGGGAGGAAGGAGCGAATGCAAGGAAAAAGATGATGGGCCATTTCTGTGGTAGACAACAAGGCTCGGTTTCAGAGCACGGGTGAAATACCCCCAGTGATGCAATAAATCGTAGAGAATATCTGGTGGGAAATGTTATTCCTGTATTGGGTGCTACTGTGGCCAGTGTGGCTTGGGGAAGGCATAGTTACACTTAAGGGTTTGGCCATTCTCCTTAGCTTCCTGGGAACATCAGGGCCACCTGTCTCCTTTTCTTCCCTTGCCACCTACACCTGTATGTAGAGTGTTTCTCATCTTTACCCTTTGTACTTCTGTTTGTGCTATGAAGCAGCAGATTCTGCGTGTATTACAGGGTAACTCTTATTTCCTAAGGCTTTGTATGCTCCTAGAAGGGAGGAAATACCTTATTAATACTGATAACTCCTCCAGTGTTACTGTAAGAGGTTCATGTAATATATACACAAATTGAATGTCAGTGATGCCTCATTGATTATGGATCAGTTCCAAACTCAGCCCACAGCCAAAATTCTCTAACTTTATCTTTCACTGTTCCCTAGGGGTGCTTTAGACAATCCAGTCTCCTCATGGTCCTGGAAAAATATAATGCTTATTACATTCTTGTGGTGTAGAAAATTTCATACCCTTTGGAGCCAAGGATACTTATATTTGAAAGCCAGCTCTGTATTTATTAGAAGTATGTGTATAGGAGAATAAGCTTCATGATTTCTCTGACACCCAATGTCATCTGTAAAATGAGGATCATAAAATGTGAACTTTTCTACAAAGCACTTGGAGCATAATAGGTGATATATAAATTTTAGTTTTCTTCCCACTTTCCTCTGTCATTTTCACTTCTTCTGGAGATGCTATTTTCCTTTCTGTGCCTCCCATTTACTTAATTTTCCCCTTTCAATGGTGTAACCACATCTAAATCTTCCTTTTGATTATTCAACTCACTTGGATTTCCCATTCATTCATTCATGCATTCATTCATCAAACTGTAATGTGGCACTTTCTTCACTGAGTCCTTGATTACATACTGCCCTATATTGTTGTCCAGTTGTTGCAGTAACCTGGAGCATTCCCCAAAGCTAAGCATCTGTTAGCCTGGGTCCCTGAACGAGGAGGATGTGGCGCAGAGCCCTGCCTCCTCCGTGACTTACGAAAGACACCTCACATACATGGGAATTTAGGCATTTACAGTTTCAAGTTTCTGAAATTAGCATCAACTAAGTGATCCTGCCTGATACAGATATCTTACCTTCTGAGTAAGGCTAAGTACAAGGACTGTGTCTTCTCATCCCCTCATGTCTCATGGTACCTCAAGGAGTACAGTGCACATACCAGGATTTTAGTGTTTGTTGCTAAGCGAAAATATTTTCCTTCAATTATAGCATCTTGGGATTGAAAGGGATAACTAACCAACTAATGTCAATATTTGTTTGTCTGAATCTTTTCTATATATTTTCTGCCTGGTGTTCAAAAAATTCCAATGACAATTTCATTGCATTCCAAGTCAAATTGACCATTTTTTAGAAAATTATTCTAGAAATTTCAGCCTTATGTAGATTTTAAAAAATGATTTTAATGTAGCATCCTCCCCTTGGTCTGAAGAGGCTCTCAAGTAGTAAGGAAAATGCTGGTGCCTGAGCCCTGCTCCTCGCTGTGCTGGTGTGGAGAAGGGGGTGCTTTCCTCCTGCCTGAGAGAATTTACATTCGTGAATTCCATGATCCAGGTGGAATATTCCCTCCATTCAAGAAAAGCCTCAAAGGCACCAGGCCACTTGTGGAACAGTTTTCAGACATGGGGACATGGCCAGTGGGTGAAGGAAGAGCTTTCTTTTGGCCACCTCGAAGCGTGGAGGGGCTTTGAGGAAAGGCAGGTGCTCTCTATGGTTGTGAATTGTGAGGACAAAGACACTCTATGTGGGATTCCATGGATTTTTCCCTCAGATGTTATAAGGCAATCCCAACTGTTGCCACAAAACCATGCAGAGACACTCATCTGACAGCCCTGAGCTTGGCTGTACTGGCTCTAGTCACAGACGACACTACACTTTCCCCAGGGAAAAACCCATGATTAAGAGGCGTGGGAGGGTCCACTTGCAAGGATGCTGTTGACGTCCATCTGGATAAAGCCTGTAGGGACTGTGATTTATTTCCATGAACTGCGTCTCAGGGCTCTGCAGCCAGTGGTGGTCTGCAGTGGAGCACCAAGTTACATACGCAAGAGCACGCTCAGCGCCTGAGCTATTCAGCCCCAGAGGGATGTAGAAAGTTGAAAGCTCAGCGGAGGAAATAATATCACAAATTAAATGGTTTTGAATCATAACAAAATGAGTTTTTCTTGGAAACTGTTTTGTTTCTTTAAATCAAAAACAAAACCTCTCAGACTACAGAAAAACACAACCCAGAGACTTAGGCAATTTGGGGAGCTCGTCACTCTTTTGCTCCCTCCCCTTTCACTCCTTCCCCTTTCATTTTGAAGAATGATTTCTTTGACAACTGAACAGTCCCCCAGATGAGCCTGTGACTTTCTAAGGCCAAGAGATTGAGTTTTCTTCAGGATGATAGAAAGAGGAGAATAGAAAATGTGATGAATGTGTTTGGGTTCAATCCCGAAACAATTATTTAGTCTGTCTACTTTCCAGGCACTGTAGAGGTGAACAGGAACAAGACTCAGCCCCTATCTTTAAGGTAGAGAAATACTTATTCAATAAATAATTGTGGTGAGTTTCGATACATAGATATGTAGCAACCTAGCATGTGTAAAGCAGCTTTCTTAGGAACAATGAACTTTTCTTGAGTGCCACTATGTGTCAAGAGCTCAATATTTCTCACTAAAACCCAATGAGGCAGAGGTACCCCTTATTATTCTCTCCTCATAGATGGGGAAACTGAGGTACAAAGTGCCTGAGTAACATGGTTAAGGTCTCGCAGCAAGTAAGAGGTGACTGCTATAACTAGAAGCAGATCTGTCTGCTTCTATCACCGATAGACTTAACTATGGAGTTATACACACACGCTTTATTTTATTTAGTACTCCCAACAGACCTGGTAGGTAGCAATAAATATGCTTGTTTTACTAAATAAGGTAATGGACACAGATAGATTAAGTAATAACTTGCCCAAGATATCATGCATAGTAGCAGAGCCAGGGCTTGCTCCAGGTTTGTTTCCAGCAGACCGTCTCTGGAGGACAGTCATAGGCAGCTGGTCAGGACAGATTCATGCTCTCTATCAGATACAGGAGGGGGGTTTGGTATCAACTAGCATCCAGCATGGTGCCTGGTACCTACCAACTCTCTGTTGGTGTTTGTTACCTAAAATTTAATTCAACCTTCGACTTCCTCATAGAGGAAGAAACTAAGATCGAGAGAAGTAAGTGACTTATTTGAATTTGCAGAGCTAGTAAGTGCAATTACTTAAAAACTGAAGTATGAGAAGGAGTTTGCAACAAGAGCCTGGTTATTAGAACCGAAGTGAGGTGGTATATTTGTATTCATTTAGATAGGCTAAGTTACACTGTGAGTATATATTTTTTTCTCTATAGCATAACGACATCTCAATTGCTGAAAGTTTACCAAATGAAGGCTTATTTCTAGTTTATGCTTTAACCCTGTGGCTTAATGGAAAATTCAACACATACTGGTCTCTCAGGATCCAGGCAGAAAAGGGCTCTATCATTGTATGATTTCATCATCTCAACACAAAGTTTTGGGGTTCACCACAGCAGAGAAGGAGGGCACGGAGAATTACACACAGGCTGAAATGCTTCCACTGGGACATGATCCACATCACTTCCACTCACTTCTCATTGACCAAAGCAGCTAACATGGCTGCTTCTAACATTAAGGAGGCCAGGCAGTGGCTTTCTTAAATCCTCCTTTGTGCTTGGAGGGAGCAGAGGCATTAATGACATACGATAGTTGAGTGCTTAGGCTCTAGAGTTGGAGAGTTATGTCTGCGAATTTCATCTGAGACGTTTATTGTTGTGTGATCTTGACTATTTCTCATCTGTGGTTTCTTCTTCTGTAAAATGGGTCAATCATAGTAACATATCAAACACTTAGCCCAGTGTCTCACACAATGTCAGCCCTTAATACATGTTAGTATCACCATGAAGTCACAATCAGTTGGGAAGTATGACAGTTATATTTCTGTTTTAAAAAGGAAGAGGAGGTGGATACGAGGGCAACAAGACTGGCTACAGATACAGTAGTAAGGAAACTAGAGCAGTGTTCCAGGCAAGAGATAACGAGGGCCTGAACAGGGCAGTGGTTGCAAAGACAGAGGGATCAGATCTGAGAAAACTAAGAGCTTAAACTCACAGGACTTGATGATAGTGAGATTTTTTTTTTAATGTTACTGAAGTTCTCTTCAGTACCTTGGAGGTTCACAGTTGGTGGCATGAGGAGGAGTCCTCACTTGGAGTCATCATGGTAAAGTCATAAAGGAGAAGAGACTCTCACAGGAGGCAGGAGGAGTGATGGCCTGGAAGCAGCAATGGGTGCCCAGTGCTACTCCCTCTCTACCCCCACCTTAGCTTGAGGTAAATGAGGAATGGGAGAATGAGAAACCATGGAGAGAGTGGTAGGGGGATGCTATGGTAAATGTTTATATCGCTTCAAAATTCACATGTTGAAACCTAATCCCCAATGTGCTGATATTAAAAGGTGAGGTAATTAGGAGGTGATTCAGTCATGAGGGTGGTGCCCTCATAAATGGGACAATGCCCTTGAAAAAGAGGCCTGAGGGCACTCGTTTGACCCTTTGTCATGTGAAAACACCAAGAGAAGGTGTCATTTATGAAGCAGAGAGCAAGCCCTCACCAGAAAGCGAATCTGCTGGCACCTTGATCTTGGATTTCCCAGGCTCCTGAACTGTTAGCAACAAATTTCTGTCGCTGATGAATTACTTAGTTTATGGTATTTTTGTTATAGCAACCCAAACTGACTAAGACAGGGGAGCAGTGTCCTCAAGATGTGTTAGTTTCTGCTAAGGCTAGAGGGACAGAGTGCAATGGAATGAGATTTCCTGAGGAGGCAAAGGGTGAATACTTGTCAAGGGACTGACTGGGAACCAATCATCTCTTGGGCCCCTAGGGAAGGTTACAACCAGGAGGCATGAGGCTTGAGGTTTGAGGGATGGCAATGCCTCGACCTCGGGGTCTTATCTAATTTCTCTGTGTGTCCCAGGATCTAGCACAGAATACACAGTCAATGCTTGACTAATGTTTCTTAAGTTGGAAGAGAGGCCCCCTTTAAGAAGAAGAGAGAGGCTAAAAAGCCCTTTTCCTGGCCAGACCTGATATTTTTCTATCACTAATGTTGGACTGAAGACATCAGGCAGCAAGTGACAAACACCAACTGAAGCTGGAGAATTTTGCAAGGCTATTCTTATAAATTACTCTGCAGACATAAAGTGTTGTCACTTTTGTCACCGTTTTGTCTTTGAGCAGGATAGGGAGTACCCCTGAATTGAACATTCCTCGGCCAGCCTTTCTGAGGCAGAGACTGACAGAGCTTCTGAGGACAAGACCTTGGGTATGAGCATGTGGAAGTCTCTGCCTATTACTGTGTTCTAGGATAGCCCTGGCCGGACCCCACAAACATGCTATGGGCCAGGGGAGTATCAGCTGTGTGGGCAGTGCATAGATAGCTGGGCCTTTCTGCCCAGTGTTGGTACAGTTACTGCCCGTCACTCTGCAGATCACGCATGGCCAGGAGTAGCTTTTGCGCCTCCTTTCATGCTACTCAGTCCACTGAAGCACTCTCTTCTTTTGTTATCAGATAGCGTGTGCCCAAGAGAAAGGTGAACATACCTAGGAACATTACCAGCCACACACATGGGCTCCTATGTTGCCATCCAAAACCAAATAAACATGTTTTTGAACCAACTGCACCATTGCTCCCTTCCCTCTGTGCAGGTTATAAAGAATCGAGTTGATCCCCTCATTCTATTTGCTCATTAAATAAATTATTATTGTAAAATATATATGAGATAAAATTTACCATTTTAATCACCTGTTTAACCATTGTTAAGTGCACATTTTAGGGCATTAAGTGCATTCACATTAAGTAGTTTCACATTGTTACACAACAGAATCAACTTGCTTTTGCTTTGAGTGCCAGCCACCCTTGTTTCTGTCTTTTTCATATGCCTGCAAATATATCTAGAAGTTCCCTCCATCTTCCCTGTGTACATAAACCTTGGAAAAGATGACACCATGAAAATTGCTCTGAAATGCCATTTGCTGCTCTGTAGGAAATGGGCACTGTTAGATTTCTTATACTCTCGACCCACTGGCATTTTGCCTGTGAGTTATATGACTCCACTCCTGGGCACTTGGTGTAGGGATCGGCCACAATGTGAACCACACATCATTCAAGACATACACCCCCCTTTCCCCCCTTTATGTGAAAAGACAATCATGCTCAAGTTCTTCCATGATTATAGAAGCTAGGAAAAAGCAAAAATTAACAAAATAACACAATATTACCTATTTCTATGGTTTCGTCTTGTCTAACAAAATTATTGATCAATAATTCTAAGTTGGTAGCATTGCTAAACTTTTCCATGGTCCCTCTTCAGTAAGCTGTCTTCTGGGCCCATGTTTCCTGCTTGCTTAGCTTCCTGGAAGTCCAGCCTAGTGTTGGAATGAAGTAAAAAGAGGGAGAGGAGTGGTTAGCAAGACTCTTAGTCTACCTGGCTTGCTTTAACAAAAATACCTTAAACCACATGTCTAATAAACAACAGAAATTTATTTCTCACAGTTGAGGAGGCTGAGAAGCCCAGCATCAAGGTTCTGGCAAATTCAGTGTCTGGTGAGGGCCTGCTTCCTTATAGATGGTGCCTTCCTGCAGTTCCCTCACAGGGTGGAAAGGGCAAGGCAGCTCTCTCTGGCTTTTTATATAAGGGCACTAGTTCCACTCACGTGGGCTCTGTCCTTATTACCTGATCATCTTCTAGAGGCCCTACCACCTAATAGCATCACCTTGGGAGTTTAGATTTCAACATATAAATTTTGAGGGGACACAAACATTCAGACCCTGTGCCACTTTCGGTGTTCCACCAGAAATAGCTCTGCCAACCGGTGTCATTTCTCTATTGAAATAGGAAGCCTACATCTTAATGAATATAGGTTTTCTTATCTTTCTGTTGGGATAAAGGCTAAGAGGGTCATTCTCCAAAGAAACACTGTGCCAAAGTAGAATCTCGTTTGGAACACAGAGGTAGGGATAGTTTGGTGATGCGGAGGAAAGCTTAAATTATAGAATTTATTTAGCCATCTGTTCAATAAATCTTAACTGAGCACCTACTCTTGTGTCAAGTTCTGTATTGGATGCTGCAGGAACTAAAATGAATCAAATGATTCCTGCCTAGTAACTTATAGTCCAGGGGTATGACCTTGCTTGCCTACCCAGGTGGTGTGCCTTTAATGCACAGTAACCGCCCCCCACTTCCATATCACATGGACAGCACCTCATAAAAAGATGCTCTGAGCTACCCATCTCCATTCATGGAGAAAAGCCTAGACCTTCTTGTTTCATTCACATATTGTTCCCAGCTTCCTATTCTGTCTCTACATTAATTGGGACATAATATCCTACTGATCTTTTCAGGCCCAGGTCTAATGTCAGATTCAGCATCTCTATCTTGATACTCAAACATTCTCCCATGGTCATTGTTTAACACTGAAGTCCTGGATCTCTTCACTCATCTCTTCCCTGGTCCCTTCTCTTTCTGACTTATCCTGACCCCTTGAATCTTCTCCTCTCCTTGATCAGCCTGGCTGATACCATCTACACACCCTGGTGCTTTCTCTAGGGGAGGGTTAGTCAACTGCACAGCAAATTCTCAAATCATAAGTTAATTTTCTCCCTGCTGCCCAGCTGAAGTTAGAACTGCAATGAGTAGTTGTGTGCTCAGAGAATATCAATATCAGCCCATTTTAGCCTAGTCCAAGGAAAGTAATCACAGTTAAAGAAGCAAGAGGTTATGTTTGTGTCTACAGCTTCCTGCAATATGTCTTTTTTGATGTTTTCTGAAGAAACACAGAAGCACTTTCTCTGCTTTATCTTTTCCAGGTTACCTATAATGCCACTCTATTCCCTAAGGGTAATAACCTAAAGTATAATTTCCTAAAATATAACTGGCAGACATTCCTCCACCCCTACACCCCTTAGCAACTACTAACACTGTATAGAACTAGCATTCTGTAGAACACAATTAAGAAAAAACTGAGCTAACCCCAGCCATCTTTTCCAGAGACTCTGGATTGTAATTAAGGTTTAGATATTCTTCCAAACAAATCAAGGTAGCACTGTGTGTATACTGCCAAATGTAGATGAACCAACCAGTTATTGATGTCAAGTTGAGTTAAAATTCTCTTCAGGTCTTCATGATTAGAAATTATCTTTTACATGGTTGCCTGAATAGTCTTTCTAAAATGCAAACTGGAGCTTCACCATTTGCCTAGCCAATAAAATCTAAATTGTAGAAAACAGAGTTCAATGCCTATCATGAGTGAATCCTACCTGTTCTTCCAGCCTCATCTCTCTCTGGACTCCTAAGGCCACCTCGGACTCTATTCAAGCTACCTTCTTTCAGCTACTGACTACTCCACATTTTTCTTTGTCTCCAGGACTTTGCAAATGTTGTCTCCTCTGCCTGGGCCTTCCTCTTGCACTGGTAGTACGCTCCCACTCATTCTCCAAGTCTCAGCTCAAATACCCCTACACAAAAGGCCTTCCTCTCCTCCATACACAGAATTAAGAGCTTTCTCTCACCTCATGTTACCATTTGTTTACATTTGCGTCTAGTCATCACTCATTAATTGTGTCCTGGGCACCTACTGTTTTGTCACTTGTTGGTGAGCCTTCTGAGGGCAAATACTCTGTTTCATTAATATTTTTTATCTCCAATGTCTAGTACATAGACAGAACTTAATACATATTTGCTGAAAGAATGGGTGATTAGACAAACGAACAATAAAAGTAGAGGGTGCTACTGCTTGGTTACAGATAAGTAGCTGGTATTGAATAATTCTGGAACGGAGAAAAATAGGCTTCAGTTTGCATGGTCACCAGCTGATATTTCTCACCTACAAGAAAAAAACATTGCACAAATAAAAAGTATTGCTGAATGATGTGATTTTAAAAACATAAATGAAACTATTCACAGGAAGATATTAGGGAGGCACCTAGTGTCTCTTCATGAAGGAATCTGTTTTTCCCCTACTCTACCATCTTCTCTAGCACCCATTGTTTCTCCCTCTTTGACTTCTTCCTATGCTTTTAAGTATGTCCAAACATTCCCTGTTAAATAAGAAAAGCAAACAAAAAATCTTCACTCATCCTTGAAATACTATGCCTATGGTCTGTAATGGAATCACTGCTCTATCAGGGTCATAATGTGCACATAATGTATTTTGATTTCCTTGAAGTATTTGACAATGTATTTCATGAAATTCTTGCAGACAGAATGGAAAAGGCAGTTTAAGAATTATGTGACAGTTGGCTGGGTACGGTGGCTCATGCCTGTAATCCCAGCACTTTGGGAGGCCAAGACAGGCTATCACTTGAGACCAGGAGTTCAAGACCAGCCTGGCCAACATGGTGAAACCCCACCTCTACTAAAAATACAAAAATTAGCCAGGTGTGGTGGTGCATGCCTGTAATCACAGCTACTCAGGAGGCTGAGATAGGAGAATCGCTTGAACCTGGAAGGCGGAGGTTGCAGTGATCCGAGATCACACCACTGCAATCCAGCCTCAGTGACAGAGCAAGACTTTGTCTCAAAGGAAAAAAAAGAGTTATGTGACAGTCATGCTCAAAAGGCATGGGTCATGGGTCAGAGTTAATCTGGAGGCAGGTCTTGGTGACAAGCCAAGCAGCTCTCTTCTGTAGCCTTATCTCTCTGTGAGCTTCCTCTCTGCATTCTGTTCTAGCCATGCTGGCCTCTTTTCAGCTTCTGGTACTTCCTGGGCTCCCTTATGTACCAGGTTTCTTTGCAGAAGGCCATTTCTTCTACTTGGAAATTCCTTCACTTCAGTCCCATCCTTAACTAGCTGATCGTGTTCATTTCTCATCTCACACATCACTTTCTCCTCCTCAATAAGGTCAGAGCCCCCTGTCGTGGTGCTCAGGACCCTGTGTGCTTCTTTTGGCTACAACTTCTCTTATTTGTGGGTTATTTTCCTCTTTCACTAGATTATAATTCCCATGTCTGATTTTTCTCTCTAGTGTATTCCCAGAGCCTATGCAGCCCTTGACTTGGATGACCAAGTGAATGAATAATAAATCTGAAGTCCAAGTTAAGCAAATGCAAAGCCTGGAAGTGTGTGGGAGGCTGCCTGGGGTCCAAAGCTGACAGGAGCAAGCAAACAAGGTAAGGAAGTTCATGTTCAGGCAAAATGAGTTTGCAGTGACTTCCTTGGACCAAGGTCTCATGCAATAGTATTTCATTTAGAAGCCCCAGGTTGGCCCAATCCTTCTTAAACTCACAATTATCTGATAGTTGAGAGGATTGATCAATATGTTGGAATACTGGATTGAGATTCAGAAATAATGCAACATCAGTGATCATTTAAGTACTGAACATCTCTTATTAGTCCCATACTCTAACCTCTAGGGGGAGCTCAAGGATTCCCCCCTCCTCACAAAATGCCCCAAATTGAAGTGGTAGAGTTCTTGGTGGGAAGGACAGGCAAATAGACATGGAGCTGGACTGAGCAAACAGTATTTTATTCATCCCCTGTTTTAGATTTGCTTTTTTCCTTTCCTCTTCCTTCCCTGTTGAGTTTGCCATCATATAGGCTTATTCAAATAAGGGCATAAAAGTCCTACAAAAATGCTCTACTCTGAGTTGCCAGGGTGGGAGATGTCATAGGGATTTGGGGCTAATGCTAGAATTAGGAGTAAAGATTGAGCTTCTGCCTGGTACATTCTTTGTGCCTTTATTCCTTAAGCTGTCATCATGATGGGAGGCAAGAGGTAGAAGATAGTGCTACCACATGGATAAGCCAGGCAATGTGCTAGACTTGGGAATGCCATGATGAGCTAGACATAGTTCCTGCCCACAAACACCTTAACTCTCACCATTTAGTCAGCCAGATTTCTGTGTTTAAGCTAAATAATTACTGGCAAGATGCAAGATAGAAGAGTCCTGGTTAAATAATACAGTAGTAAAAAATAAACACAACGCAACAAAACAAAAAACCAAGGGGCTATAATTTACCATCAACTCAAAATGAAAACGTAGTGTGATGTGGCCACCAAAAAAGTTTGTGTAATTTTAGCCTCCATTAATAGAAATATACTCTGTGGATCAAAGGAGTTAATAGTCCCATTGTAATTAGTGTTTGGTCAGTCCACATCTAGAGTATCGTGTTTCCTTCTGGACACCACATTTTAAGAGGAACATGGAGAAATTAGAGTGTGTCCAGAGAAGGCTGGCCATGATGGGAAGGGGCCTGGAAACTCCATCATCCAGGGATAATCGAAGGACTCAGGAATGCTTAGCCTGGGAAATAAAACACTTAGGTGGGGACACAATAGCTATTTTCAAAGATTTGTCACATAGAAAAGGGCATGGGCCAACTCCATGTATTGTTCCAGAAACAGCACTTTGGGTGAAAGGTGGAAATGTTGAGGAAAGATGTTTAGTTCAGCATGAGGAAAAACTCACTGTAGCATCCAGGCTGTCCAACAGTGAGCCAGATGGTCTCCTCTCTTAGCACTTTGCTTTCTGGTCTCCTTTTCTACCTCTCCTTCTCAGAGTTGGAATTTATGATGCATAGGTTGCCTTTCCTTTCTCTAGTCCTTCTTGATTTCCTTAATGGAATGAAGCCATGGAGTTCACTTCTGTGTGAGAGAAAGGTAATGTTGTCAACTAACAATACTCTGGGCACTTTACAGATATGATATTAAACCCTGAGGCAAAAGGTCATCTCCATTTTACAGATAAAGAAACACAGCTTAGGTAACTTGCTCTGGGCCACATAGTTATTAATTAGGGGAGCTAGGATTTGAACCAAGGAATTCTGCTCTTGTACCTTAGTCTCCTAACCTCTCTGCCATACTTACCTCTCCCCCACCAAAATATAAATTCATAAAAATTCAAAAAACAACAAACAGGTGAATTTGTAGTTTGGGCCAATATGGCCTAATGGAGTAGATGGAATAGGATTTTTTTATTTTTATTTTTTTACCCTCAGCCAATAAGGGGCAGAAATAAATACATAGCTTGTGTGGGTGTGTTGAGGGCAGTAGTGCTCACTGTGTTTTCCTGAACCTGCCACTACTTGCCACCTGAACTCTGCAGTTAAAAGAAAATAGCACTGAGATTTACCCCGTGCTCCAGATGGTCTGCATATGTCAATGGGTTGAGCCTGTCTTCCTCAGTGGCACAGCCAGGATTCCAATTTAAATATCACCTTCTTTTTCTGACACTCTCCCCTCATTCCACTGGAATCTGGATATTCCATTTTAATTGTGTTTTTATTGCTTTACATAAGACAAAGCTTTCATAATGAAGAAAAATATTGAAAAGCCTCTTTCTCTTAAAAACCTCTGTGACTCACCAAATACACACAAACCACAGTGAATAAAGCCATGATTAAAGTCTATGTAGAATAAATCTCTCAATGAATAGAGTTTTGCTTTTTGTTACCACGAGTCATCCAAGCCCTTTGATGTATGTTGGGCCCTCTTGCTCATAGACCTCAGTCCTATCATCACTTTCCCCAGCCATGAATCTTATCCTGTGTGATTGCTCAATGGGGAAGAAGTCTTGTCTGACAGGAGGCCGAGGGAAGGCTTCCTGGAACATGTGTAGAAAAATCAGGAAAATGACCCAAGTGAAAGGTAAGCACAGAAGAAGAAAATTAGCAGCAAACTGATAGCTTTCCCAGCTGGAATCCCTGCCTGTGCTGAATCCAGAGGCTGCTGGAAAAACTGAGCAAGACTGATTTAGGGGGAGTTTCACCCAGATTTTGGTCTTCTGGCTCTTGCTCTGTGTAGAATCATGTTGTAAAATAAAAGTAAAAAACAAAAAACAAAAAACAAAAAAAAAAACTTCAGTCTCTGAAACAACATATTTTCCAGAGATAAACTTATATTTACCACCTAAGGCTGCATATCTGTGGCACCAGATACCTAAATGTAAACCAGAGAGCTTCACTGGGTGATCTGAATATGCGATTTCTGGTATACACAGACAACATTTACTTTGATTTTATTGCTTAGAGCAACTATTAATTCAGAGAACTTGTTGGCCATCTGTTCTGATAAACTTTTGGTGGTTTGAATTCTTTGCAAAATTTTTTTCCAGCTAAGCTTCTCTTGTGACAATCATAAGCCTCATTTTTATTGTGTTCATGATCTTTTGCTCAAAATAGTGATATTTTTATTTAATGGATAAAAGAGAGATTGTGATTACAGCAACAACTGTTATAGGCTGAGAAAGGAGCCAACTTAAGAAAGAAGGAATAGAACTGGTTGTTATTTTTAAAGGACATTCTTCAAATACGACAAACTGTAAATAAACTGTATATTGCCCTTTGAGAGTAAGAGCCTGAGGTGGAAACTCCACATATGGCCATCAGGAGGCCTGGTTTGGGGTTTTCAAATGCTTCAAATGACTCCTGACATGGTTTGACTACGGAATTCATCTACTTAAAGCTGAAAGAAGACAAACTCTGAAACTGATGGGAGCTACTTGTTTCACACATTGAACTGTGACATTTTTCATTTTTACAACCATTGCTGATTAAGTGTTATGTAAACTCTCCTGGGTGCAGTAAAAACAGCCCCTCTGGGAAGCTTTAGGACCGTCCAAGATGTCTGACACTGAGGAGGAGGACTCTCTCTTTTGCTATCAAGAAGAAGAAGAAACTGAGGATAAGAGTAGAGAGAATGCTTGCTCAGATTTATTTCAAGAGGGAAAACCTCCACCTCAGGCCTCCAGTGCTGTGCTTTGCTTGCCACCAAGTCTTTTTTCTACAAATAGCACCAAGGCTGGTGCTGTGTAGCAGGTGCCTTGCTCTTTCTGCCTCTTGTCAAATATACCTTCAAGGTCTGACATACACCCTCTCCTTCCTACCCATGTCTCCACCTCCAGCTTCCTTCTGGGATAGGTTCCTACCTTCTTGAGACTTGGTTGTCATCCGCACCACATTTTCCCCAGTATGATGTTAGTCAGACGGGCCTCTTTCTGACTTCTCCTTACCAAAGGCAGAGGGTGGAATCCCACTAGTGGAGCTCAAGCCAGGAGCGCTCTGTCCAAGGCCAGTTGGCCTGAGAACCAAAGAAATGAGCCTTGTCAGAGTTCCTAAGCAAGAACAGGTCGAGACTATTGGGGAGCCACGTGTGGTGTAGGACCTCGCTGTTCAAAGCGCAGTCCCTGGAGCAGCACTATGTACGTCATCTAGGGGTTTGTTAGACATGCAGGATCTTAGTCCCCCATCCATCACCTACTGAATCAGACCTGATTCACGTGAACCTGAAAGTTTGAGAAACACTTCCATAGAGATCCCAGGGCAGGATTACGGTTAGGGGTGCAGGGCCAGCTGAGAGTTTGGAATTTGGTAGGTTTGAGACAGGAGTGGGAGCAGGTCATCGATAAGCAGGTGGAGGCCAAGGTGTGTGTGGGGGTGGGCCGGGTGATTGCTGCCTACACCAGAGGGTGTTGGGGCTGCCTCTATGTGCTGTGGGTATGTGGTCTATGGGTATATCCAGACTGAAAGTTGAAAGTAACACCCAATCCTCTATTCAGTCTCCATCTGGGATGTAAGAGCCTGGAGGACAGGGGCCCCATCTTACTCCTGTGTCTACTCTGGGCCTAGCATGGCACCTTACCCATCACAGATGTGCTGTCAGTGTCTGCTGAACTGAATAAGGTCCCCTTGGCCTAACCTGTCAATCACACAGGTTGGGGTGATTGTAGTGGAGTCACCATTGATTCTGTACTTTCCTCAGGAGTCTCCTGGTGACATAATGACATTTTGATATTTTCTTCAGGAAAAAAGCACCCTGCTGGATTAGATAGGGTCCAGCATCACAACCCTTGAGAGTCCAAGCAATGCCCCAAAAGACCCAGGCCTCTGCCTGGGTGTCAACTCGTCAATGTGCCATTTCTGCAAAAAGGAAAATGGACCTGCTGTTTCTTGCTGTTATTGTCTGAAAAGTCAGTGCCCAGATGCCAAGCCCAGAGCCTTGCTGTGCACTCGGGAAACCGTTATTGCCAGCCTCTGCAGACCCTCAGGAATGAGCTCTGCTTGCAACAGCCTTCTCCTGGCAAGAGTTAACACTAAGGTGCAGCTGAAGGAATGTGAAGACTGGAGAGCCAGTTTGGGGGATTGCTATTGCAATCAGAAGACAGCCCAAGTCAGAGTTCCAAAGCCCTTTGAAGGGATGCCAGCTCAGACACATGTTTCCAATTATCATATGCAATCTCGAGACAGTGTGCAAGTTGCACTTTCATTATGTCAAAGTGAAAGGAATGGTGGGGGCGAGATAAAGGGGAGAGGCCGCTAAGCTGGAGGCTGCACTTAGCTGTGGCACCAAACGTTAGCCAAGGCGCCGGGCTGGCCTCTCCAACCCAAGTCTCCCCCTGGAGCCAGGGGTGCATGGTACGTACTCTGAGAGCCTTTTTTTTCTTCTTGTTTTGGGGATCGAGGAAACCCAGCTGATATGGCTGGAGGAGGCCCCATCTTCAGGAAGATATTTGACCAGCTCTTTGGTGTTTGGTCTTAACAGAGACAAGATTTTGTGAAAACCATATGGGGACTTTAACTGTGTCTTCCTACAGGATTTCACAGGGTTATTCTCTGAATTCTTCTAAGGTCTGTAATTGCAGGAGAAACTAACTCCTCTGCCAGTTGTAGCTCAGAATGAAGTGAGAGAACAGACAGAGACTCTCAATTCTATTAGCGGTCTCTCTCCCATTGGGGCTGGGCAGCCTCTTGGTTGGATTTTACCTTGTTCATAATTCTGGAGTAAGTCTCAGCACAGGACAATAATTTCACTCAACTTATTTTCCGCACGTAGTTCAAAATCGTTTCCTCCAGGAAGTCTTTCCTGGCTTACTCTTTCCATTGGATTACTTCTTACTACTGTAGCCATTGTTTAGAATGTTTATTGGATGGATTTGTATGTTGCACTGTGCTTTTAAGTCAGTGGGTGGGTGCATGTGAGTGTAGAATGTGCACTTCTTGGCTGCTTCTTAGCTTCCAGGGGTTATTCACACATATACACACACACATAAGCACACACACTATCCTTGTGTGTGTATGTTTGTATATTGTGTCTATTTCTGTGCATATATGTATATGTAGCTGTGTGTACTGTATATTTACATATGTTTCATATACAATGATTTATTATGTACCAAACATTGGACCAAATGCCTTACAATACAATGAAGTAGGTTCTCTTATTTTCACCTACATTTTACATGTAAGAAAACTGCAGTGCAGAGAGAGAAGTAATTTGTCCAGTGTCACTCAGCCAAGCTATGGGTGAGGCCAGGCTTTATCCCTGATGGTCTGATCTTGCTCTTGATACCAGCCTCTGAAAATTACCCAGATGTGTCACATGCCTCAGGGAGGACCCTGTTTTCAACTGAGACCATTAACGCATTTATGGCTAACACAAGGTAGGTGCGGGGATAGGAGGAGATAGGCTGTGGATGGTGGGGATGGAGAAAAAGATGGAAACTAAGTTCTGTCTTCCCTTCCTTAGGACATTGATTGCCTGCCACATGCAAGATTGGGTCCAGGTGCTGAAGAAACACAGATGTGCTGCATCCTTGACTTTAAGGAGCATCCCTGGGTTGGAGGGATTCTCTGCAGGCTGCTGTGGTGGAGGGAAGATTTGCCCAACTTACTCTTGGCGCTGGACCCCCTGAGCCATCTTCACACACCCAGGTGAACTTTGGGAAGGTAACAGCTTTTCAGTTGCAAACCCAAGTGAATTAGAGCAAAACAGATCCCACGTGCTTGACACATGGAAACTTTCAGAGCCAATGGTTTATAAACTTACCAAGAGCTGGGGGAGTAAACACATCCCAGGGAACTGTGGAGCACTTCTCTGGCATTGATACACATAAGCAGAAAGCACAGCCTTCCCCGACACTTGCCTTAAGATAGTCTTTTGTCTTAGAACCCAGAGGCTTACCTGAGCTAAACCACATAAAGTGCTTAGTGCGATGCCTTGAACATACCAAGCTCTTAATAAACGCTAAGGTCACTATTAGCATTGCTTGTCATGGAATAAACCTAGGATACATCTATAAAACTGTCCATAATCTTCCTTGCCTTGTGGAAAGTTGTTCCACTATTCCAACATCCTTTTAGGGGTTCTCAGCTAATCTACCTTTCAAAACGAAAATTTATTATACACTTCTTAAGTGCTAGGTAGTTTTGTATATTTATGTGTATTATCTCATTAAATGATCTCTCAGCCCTCTGAGAAAAGCACTATTATCATCCATATTTCACAGATGAAGAAATCGTCAGAGTTTCCATATATCATTGTCAGAGATGTTAAGCAACTTGCTTAAGGTTACACAGCCTTAGCAGAAGTACTTGTTTGACTCCAAAGCCTACCATTATGCTGGAATCACTAGAATCCAGGTGGCCTATCTGAACCCGGATTCAGGCATCTGAAGCTGAATAGCTGCCATTCTTGCTTTTAACCTCCTGGTAAAAGCAGGCTATGCCTGATCTATCTATCTATCTATCTATCTATCTATCTATCTATCTATCTATCTATCAATCATCTATCTATCTGTCTATCTATCTATCTATCATGGCCTGGCTATGCCACATCTATATTCCATGATGTCCACTGACCAGAGGGTTTCCCTTATCCAATCCATACATGTGCCAATAAACAAACATTTAGTGAGCACCAACATAGTTGCTTCTCTCCTATAATCAACACAGGAATGGTTAAGTTTGGAATAAATTACTTTTCCTAACACTTGCATAGGACTGGACTGTTTGCTTTCAAATACTTGGTTTTGCTTCATGCTCACAACTCTGGGATATAGGAATGATTATTTTCATTTCACAGCTGCAAGAACCAAGCTCAAAGAGGAACTGCTGCTTGCCAAAGTTTCACAGATAGAAATGGGGGAGCTGGGGCCAGAACCCAGCTCTGCTGACACCAAGCCCAGAGTTTGTACCATGACACTGGGCTGCTCCCTCGGAGCTGGGTTTGGCTGATGACCTCAACTCTGAGCACCCGTTGCCTCCCACTGTTCCGTTCAGGCCTGTGCGAGAAAGACTCCCAGGCCCCTGGGTTCTCCATAGCCCACACTTCCACTCGGCTCCGCTTCTCTTGCCCAGCTGTCTCTCCTCCAAGGAGCGGACAGGGCGGACACGAGACCCGGGTGCCCTTTTGTCCTCTATTCCAGCTCTGGGCGGATCCTCCTCCCATGATGTGGATGATGCTGAGGAGAAAGTGGTAAGGCTTTTAGGAGGAACACTCCTGATTCACGGAAATGAAAATAGCTGCTGGGTTGTTGCTGAAACTCTGTCCCCATGGTGGGCTTTCTATTAGCAGGGAAGGGGTCAGGCTGGCGCTCTGGTTGCTGGAGGGCGTCAGAGGGACAACTGAGTGTACCCCAGAGTCAGGCACCCTGCGGTCTCCCAGGCCGGGGCCTGAGCCTTGCTAGGAGGGCGGACAGCCAGGGCCGGCGCTAGTTTTCTTGGGCGTGGTGGAGGACGCCTTCCACCAAACGAAGTTGCCGAGAGGAGTCAGATCTGCTCTCACCTTTTGGGCTTTTGGGGAACCCAGGCAGAAAAATCTCAGTGAGGCACAGGAAGGAAAATTTTGCAAAATGTGCTGCTGCCGCTCCTCAGCAGAGTATAGTGGGCGGTTTGAAGCTGTTTTCTTGGTGTTCAAGTGGCTGGGGCCCTGGCGACCCCGGTCAGCCTTTCTGGGGCAGCCCGGGTGGGTCTGAAAGCCAGGGCTCCCCTCCGTGTGTGGGAGCAGAGCCCAAGCTGCGGAAACCACCGGGCGCGGGGTTGTTTTTGGAAGGCTCCGACGCCGATCAGCCAAACTGATATCCCTTATATTGTGTGAAAACATTGGCTCCCACGCTGGGACTCCAGTGTTTCCGCCTAGAGCAGATTTTGCCTTTGGGAAGGTGGTGGTGTTCCTGGGATGAGGGGCCCTCCTCTTACCGGACACGCAGGAGAGCAGCCCACATGGAAGTGAGGGCCTCAGCCTTCGTGCTCCCTCAGACGGTCCTCCCTCTCGGCTGCCCAGGGGAGCCAAAGACATTTTTTAGATGTCCCAGTGTCTTGCAGTGCCGCGGGCAGCACTCCAGGACCCTCTTTGTTGGTGTAGCTGCTCACAAGCCAACCTTCCTGATGGGGAGCTTCCTGAAGGCCTCCCTCTCCACTCCTCTCCCCACATCCCAGGCCCAAAGTCCAGTCCTAAGAGAAAAAAAGCCACCCAGAAACTTTGTAGGGGCACCTAGGACGGCTGAGACCACTGGCATTGGACCCCAGTAAAAGTCACAGACACAGATCACTGGGAGGGCTCCTCCCTGAGGCCTTTATCTCACTTAGAATCTCAGCACAGAATGTTCTAGCTGGTGTTTCTTGAGCATAAACCTTTATTCCAATTGCAGTGGCTCTGATAGAAAAAACAGGGCACATTTCATCATACTTCTACCCTAATCAAATGGCTCTCATGCCAAAGCTCCCTACGTTTCTAATTTGCCCTATTTGGATGGCGTTGGAGGTGGGGCCGGACAGCGAGAATTACAGAGGGAATGAATAAGACCATTTGCTCTTTTCTCGGATGGACAATTTGGGCCTGTTCTCTTGAAAACCAGTGTAGGCATTTCATCCTCGGGGGGAGACAGGATGGATAGGAGGGGAAATTTTCTGTCTTAATATAAGTGCTCTGTCTGGGGGAATATTGTGGCTTCAAGGAAAATACAAAATGAAAGTTGCAGGGGAAGGGGGTCGTGTGAGGCTGGGTGGAGCCCTGCTGCAGGCTGAACCCTGGAGTCCCTCTGTCACCTTCACTCCTAAGATGCTCTGGATGGAGTCAGTGTTTATTAGCACATCCAAAAAGCCCCACAAGAACCACCCAGGTTGCTAACTTTCCTGGAGGCTGGAGAGTGCTGGTAAAGATGAGAGATCACACCTCCCTCCTCCTCCTGCTCTGTCCTCCCCTCCCCTTCTTCACATCCACCTCTGGCCTTCTCTTTGTCATCCTTGTTTCATTTCCCCTGTTTGGGAGAAGCAGAAAGCCGTGGTTTCCTGCCGGCCCACCTGTCCTCCACATCTCCAGGTTTATTTGGTTCTTACTCCATTTACTTAGTCTTTCTGCCCCACCCTCTTCTCTGCAGGTCCCACGGCCCCAGTCACCTTTGGTCACTTATGGAAATCATCCAATTAAGAATAAAAATATTTTCAGAAGTTCTCTCCCGTCTCTGGCTTCCCTGGCTGTGGGCTGATGGTGGGGCCCCTGGAAGTTGCTACTGTGGCTGTTAGTGGGTTGCAAGAGTGTCGGAGGCACTAATGTTTTCTTGGGGTAATGAAGTCTTTCTGCAGGAGGCTGCTGAGGGATAAAACGAGTACTAAGGCCAGCTGAACATGA
The DNA here is from genome assembly GCF_000001405.40 of Homo sapiens. Lineage (NCBI taxonomy): Eukaryota > Metazoa > Chordata > Mammalia > Primates > Hominidae > Homo > Homo sapiens. Next base: position 115,285,395 of record NC_000001.11, read on the forward strand.
AACCAGATCTACTTTGACAGGCCTCGTGAGATTACTCTGTTACAACTCTTCCAGACAGCACATCTCCCTCTACAAATGAGCAGCTCACAGATCTTTGGTACAAGCCTCTTCCTGTCTATCGAGTGCCCCCAGGACTGAGACTGTGCCTCTGAGGCCAGGGCAGCCCCATGCCCAGTGGTGATCTGCCTCCTGATGAGGCTCCACTAACTTCTCCAAGGGAGGAGACCAGGGCCCATGCTTCCAGGCCGTGGGCAGGTAATCCAATGATTAGGTAGCTTTGGCTCTGGAATGTAGAACAAAGTTGCAATCCAGCAGGCTTCCTTTGCTAATCATGCCTGGCTTAGGCTAATATCTGAAACCAGTTAGCCTTTCCTGAAGTTGCAGCACTGGCTGGGGGTGGGGTAAGGGTTACAGGTGGGCCTTAGAAGGAGCCAGGGGGTGCTTCAGACAATTCCCCCTGCATCTTCCTCAGACTTGCAGATGATTTTACTCAAAAAAAATAACCAGCATCAGCACACAGGATGCTTCCAAAAATTTAATAAATAATGATTCTTTAAAACTGTATAAACTATAAATTACCATGCAGTCCTTATAATTTAAAATAATTTACAGGTTGAGGTAGGGAGGGGCCCAGGAGAGTGTAGAAGGGGCAGGGGGAGGGAGCGTGTCGGCAGGTCAGGCTCTTCTCACAGCCTTCCTGCTGAGCACACACACACAGGCCGTATCTATCCGGATAAACCGCCAGGCAGCCTGCTTGCCATCCATGGTCAGCGCCTTGACAAAGGTGTGAGTCGTGGTACAATATGAGTTCCAGTGCTTTGAGTCAATGCCCCGGCACCCGCTGTCAACGGGATTTGGGTCCCGGCACTTGGTCTCAAAAAAGTACTGTTTGAATACACTGTTGTTAATGTTCACCTCTCCCAACACCATCACCTCCTTGCCCTTGATGTCTGTGGCGGTGGTCTTATCCCCAACCCACACGCTGACACTGTCACACACCGAGAATTCGCCCCTGTGGAAGATGGGATGGGATGATGACCGCTTGCTCCTGTGAGTCCTGTTGAAGGGGGCAGCACCACCGACCTCGAAGTCCAGATCCTGAGTGTCTGCAGCTTCACGGGGAGGCTGGGTGCTAAACAGCACACGGGGTGAACGGAGTCGCCGCTTTTTAAACAGCCTGGGGTCCACAGTAATGTTGCGGGTCTGCCCCGCCACGCGTGCAGCTATCGCCGCTGCCGGGGCGCTGCGGGCTCTGCGAAGGGCAGTGTCAAGGGAATGCTGAAGTTTAGTCCAGTGGGCTTGGGGGATGGTGTGTCCTGCAGGGACATTGCTCTCTGAGTGTGGTTCCGCCTGTATGCCGATCAGAAAAGCTGTGATCAGAGTGTAGAACAACATGGACATTACGCTATGCACCTGGAATGAAAAAGAAATGAGGGTGACTTCATGGAGTACTAAATGCAGTCAAAAGGCAGTTTCTGGGTCCCTCAGAGTTGACCTCCCAAGGGGATCACGAAGAGGTTTCATTCAAACCGGGGCACTTCTGAGAGGGAAAGGGTGTGCTAGCAATGGTTATACCGGGACAACAGGCGTAACCCGGGGCTGACTCAGGCAGTATGGATGTGTGGTCACCCCATCCGAGCTTCTCCAGGAAGTGACAGAGCCCCTGAAATTTTGCCCAGTAGTTCGATATGAGCTTGGAGACATCACTTACAGAGTCCTTTGAGTTCTCTGAAGCTTAAGGCGGCTGAGGGAGGTGGTAAGTGTCCATGTGTGTACCAGGGAGGCCGGTGGGGAGAGTTTAACATCTCTCCCTGGCACTTGTGCCTTGATGTGATGGTGCCGTCCTGCTCAACAGTTTTGAATCCTCTGGGAAGGCACGGGGAAGATCTGCTGGGGACATGTCTTGAAGCCTCAGAACTGGGTACCCCCTTTCAGACAGTGCACTGGGTCAGCTCTAAGATCTGGTGACTCGGAGCCCTTGTTATGAATTCACAAAGCGTCATGTTTGGCAAAAACCTTGTGGCTCTGGGACCATCTTAGTCCAGGCACCTCTTCAGACGCTACCCCACATATATAAATGTGGACCACATAATAGTTCCTCTTTGTGTGATGTTTTTAAAATGTGTTCACTTCTATCTTCTCATGAGTCTGTGAGTTCAATTAGGATTTATCATATTTATTTCACATATAAGGAAACTGATTCACAGAAAATGAACTAACACTAAAGCACTGAAGTCACAAATGAAAACTGAACCAGAAATAGAATCCAAAGTTGACCCCTTACTAAGCTAGTGTCCTTCCATCCACCCTTCCTTCTTTTCTCCCTCCCTTTCTCTTTCACTCTTAAGCATGTCTTTTCTTTTTATTGTTTGTTCTTATGTGACTATAGATCAAATGGTATGGCTCTAACTGTCCCCAAGAGGACTCCATACTGCACTGCAGTTACCCCACAAATAATCCCCCAACTTGGTCAAGTAATTGTGGAATTAGTTCTGCTCCTGGAGGGCCTCTCACTGGCCTCCGCGGAGCTCCTATGCATACTTGTAGATGTGTAGCAAACGTCAGCTCCTCTGTAAAGCTTCCATAGATCTTCCTGGTAGGATCAGAAATATCTCTTGTAAGAGTGCTCTACAAACTTCCAATTCTATCCTTTCTCCCATCTCTCCTTCCCACTCTTATGGGTCATTCTGCTCCGTTTCCACACAGATACGACCTAGTCCTCGAAGCCTTCTCAGATCACTCCAATCAAAAATGATCTTTTGCCATTCTGCACTTCAGAATAGCGTAATTGTATGTGCATATGTGTGTGTTCATGTGAGTGTGAGTGTGTGTGTTCTCTCCTACTAAATCAGTGTAATGACAAGAACTCTGCATTGGGTCTGGGGGTTAGAAAATCGTGTTTGGATTCCTACTCCACTACTTGTTAGCAGAAGAAACCCATTTAATTTCCCAGAGCCTTAGCGTTCCCATTGATCGGAGGTGGGCAAAAAACACTATCTCCCAGAGTAGTTGTTAGGATGAAGTAGGTTCTCACAAAATTTGTGTAAATCATGAGTTATTTCTGTCTCCTTGTGGTCAAGGACTTTGTCTTTTGTGCTTTCTACTGCTGGTTTTACCTCTCTCAGACCTCCTTCAAAGCCATTTTTATTGTCTCACCCTGACTGTGAGATACTCGAGGGTGGAGCCGTGTCTCATCCACTTGTGTATCTGGGCACTCCATCCCTTGTATTCCACAGCAGTTTGTGCATAACCCTATCACCTCTCCTAGGGTTGTGGATAATCATTAACTTGTCTGTCTCCCTGAGAGGGCTTTGCAAGCTGCACAATTTGCATTTCAATATTTCCAGGGCCAGTTGCCGTGTCTGGCATGTAGTAGGTACTCAAAAAATTTAAGGAGAATGAATGAAAGAAAGAATGAATGAGAGTGGCAAGAGAAGCTCACCATCTGCCTTCTTTCCATCACAGTGTGTGGTTTCTTTTGGCCTTTGTGCATATGGCTACACACTGCTTTTCTAATCTGTTTTAAGGCAACACATTCTTCTCCTCCATACTGTGCTTTTATTCAGCTGGAAATAGACAGCTCTTTGGTGAGATACCAAGAAGGAAATCACCAAATTCTTTTCTCTTTGGTTTCTTTGAAGAATGTTTCTGTTTGCTCCAGTTCTCCAGCTGACCATGCAAAGGAGGCAATGGCATATCTGGGGTTTTGACCATTACCAGATCTGTTGGCTAATGGTCTTGCAGATAAATGTCCGGTCAACTCTTAGCGGACTGAATATTCAGTTGGCAGCAAATCTAAACCTTTTACTTTTGCTCCTTTTCATGTTTCACTTCTTTGTTCTTCTCGGTACATAATATCTCTTATCAGATACATTAAAGGAGAAGAAAGAAAACTGAAATTCATTCCCTTATATCCAAATTAGTAACACTTGCTAGAATTTCAAGAGGAAAATGAAATTAACTAAATAAAAGGGTTTCGATGGACATAAGGGACATACCTCTCCCTATTCCCCATTACCAGAGGTTCCCACTTCATTCTTGGTCTCTCCTTTGGTGGGCTCCTCCTCTTCTAAGGAGCCCATCGAAATTTCTGTGCAATTGACTCCCATACCTGGATCTCGAATCAACTAGTCTTTTGAAGCTAGTTCTGCCCTCCTGCTTCCTGAGGGCAATTCTCCATAGATACTGGCATTTTAAATGCAAGACATCCAAAACAAAAATCTTCATACTCATAATCATAATTAGGATCATCTTCTCCCCATCTTCCTTCTCTGCATACAATAGCAACAGCCCCATTTTGGACCATTTGATGATAGTTTCACAGCTACCATCTCTCTTGATCCTCTCTCCTCATCTCCCTAAACACGCTTCTTCACAGTTTCCTTTTTCTGTTACTGGAACCATCATTCATTCATCCACTAGCTCCATACCTCTGCTTATCCCTCTGCTTTTTCCTCCCTGACCTCCATCCAGCCCTTTTGGTTCTGGTTTGGTAGCATTATCTTGAAACTGTATTTTATCTTCCATTCTCATCTCTGGGCCCCTAGTTCAGGTCATGGGAACAGTCTCCCACCTGATATCCTGGACCCTCATCTCTCTTCTTCCAATTCCTCCTATCCCTGGCCACCCCATTTAGCTTCTTAAAGCCTGCTCTGATCATATCACCCTGCTCAAAGGAGCTGGTGCCAAGTCCCTTGTCTGTAAGCCAGTAGGGACTGCTCTGCCTGGCAATGGGATCCTGCCTCCTTCTACTCCCCTCACATAGTTTGCATTCCGAGTGCACAAAACTCCTGGGGGCAGTTCCTGCTTGAGCTTCCCCACCACTGCCCTTTTTCAGACTCTTCCCTTCCAGGTATGCTCCCCTACCCTCTCAGGGCCTTTTCTGCTCTCCACCTCTGCTGGTGGAATCCTTCCTGTTGTCCTTCAACAACTTCAATGCTGCTTCCCCTGGGGAGCTTTTTCTAATTCTGAGACAAACTACCTTCTCTCATCTTTTTTTTTTTTTTTTTTTTTTTTTTTGAGATGGAGTCTCGCTCTGTCACCCAGGCTGAAGTGCAGTGGCTTGATCTCGGCTCACTGCAGCCTTTGCCTCCTGGGTTCAAACAAGTCTCCTGCCTCAGCCTCCTGAGTAGCTGGGACTACAGGCACACGCCGCCACGCCTGGCTAATTTTTCTATTTTTTGCAGAGGCGGGGTTTCACCATGTTGGCCAGGATGGTCTTGATCTCTGATCTCGTGATCCGCCCCCTCGGCCTCCCAAAGTGTTGGGATTATAGGCGTAAGCCACCACGCCCTGCCCCTTCTCTATCTCTTAAAGCCTTCCCTTTATATTCTCTTAGGGCTGTTGTATTCTTTTATCCTCCCTTCTAGAGGACAAACTCCCTGTAGGCAGCAAAGTGTCCTACTCATCTTTGTTGCCCCCAGGTGACCTAGAACTCCTAGGTAACTCCTCCTCTAAGAAACTGTGAGTATGTAGACAAGTCTCCTGCCTCCAGTGTTCCTTAATTCTCCATCTGCATGATGATGTTAAAGGTATCTTCCAACCATTATATTCTTTCATTTCAGGTAATTATGAAGTTTTCTACCCTGCCTTGCATCTGCTGGTTTGACTGAACTGACTTCACAAAGTTCCTACACTCTAACACTACTTTTCCACTCACAGTCAAGATACCAAATGGTATCACATTTAATCACAATGGAGATTTGTATCACAGGCAGAATGTTTCATTAAGACTTGAAAATGTCTCAAATATATCTCTCATTTAGATTTTAGGTTTAAAGTTTTTTTAAAAAAATATTTAATTTACTCATGAGAGTGTGTTCCTATAAACTTTTAAGTTTAAAAAAAAACTCTCTTAAAAGTGATCAGTAGATAAAAGAAAAATTGAGTGCATTTTCTATTCTAGTGATATAATGCACCATTTAGAAAAGAACATTCTTTTTATTTTTGGTTGATGTGAACCAGGGGAGAAGTTTTATTTATTTATTTTTTAAAAACACCCTTTGAAGCCTTTCTCCTGAACAGATGACAGCTTTCTGTCTGGCTTTATTAAGCAGAGCTCTGCAAGCTGAATGATCAGCTGAGGAGGATGCAGTTAGGGGCTCACATGAACGAACATGTTCTATTTAATATGAGAATGCTCTTTAATTGTCCTACTCCTACCTAGAATGGAAGATCCATGACTAAGAGTGGGGCAGCCCATTGGGATGCCTTTACAACCAGCCACTGATGGGCTGCCCTGCCCTCTTGCCCTCTTCTGAACCAGCGATACATTCTGTGGATTTCCAATGGTTCACACACTCCAATAATAGGATAAATTTCTCGCACGAGGTGAATGATCTTCAAAGATTCTGGCCTCACCTGAATAGGTGATGGAGCTGCTGAACAGAGCTAAGCAACTGGCCCAAATATTTGTGGTTAGGAGGGCTGATGGCACTGGGAGGCTTGGCAACCATGCCTGGGGAGATGTGTTGTAGAAGGGAGTGAGAGAATTCCTGTCTTAGAGACAGCCATGCCAAGAGCCACGAGTGATTCTTGGGCTAGAGATGGGATACGTGAACCAGGGTCACTAACAGTTGGTGAGAGAGGAAATTCTTGTGGCCAAGGAAATCCAGCCTCCTCCTCCTCCATCTCATTCGCCACATTCTGAGAGTGGGCCAAGGGTCATTTCTTGTTTTACGCTTGGCCTTCACTCTAAATGTTAACTGGCTGCTGTCTTCAGTTGTAAAGGCTCGAATACTCTTGGGGGTTGGAGCTGGTGTGGAGTGTGGGAGGAATTCTGTGGCTCCTCATTTCTCCAGCAAGGTACTTCAGAGGTGTCCTGGGGTGGGCTGAACAGAGAGAGGCATCGACAGAGTAAAATCCAGAGCTTCTGTTAGGACAGGATTTATTGGGAGGAGGCATGGCCTAGAAGGTACATCAGAGATTCAAGTCCAGAGGCTCTCAAACTTCAGGGCATCAGAATCACCTGGAGAGTTTGTTACACTATAGACTGCTGGGCCCCATCTCCAGAATGCTCGATTCTGTAGGTCTGGTAGGAGGACACTAAGAATCTACATTTCTAGTAAGTTTCCAGATGATGCTGATGCTGTTGGTCTGGGGACCATATTTTGAGAGCCACGAGTCTAGCCTAATTCTTTAACTTTGTAGAAGACAAAAATGAGCCTTGGAGAGGCTAAGTGACTTGGGCTTTTGCAGCCAGTGAGTGGCAGGGCCAGTCCGTGAACACCTGACTTGAGCTCAGCTTTGCTATCTTTTAGAGGAGAGAGGCCTGAAGCCGTATGCACACTGTAACTGATAGGTGGTGGGGTGAGTATACTCATCCCCCAACATCGAAATGAAAATTCCATTCAACAGATTGTAAGTTTTACCTTCCTGATGCCATAAATCCAGATATTAGGGAATATTTAGATATTGAATTGTTTTCATATCTGCTTTGTTAGGTTTCTGGGCACCGTGTAGACTTGATCTAAAAGCACTTGAAATGCCCATGATAGAAATATGCAACCAGAAAACACTAGCAGGTACCAGCGCCTGTGGGGTCACTGGGCTCTCGGAGGGCAGCTGTGCTGGATACATTAATGGGAACCAAATCTACTGATCTGAATTCTAAAAGACATACCTTGACATGAATGAGCTGAGATAATAGTAATTATTATTTATTGGGTATAATTTTCTAATTAACCATTACACAAACCTGGGAGGTTGGCCATATTATTCCTATTTTAACAATGAGAAACCAGAGATGTAGTAAGATTAAGTAATTGCATCACAGGTACACAGCAAACAGAAGTGGAACTCGGAGCCACACCTCCTGTGTGCAGATTTGGAACTCTTCCCTACCCCTCTACTCCACTGGTGAAGGGCACAAAGAGTGGCTGTGAACCTTCCATTTTGCAAGTTCCCTGCTCAGTCGGACCAGAGAGTTGTGTGGAGGGTCTGACTGACGCTGTCTATTCGAGGTCCTGTGTTCGGCAACTTTAGACCCTTGATGCAGCTCAGACTCCTGATATGTCCCTGGGGCCCATGGGGCCAACCTGCATGCACAAAAGATTTCCTTTCCTGAGTGGGCTAGGGGAGCTGCATTTGCTGCACCACTGAAAGCTTCTCTAGGCCCCTGCTGCTCAGCAGTTGGTTCTGACTTGCCCTCTCAGGTCCTGTCACTTGGGACTCCTGCTTCTGGCAGCTGCAGAGGGAGGACCTTGGCAAGGCCAAGGTCCCTTAGGCACTTACCTCAGTGTGGCCAGGATAGAAAGCTGCTCCCTTGGTAAAACTGTTATTGGGTCCGGACGCTGAGCTGAGCTTGGGTCCAGCATGCCATCCAGCCCCTTGGACTGCACGACCACTGGCCAAAACTCTGTGGAGGGGGAGAGCTGGCATTAGACTGTACCTCACCACATTCCCTGTGCCCTACACAGTGGGGAGGCATGTGCCAATAGGACAAATTCCATTTCCTTGAGTTCTGGGATTTTACCAGCATCAAGGCCCAGGAAGGAGCTAGAATTTGGCTACCAAAATTTACCGGAGCTTGGCCTCTCATGGTCCTGTGGTGGCACCTGCCTCTCACTCTTGCGCCATACCTTTTGGTTTCAGCCTGGACACAGTCCATGGCTGATCTTGCACCTAGTGCAGGTGTTTCTAGACACATGCCAAAGTCTTGCCCCAGCAGATCCCTAATCTGGCATCAAAATAGAAATTGTTCAGTACATTACACATGCAGACATAACAGATCCAACTCTGAACCAGCCTAAAATACCTTATACAGACGCAAAATCCCTGACAATTCAGAGCAAGTTGGTGCTTTGATAAAAATGCAGATGAGTAATGGTGACAAATAAGACAGACTGACCATTTGAGAGAGAATGTGGAGCTCTCACAGAATCAGACAGGAATCTCAGAGTACCACACTGAAAGGCAGATTTTAGGATTGGAAGCTATGGAGCTGATACAATTTTAAAAAATCAATTTTAGGCTGTAGTTTCTAGAAACAATGGAAGTTTTCTATTCTCCTCTCACTTCTATAATGTAATCTATGTAGGCACATCATTCATTCACAATATTTTCTGGGCACCGACTATGTGCCAGGCACTGTTTTTGGTGCTGAGCAGCAGTAAACAAGACAAACAAGGCCTCTGCTCTCATGGAGCTTACAGTGTTGTGTAAATAAGCAAGATATCTCCAGATTCTTTATATGCCATGAAGGCAATTACAGGGTCTGATGATAGAGAGCAACTGCAGGATGTATCGAGGGGCCACTGTAGACAGGACGCTCAGCGAGGAGCTCTGAGGAGATGGCCTTCAAGTTGAGATCTGGAGGATGAGAAGGAATGAGGGAGAGAACATTCTAGGCAGCAAGAACAAGTGCAAAGGCCCTGAGCTAGAAACAAGACAAAGGTTCTGAGCATGAAGTAACGAGACCTAGAAAATGAGCTGGAGAGCCAGGAAGAGCCAGGTCTACAGAGACACAGCAAGGAGCTATGGTTTTATCCTCAGGATATTAGGAAGGCAGTGGAGGGCTTTGAACAAGAGGGTGATATTTACGGATAAATGAATGAATGATTATGTCCATCACAGAATTTGTTGTAGGGTGGAGATGCCCTCCCAATAAAGTTCTAGAATGACATCTTAACTTTCCTGTCCGTATTCTCTCTTCAACTTCAAAAAAATCTTCTCCCTGTGATATCTTTTTCCAGCATGGATCCCCACCACATATCTTCATCCAACTCCCTCTCAGCTTGTGCTATGAAAGCAAATGTCAGAAAAGCCACCATCGCTCCCCAAATTCCAACCACGAAGAGGAGTTGGAGAATGGGGAGGTAGCAAGGACCTCTAAAGTGATCTTCAAGTTACTAGAAATCATGAAATTAAGCCCTGGGATGTCTCCATTCTTCTTCCTTTCCCATCCTGCTCAAAATAGTCTTCTTGCTCCAGAAAGTACCAGAAAAACCTTTCAATACTCAATTGGGGTTGAAGGCTAGTGATGAAAATGCATACTCAGACACTCTTTAAAAGGTTACATTCTGTGACAAAGAACATTTTCATGCTCTCCCAGGGTTGGAGTTAGCATGGGAGAGGGAGAATGGCGTGTCCCCAGGGTAAGAGGTGGGCATTATCTGGTCCCATTACTCATGGGAAGATGGTTTCGTCTAGTCCATAAACCCTTCATCTGGGTGTTTGGCTAAACCTGAAAGGTTGCAGGCTGGAACCCACACACCTGCATTCTGATTCAGTTCACTCTGAGCTTTCTCCTGTATAGAAGGAGATTCAGTTCATCTTTGAGCTTTCTCCTCTATAGGATAAGAAGCTGGCACAGATGACAGCTAAGGTCCCCTTTGGCTCTGATCATCTGAGATTCCGTGACTTTGAATGTTTTCCAGGCTGCATTGCTACTAGATGCTTAAGTAGTGCTTTCTCTCATCCCAAAATTGGGATTCATTTATTTCATTAATTAAACACTTAAACTTGCAGGTCCTGTGCTGGCCACTGTTTTAAGTGTTAGGTGCTAGGGACACAAAGGAGAATAAGACATAATACTTAACTTCCTAAAGCAAGTAATCTAGAGATAGGAAAAGGCATGCATATAAATAAACATTTAAAGTACAGTGTGATAAGTATGATGTATATGTGACATGATATGAAAACACAGTGGAAGGAGAAATTGGTTTTATCTGGCCAGACTAGTTAGAGACATGTTCATAGAGGAGGTAACATCTGAGCAGGGTTCTTAAGGATGAATAGGAGCTCATTAGGGAAGAAGGGAAGGAAAGGCCCCAGAGTTCAAGAACTGGGTGGAGGTCCACCATGCATTGCAAGAGGAGTAGGGGAGGGGAGAGGAGTATAGAATGGGCCTTACACATCAGGAGGTGCTAATAGACTTGCAGTACCCACTTCTGGGGCCTGCCCACTGAACGTCTTCCTATAGGACACAAAAAGCCTCCGCTTTTAATCAGTGGAGCAACCAGAGAAGTAATAGTGACTTTCTCAGGAAATATTCTGGATATTCCACTACAAGCTAGGATGGCCTCCAATTTGGATGACTAGAAGAAGAGGGAAGTTTGGTTTAAATAAAAAATTCCACAATTCCTAGGAAGATCTGCATTCTTCGGGTGTCTACTATAAGCCAACCACAATAGATTCCCTGGCTCTGTATCTGCAATTTCTGGACCAAGTCACCTTGGTGCATGCCAGGGCCAGGGTCTCCTGCCAATCTCATCTGGATGTCTGATTGCTATATTTGAAACTCTGTCCAGCATTTCCTATGCCTTTGGCCTTGTCTTATTCTGTGTTGATATAAGCAGTTTACTACTGCAGAGAGAAATTCTCTGTCCACAATAATGAAACTCTAAATGATTTTTATAGATATTGTTGTCATTGTTTTTAGTCTCATGCTGATGAAGGTTGAGGCTCTAAAATTAAATCCAATTTAAATATTACAAATTTCTAATGCAAAGGCATTGGGACAAACAACCCAAATGCATATCTATTTTTAAAACCCTGTCTGTTTTCATAGGGTAATCACTTAAACAGAAATCAGCTCTCACACTTTTGATAAATGCATGGAAATAAATCCCAGCTCATTTAAGGATCATGTTCTATTCTTTCTTACAGGGCACAAAGGAATCCTAATAAAGTCTGATGTACTTCTTCTAGAGCTTGTCCTGTCCTGGGTTTCATGCTTTAAAGCAGTGGTTCTCAAAGTGTGATTCCATAGTAGTATTTTAGTAATATCTTAGAACATGTTAGAAATGCAAATTCTTGGGTTTTACCACAAACCTACTGAATCAGAAACTGGGAATGAAACACAACAATCTGCGGTTTAACCAGCTCTGCAGGTGATTCTGATAGTCACATAAGTTTAAGAACCATTGCTTTAGGGCTTCCACCTTGTTCCTCCTCATGGGGTGAAGTATCCAGTGCAAAGACAAAGCGCCAACCCAGAGCCAGTCCACTGCTGTAGACCACCTGCTTGAATGTAACTTTCCATATAACAGCCAAAGTTATGTTGTGGGCTTCTTCCCTCTTCTGGACCATACTCCTAGGACTTATCATCTCAGAACCCATGTCCAACCAACCCCGAGCCTGGTAGAGCTAGAGGAGAGAGGGTTCTTTTTAAGACCCCTGAGGTTAATCAATAATATTTTGATCAATTTCAGCCATGAAACTTGATTAATGGCGAACTGTTCAAAATTCAATCAATGCATAGTTTAAGGAAACTGTGCCTCTGCTGATCGTTTTTCAAGGACTAATGGGCCTTAGCCACAGCTATTGAAACCTGATAACTCTGTCAATCACCATCCCCCTAATCCCTCCACACTCAGAATTTGTGGGACATTCTGTCTACCTCACTGGCTCCCCCTTTCTACTGTCCCTGAATCCTCTGTAGCAGTGGTTCTCAACTTTGGTTGTAGCTTGGAATCTTCTGGGAAGCTTTCCACACTCCTGCTGCCTGTGTCTCACCTTCAGAGATTCTGATTTCATTGACCTGGAGTGCTGCCTGGGCATCAGGAATTTGTAAAGCTCCCTAGGTGATCCCAATATAAAGCCAGGGCTGGGAGCCCTAGGTGCACAGGGTGAATGGGAAGCTTGGAATTGTTTTTGATAAGCTAGTAATTAAGAGAGATTATCAATAAATTAATACATCTCAGAAAACATAAAGTTCAGGTGTGGTCACATTATAAGCCACAAGAAGGTCTGAAAATATAGTTGACAAACCCTCTGGGGAATGTTGTCCCTGTCTCTCCTGCCTGACCCACGCCCAGTTGTCTAGATATAATTGACATTTGTGAATTGGAAGGTTTTTGTTTGTTTTACTCCTTGCATGCCACTTAAAATGTTCTCTGGCAATGCCCATTATTGACCATTATTAAGGCCATTACCAAGCACATCAAATCATCTCAAAATGGCCAAAGTTGATTTTTTCCCCCCAAAAGAACTCTTAGTCAGCAAACCTCATGGTTGCATTCCATACTAGAAAAGATTTCAAATTCCTTTTCCCATTGTGGACAGACTCCGAGTAAGGACTAACAGAGAGAGGGGATTCAGGGGAATAGTTACAGCCAGGAAGATCATAGCAATCACACCAACAATCATTCTTATACCCTCAACAACATGTCCTTAATCCAAGGCATTCCTAGTGAGTTTCCCTACTCACAGAGCTCTCCTGGGCAGAAACTAGGAGAAAGGGGGCTGCGGCTGCCCTGGTATCTTTGATGTAGTGCAAGCTGCTCTTGGGACTAGCCATTGCTTTGGAGCACATGGGAGGACTGGTCCCAGAGGTCTTTTTGGCCAAGTGTCCCTAAATCTTTGGTGTTAAAAATTTCAGCACATGGTCCTTGGACTTAATGATAGGCCAACCCACTATTTGGTAATAGCCAAATCGATCACTACATTGAAGATGCCAGGGCAGCCACAGCCCCCTTTCTCCTAGTTTCCACCCAGGAGAGCTCTGTGAGTAGGGAAACTCACTAGGAATGTCTTAGATTAAGGATGTGTTGTTGAGGAAATAAGAATAGTTGTTGGTGTGACTACTGTGATCTTCCTGGCTGTAGCCATTCCCCTCAATTCTCCCATCTCTCTGTTAGTCCTTACCCTGAGTCTGTGCACAACAGGAAAAGGAATTTGAAATCTTTTCTAGTATGAAATATAATATGAGGTTTGCTGAGAAGGAGCTCTTTTTTGAGGGAAAAATCAACTTTGGCCATTTCAAGATGATTTGATGTGTTTAACTATCTAGTGGTTTTGGCACATCCAATAGGAAAATAATACATCTGGTACCAAGGACTTAGGAAGACGTTAAGGTTCAGTGAAATTGCTATTCTTTTTGATGAAAAGTTTCAATGCTGACAATTCTAAAGTGCCCTGGCAATTTTCTTAAAAAAGAAATGGTCCTATGGCTCTTTGGGAAATTTGTGGGTAAATTTCCCACAAAACCCTTTCTAGCACTTCCCCAGAGAGTCAGACAGCTGTAGGTAGGAAGAAGTTGTTGTGGTTGGCTGACCTCAGCTTGAGAATCAAAGGGCACTTGCTATGAATGAGAGTGGCCTTCTATTGTGTGTGGCGAAACACAATCTGCATGTTCACCTGACTGGAGGAATTCATGAGCTGTATGACGGCCCACACCCCAGGGAGGTTTTCAAAGTGTGGGTAATTACAACAACATTAATGTGGTGGAAGATAAGACATCTAAACACACAGCAGCCTTCTGTTACAGAGTTGAGGGCAGAATATTTTTGCAAGAATGTAGGGCTAAATAATAGTCCTTGTAGTATAGCCCCTCAGCTTAGTAATACTAGTAATACATCTATAATCTACATTTGAGTGCCAAAAACAATCCAATAATTTTTCAAACTTTTCTGAGACCCTAAGAAAACATCTCCTTGGTTCCAACTGGCTAATCCTTAAACCACACACACAAAAATCTATTTCAGTGATGCTTTTGGCCTTTCGCTGATCCGTTGTTCCCATACTTAGGACTAATAGCAGACAGCGGTACTGGGAACAATGACTCTCAGGTTCTCATATAATCATAACAGCACCTATGGAGTCAAGGTTCGCATGTAATCATAACAGCACCTATGGAGTCTCCAGGCTACTGCAGACCTTGAATGACCACCTAGGATTGAACACGTGAAAGAAAACAAAACGGTGCCAGTGAATGTTAACACTCAGATCCAAGCCCTTTATTCTATTTGCTTTATAGGATTGAATGTCCTCGGCTCTTCTTGAGCTAGCCTTTTCCTCTCAGTGTGTGGTATGTTTTCTAAGCAATAGGTCAAGAAATGTTACAACACATAAGACTATAATGCGATTCAGATGTAACTTCAGAAATTAAGACAAGGTAAGGATTCATAGCCCTGAAAAAGACCAGGAAATATACTGGCTTAACTGACACAGGGGATTCTAGTGCTTTAAAAAAGGCAGGCAGTCCATCCTTCAATTAAGGAGGGATAAGGGATGAGTCATGGGACTTGAATGTAAGGATTCGAGTAAAATGCCACCCTTACTCATTAAAGTGTCCATTAGATGAGGCCATTTCTGTTTGAGCAGCTGGACTTCAGTTTCACTGCAAAAATTGCTGCACCTCTACCAACCTGCATCCAAGAAAACATGGATCACAAGCAGTCAGCACCAAACACATCCCAAGGGAAACCGAATCTGAGGACACATCAGATACCGTCCCACTCCACACCACTCTGGAGTGACAGCTGCCATCGCGTCTTGAGCTCCCTTGCTCTTCTGCAGTGACATTTCCTGGCTTGTCTGCTGACTTCACACCCAGAAAATCTGACTCAAGGCATGAAAGAGATAACTCAGCCCAGCTTTGCCCAGGCATGCAGCACATGCAAATCCTAGGTAACCTGAGGCGAAGAGCTGGAAATGAAGAATTTACTTCCATGAGTGTGTTTGTCAGGGGGCTTTGTGCTGTTTTAGCTACTTCCTGTGCATGGCTTTAACTATCTTAGTCCCACATGGGCTCCTATTATGCAGTAACACATATGACTTATGGGGAATGCTGGAATGCCATCAGGGTGGTTAACTCTAATGAAGGGCTATTTGACAGGGATTTTCGAGCTTATGTTAAGGAGTTTCATCTAGCTCTTTCATTATCTCAGGAGGAAAGGTCAGGAGAGATGAAAACCTGCTGTCCTTTCTAAAGTCACTTGGTTCTCATATAATTATATTTCAGAATATTCCCAGTCTTTTAGTGTTTCTTCTTTTAAGGTTGATTTGATAATGACAACATGAACAAAATAAAAAGTCTGCATTGGGGAAATTTACTCTGGAGCTAACGAGAGACCCACAGAGAGCATCTGTCTCTAGAGACCCAGAACATTGTGAGTAATTAGAAATTCCAGAGATGAGGGCAGACATTTTTCCTTCTCAATCACCACACAATCACCGCACTTCTCAATCTTTAGCAAGAGACTTAACCTCTCTGCCCCTCAACATCTTCTTTCAAAAATCAAAACGTTATACCCTCCATATTGGATTATTGAGAGGGTTAAATTGAATGAGCATTTAGCACAGTGCCTGGCATCTAGTTGGTGCTACATAAATATCAGCTATTCTTATTAATATCATTAAAGACATTTGGCCAGAATCAGGCAGCTAGTTACTGGCAGATCTGGGTGCAGAAGAGAAAGTGATGCCTCCTGTTCATCCCATGCCCCCATCTGGCCCTCTCTGGCAGGAAGAAATCGCCGCTTTGTGTCCCAGTCGTGATTGGAATGGCTGGCCATGCACATGCTCAGTGGAACTGAGCAATTGTAGAACGCTCAGCCTGCAGCTGTGGGGCGATTATCTGCAATCATTTGCCAACAAAGATGCTGAGTAACAAACTGAAACGTTTGTTTTTGAAATATCCATTTTCTTCAGCCATGTCGCAGTCAGAGGGAGGAAGCTGCTCCAGCTATGGCTGTGTTCATCAGGGTGCTGCAATGTTTAGCTATCACGAAAACTTGCCAGGCACTGTAAAGTTAATAGCATCTTTGCTTAAGTAATTGCTGCCTTGCAGAAAAAGTGAATCACAAGGAGAATACAACATGGATGGTATCCTCATGATCAAATTTATACTTGGTTATCCAGGGATTTGGGACAAGTTTAGGCATCTGCTGGATTAACTTCTTGAGGTCTTAGGAGTATTTCTATCCGTGGGGCTGTCCCAGTGTAGGCACTTAATGAATGTTTATTGAAAGGAATTGAAGACTCTTCCCACAGCTGCGCCAGTTTATTCAACCCAAGTAAATCATTATTTCATGTTATACTGGGAAATAACAAGTGGTCCCAATTCACCTTCTTGGATAACTGGGTGAGCCTCCCTTTCACTTTGGCTATGTAGTGTTTTATTTAAGAAGGAGAGTGCCACACTGGTGGGCTGACAGGTGCGCCACAGAGGAACTAAGAATCTAAGACCCTCGTTCCACCTTCTTTATGAGCACTAAAAGTGTACATAGGTGTTGTGCAAAACAGACATCCTCCTTACTTCCAGCTTGTTCATTTTTCTTGTCCAGAATTTCCTTGGAGAAGGCTATGCTCCAGCCCAGCCGCTGGTTATGTTGTGCAATCCACTGGGATGGCAATCACCTCATTGTTTAGTTACAACCCATGAAAAGATGAAAAAAAGAAAGAAAAAAACACAGCACACATACAGAATGAGGGTGGAGACTGCACGGTGATAATGGAAACCATTTGTTAGCATTTCACTTCTTTCTTTGTGAATCAGCCGAGTTTCTGGCAGCAGGCCTCTGTCTGTAAAGGAAGCTGCACCTCAAAGGCCCTCCAGGGACTCTTTCTGCCTTGTCTGGTCTAGAGAGTGTCGCCTTTTGTCCCCGGGAAGGTGGGCGCTAGACTGACTGCCACAGCTCCCTCTGTGCCGCAGCCACCAGGCCTGGCTCCAGCTCTCACCTTTTGTCCCAGGGCCACGTACCTATCCTGTGTGGTTGTGCATTGGCAGTTACTTTTAAGCTCTGCCTAAACCACAGTTTGGTCTCGTGTGTGTGAGGATGCTTTTCCCCTTTGTCATCTCCCTGTATTGTGTCCCCTCATCTGTGTCCACCACTTTCAGCCCTGCTTTCTTTTTAGCTATTTCAACTTTTCCTTCTTTCCACAGACCTGATTCCTGTATTCTCAAAATAAGGCTTCAAACTTTGGAGGAATAAAAAACAAAAATAAATTAAAATTTAAGAAATAAAAAACCCCAACAAACAAACACCAAAAATTTCACAACCAGTAGAACACTGTGTATCTGCCTGAGCATGTATGTTTTGCCTGCACTGTCCCAAACAGAAGAATCACTTCAAAAGGCACATGTGATGTTTATGGGCAGAGACCAGTACCAATGCTCTCTGTGCACCTGTGTTCATTAAGTCCCAGGACCTAAGTGCTCTCCCTCTCTGCTCACTTCTGAAATCTATCACAGCGTTTAGATAGGTCAAGTATAGAATTTAGATCCATAGAGCATGGCAGCATTATCTTCAACAACCACCACCACCCCTACCGCCACCACTGCCTCCACTTCTTCCATTACCATCACTACCATCACCTCCTCCAACACCATCATCACCACTACTTTCTCCATCACCATCATCACCACTACTTTCTCCATCACCATCACCACTACTTTCTCCATCACCATCACCACTACCACCTCCTCCGTCATCATCATCATCACCATCCTCCCCAACACTTCCTCACCACCAACATCCTACCACCACCACCAGCATTACCACTTCCAACATATTGCCATGATTACCATCCCCACCATCAACACTGCCATTACTATTACTAACATCATCATCATGATCACCACCATCATCACCATCATCATCATCCCCATCACTTCCAAAGGGTTAAAGAACTTTGGAGTCATGGAAGTTTGACCAATGTTCTCCAAGACCTCCTCATAGGCCATCAGTAGAATCACCAGAGGCAGAAGATAGCTGAGCCTTGAGGTCATTTAGTCTCTTATGGAGTAGTTAAATGAATTGTGTAGGTCCATATAACCTCCAACTGAGTGGTGAATAGAGTGGGGTCTAGAAATCAATATTCCTGATTCCCCATATATTTCATTATACTATTTTCTAGCACTCATTCTGGGGCTGTTTTTTTCCTTTCTTTCTCCTGAGATTTTTCTTTTCTTTTGTCAGCTTTGTGTTTCCAATAATGTTGGTTATAAAATTTTTCAGTTTAGACCTTGATAAATCTTAGAATTATCTCAAAAGAGCAATACCTGTAATGGTCACAAGAACATTTATATATAGATAGGTGCACATACACACACAAGTATTTTTTTTTCGAGATGTAGTTTTTGCCCAGGCTGTAGTGCAGTGGCATGATCTCAGTTCACTGCAACCTCCACCTCCTGGGTTCAAGCAATTCTCCTGCCTCAGCCTCCTGAGTAGCTGGGATTACAGGAGCGCACCACCATGCTTGGCTAATTTTTTTTTTTTTTTTGTATTTTTAGTAGAGATGAGGTTTCACCATGTTGGCCAGGCTGGTCTCGAACTGCTGACCTCAGGTGATCCGCCCACCTCGGCCTCCCAAATTGATGGGATTACAGGTGTGAGCCACTGCGCCTGGCCATATTTTTAAAACCAGGTAAGGAATTATGTACCTTCGTCCTCCAAAATGAGGCAGGCTCTTCCATTTGCCTGATGCAATCTATTAAAGGTAGGTGCACAATTTTTGCAGACCATGTTGAGTTTTTCAATTTCTTCACATCTGAAGACAAGTGGACTTTGTGCTTAGGCCTCCAAAAGAAGGGAACACCCTTTCTGACCTCTCCTCTCAGCCTCCAGAAGGAGGCACCCCTCTGGCTAGTCCAATTCCATGGCAGCAACGACTCCCACTTGTAAGAGAGGAGTTCTGGGAGTTAAAGGCCAGGCCCTGAGCATAGCTGTCTCCTGGCCCTTCCACCCCAGCGGGAGAAGTGGCAGGACAGCTGTCTGAGGAGGAGGCCTAGACAGCTTCTTTTTTCCTCAGCCACTGGTTCAGACTGAGTGGGGAGCTCCTAGTGACTGCTGGGTCACTAGGGTAAGTATGCCAAAATTGTGAGTTTGAGTTTGGGTTTGTGGGAAGAAAAGGCAGGGATAGGATAGAAATCCCCAAGAGTCCTCTTCGGCCTCCACCTTAGGCTGTAATAGAAGTATTAATAAGGATAGAATGACCTATATTTTATGTATGAAATTAAATGTAATATAATATTGTGTGTTAAAATATGTTAATTAGTCCATTAGCATAAACTGTGGGTTAGAAAAGAATACAACTACTACCACTAATACTCAATAACATGTATTATGTATTATGTACCAGACACTATACTAGCACTTTATATATATTTGTTTCCTTTTAAAATACTCATTAAAAATCTTTTGAGGTTAGTATCCTCTTCATTTGACAGATAAGGAAACTTTACCTCAGTAGTGCTGTGGGGAAGTAGAAGGTCACACTGTTGAGTGGGTGGCATGATGGACAACAGCCCAGGTCCCTTGCTCTGCAATTCACTCCTTTTTAACCCTACTCTGCACTGCTCAAAAAACTGATCAATTCAAGGGAGCAACAGTTCCACCCTCTGGGTTTTGTTCTGAGTGTTGATTTCCGCTTCCATGATATGGATAATGTATAGGTGGGATTCTGTGCATCTTCTATGCTTGAACATACCTGATTGCTTTTAAAAAATCAGCACACCCTTTTGAGTTTGTAAAATATCTTGGCTTCTCTACTTATCTGTCATGACATTCTCTTTGTTTATACCCTTGAGGGAGCTCCCTCCTCATGAAGTAATCTAACCACCAAGGAAGAGATTTTGGAAGGACCCACTAATCTGATAGAAATGTAGCCATGAAAGATAGATGCTTAGAAATGTGAAGTTGTTCCTTACTGAGAAATTTATAGAAATAGAATGTGGCTATTCTATTTAATTTTATGCATTTTGGATAAGACTTACTCTTAATTCTGAGACTGTGAAGAAAAACTGCAGGCAAGACAGAAACTATTCACTCTGGGCTGAGGATGTGATTCTCTGTTGATTGGTTTTTTGGGTGTGAATACCAAGCCAGAGGCCGATGGAGCCAAATGGAAACTGTTAATATTTCCATTCATGGACATGCAATAGCAAACCATCTCATACATTTACAGGAAAGCATCAAATATAATATCTTTGTTGAGCTTAAACAAAACTAGAGTAAAATTCCAGTCGACAAGAATAGAAACTTACCCTAATGATTTCATTTTTAGTCCAAAACATACAGTGTTTTCTCTGCTTGGTCTGTTTGTCACTTTCTAAAACAAGAAATTACCAAGCAAAGACTATGGTTTGAGGGACGAGTGGAAAGCAATAAACATTGAGCAGAAATGCAAAGAGATCGAATGTCAAGAGTCCTTGGTGGATGAACATTCAGAAGTGGATTCAATTTGTGAATTGTTGACTTTATTTCCCAGAATTCATGTGAGTTGCTCAATCAGGATTCAATTGTCCAGGCTTCATGCTCTCAGCAGTGAGTGCTTCATATAACAGAAGTAAATCACAAGGCAAAAAAGAAGAGGTTGAGTTACCATCAGTGGTATGTTGTTTGTTTGTTTTAGGCAAGACATTTGCTTTCATTTTTAGCAGGTGAAATGGTCTCTTTCTAGAATAATAAAAATCTCACACTACAAAAAACATAGCCAGAAGAGAAAGAACCATCTTCTGATTTGCCATAGTGAGTTGAGTAGATAGCTTAATATTAGGAATTATGTTGCTATGTATACAGCAAATTGGTGGTTTTCATTGCAAGCACTGGGTGCAACTCTGGAAGTTGCTCTAGCCCACCAGCCCATTGCCTCTAGAAACTCTCTTTAAAAGAGATAAAGCCACCATCTTCTTTTAGCTTCTCAAGAATAGTGAGTATGATGGTGCAAATTAGAGGAAGGCTCTTCATCAGTGAACAATGGCTGTCACCTACAGGGTAACAGTGACATTTTGCAGACACATCAGAAGGGCACACCATGGCCATTAATTATGCAGTTTGGCCCTATCACCACTGGGCACTATGGGGTATCTGACAATATTGGTACCGATGATTGATGGCCCTGGCCCTGATGCTGGATCTGCTGATTCCCGTTAGGAGCCATCCTGGGGCTAAGCCCAGGTCAGGGACAGAGGGAGAAATGGCTGTGTCATTTTCCATCAGCTTGGAGCTTGTTGAGTGTGGTGGCATGAATGGATGAGTCCTGAACAGATGGAATGAGACCACCCCAAAACCTATAGGCACTGGAACAAACTAAGTGAGCTGGGATTTGTCTTACCCTTAGGAAACCTGATGCTATTTGTAGAGGAAAACTGAAATAGTAGGAAGAGAACATTGGAGCTATAGTGGGATACAATTGAGAGAGGAGGGGAGTAAGAGAATGAGAGCAAAGAGTAAATGAGAAGTGGGGGAAGCAGGAAAACAACAGAGGGGAGTGGAGAAAGCAACGGAGGGTGTGGAGGGAGATCCAGAGGGCAAAGGAGCAATGTCAGCAAGAGAGAGTGAAGCTGAGAGAAAGACCAGAGAAAGAGACAGAGACTGAGAAAAGACTTTGAAGATAATCTCAACCTCAGCTCTGGTGAGGAGGAAGAAATCACTGCACAAATCACAAGCAGACTTACAGTACTCAGCTTGTGCTGGTGAGATGTGATTCCTGAATTTCCCTAGAGAAAAAGTCCAAGGAATAGGTAATCATAGCCATTTTATAATAAGCAACAACTCTACCAAAAGAACCCAGATTTCACTGAACTGGCTTCTGGTAGTCCTACAAGATTATTCATGCTGATGTTTCAATTTAGTCTATTAGAATATGATTTCTGCTGGAAACATTTCAAATATAAGCTCAAACCCAGTGATAACATTGCCTTGGCAGAATGATACAGTGATTTCATCTCATAGGTTAGGATAAGGCCATTTCCAAAGGCTCACAGCATCTCCAACACAAAAGTCCTTCATTGCAGGGCCACTGGGCTGGGTGTGCCAGACTGTCTCTTAAAATAAATGAGATTGTATGACCTCACCATTATCAGATTCAGAGAAAATGCCTTGGAAAAGAAATTGTGAGTAGAAAGGACACAAGGACAACATTAGGGGAATTGGGGTTTCCCATTGATGCTTGGATCCAGCTGGAGTTAGTTACAGTATAAACTTTGTTTAATCACATTCTCTGTCATTAATAAAACCCCAAACCAAATACAGAGATAGATGATGATGTACTTGGATTTCACATTGAGTTTGCATCATTGCTTTACCAGGTACCATCCATAAATCTGGGATGCAGGCTGCTGGAGCTGGGGCTGCAGAGAGGCTGTCTCAGGGATGTGCTTCCACTATTCCTCTGTGCCACTGCCATGCCCCTGTCACTGCTGTGCAGTTGGTCAGTGAACAGGCTGATGAAGGCTATAGGCTCTGCCCAAGACCCACAGTCATTCTCTTCCCAGAGTGGCAGGTGTTAAAGGCAAACCAGGAAGGTGAGGCACCTGAAAAACCACACCATAACAAAAATGGGTTGGATGAAGTAGGGATGTTAGAACTTCAGGAAGGCTTTCACAGGGAGTCTGAGAAGAGCTGCTCTCCGTCATTACAGGAAACACAATGGGCAGAACTGGAAGAGAGGCAAGTGCTACTTCAACATGAGGTTTCTAATGATATTCAACTAAAAAAAATGGGCTGCCTGTTGTGGTGGAATTCTCTGTCATGAGCAGTGTTCAATTCAGTATGAATGACTGTCATGGCCTTTTGTTATAAGAGGATTAAACTTGTGTAGATTCAATTATATGTAATCAGAAAAAAATAAAAAGAGAGAAAAAGGAAGCAATGAAGGAGGTAAAGAAGAAAGGAAAGAAGGGAGGAAAGAAGACAAAGTGAGAGAAAGAAAGAGTGAAAATGAAGAAGCACTTAAAGAGTAAGGGTGATTCTTAGTGTCATTCCACAAATGAGTATGTGAGGCTGAGACTTGAATATACCATTCATCAGTCAGAGTTGGTTCCCATTCAACTTTCATTCTGCATGATATTGGTGTTAAAGATTTGTGTTTTTAAAAGGTAAATTTGGTTATAGTTCAAAGGCCTTTCAGACATTGATTTTAGAATGCAGCCCCTGTATGTGATCAGTTAGGCTCCATTTAACAGGAATGCTAGACAGTCCTATTGGCAAGGAGGGAAGATAGGTGATCTTTAGCAGAATGACGTGGAGAAGGCTGCTGGGATACCTGAAGCAATAAGGTAGCCTTTGAGCCATTCTTTGCACTCTAATAAGACCCCTTTGTTATGCTGGTTAGAATTACTCATCTGACTGCCTTAGGGCAGTCTAGTACCTGCTTATTTAGCAAGCCAGGACTTGGTAATATGAGAATAAAACTACTTTTAAATAGATGCATATATTAAATACAGACACAGGGGAATAAAGACTAGAAGGAAATATAATATGTATTAGCAGTAGTTGAATTAGGAGATTATGGGTGATTTTTGTTTTATTCTTTATACCGTTCTATATTTTATAAATATTTTGAAATAAACTATGAATAGCTTTTAAAATTATTATTATACTTTAAGTTCTGGGGTACATGTGCAGAATGGCAGTTTTGTTACATAGGTATACACGTGCCATGGTGGTTTGCTGCACCCATCAACCTGTCACCTACATTAGGTATTTCTCCTAATGCTATCCCTCCCCTGGCTCCTGACTCCCTGAAAGGCCCTGGTGTGTGATGTTCCCCTCCCTGTGTCCATGTGTCCTCCTTGTTCAACTCCCACTTATGAGTGAGAACATCAATGACAGACTAGATAAAGAAAATGTGGCACATATACACCATGGAATACTATGCAGCCATAAAAAAGGATGAGTTCATGTTCCTTTGCAGGGACATAGATGAAGCTGAAAACCATCATTCTCAGCAAACTATGGATAGCTTTTGTAAACAGAATCATGTATTTTAAAATAATTTGACAATATTATACTTAAAACTGTAGAAATGCCCATTGTTTTTAACCTACTAATCTCACTTTTGAGGTTTTATCCTAAGAAAATGTCCTGAGAAGGAAAAAGCTATGTGTATGACTTTTTTCCTGCTACTAAATGATTTATAATTGCAAAGTCAGAAACCAAGTGTTCCTCAATAAAGGGATAATTAATTAGTTGCTTTGTGGAAAATCTTCTGCAAGAATTTCTATGCAGTCATTAAATATGAAAACTGTGAAGACAGTAAGAATCAAGGACAATGCTGTGATCTAGTGCAGTATGGGGGCAAAAGAGATTAAGGAGAATACGCATGAAATTGTTGCAGCCAAGGGAAATCACATGTATGTGGGAACCAGGCCTGGAAGTAAATATGTAAAATGAAAACAGTTGTATTGAGTGCTAGAACTTTGGGTGATCTCCTTCCTCTCTTTCCCAATTTCCAAATGGCTGGTAATGTTGTTATAATGCCTTTATAATGAACATAAGGTCCATAAGCCCTTCCATGTGTCCTTTCTGTAAATCCTTCAGGTTTAGGACTATACCAGATACATTTTCATGTTACTGTTCCCACCATGGTGCTGAGCCTGGGCCTTTTCAGGGGCAATCAGTGTTGCTCCAGTCAGTGTTGCTGAGAAAGAAACCAGGTCTATTGGATGGCTTGGGGGTGTGGGTAAGAAACATGGTCAACCCGTGAGCAGGCCCTATGTTTGGTCAAGTTACAGTCTTACCATGTTGGACAGAGAATAATAAACTGATAAATTTGTCCAATGTGTGTGGACATATTCCCTGTAATTGGAAGTTCTTGGGCATGAAATGCTAAGGGTTGAGAACTCAGATTCTCCTTTATTTATTGTTGACTCAGGCTGTTCTGTTCTCCAAAGCTCACATAAGGTTTGTATATATGACAGCTTTTGATTATCTGTGCTATGGAAAGAAAAATAGGAAAGAATCCAGCAAGCATATATATTGGTTGTGTTTATCCCAGGCATTGGGGCAAGGGGTGTGGGGTGTGGGGAGGGGTCATGGGAGGAGTAACAGGCGGAGTGGGAGGAGGAGGAGGAAGGGGACCACAGATATTTAATACATGCCTGGTACTTGCCAGGCATTATACTAGAAGCTTTTCAGTGTATGGCTCACTTACGCTTGAGGCCACATGCAAAGTAGGTATTCTATTTTGGGCAAACAAGGGAGTTGAGACTGAGAGGCTAGATAACTTGTCCCAAGCCACATAGGCTAGAAAGAAGAAGATTTATCTAGTTCCAAAGCACAAAAAGCATTGATTTTCATTCTCTGGGAACATACTAACTGATAATCCACAAAACTGAAAATTCATTTATCATTAGTCTTAAAACTGACTTTAGTCAGCAGGAGTTCTTTTATCATCAGTGGCTTTCAACCAGGAGAGACTTCTCCCACTCCCACTCTTCCCTTCATAAATTTCAGATTTAAACTTGGAGTTGTCATCCAGATCTTATGCACATTTATTTGATTTACATATGCTGAGTGGCTCTTAAATGTATGCTCAGTAAACAGACAGCACCTCTGATGCTTT